>NC_000016.10:54865530-55168560 GCF_000001405.40 Homo sapiens | reverse complement strand
CTCCTCTACTCAATTTGCTTCTCCACAAGCAATAGCAACTGACCTAGGCAACAAAGAAATTGATGGAAAAGCTATAGTGGAAAATTCACTGGGTTGATAGGAAGGCTGGAGCAATGACTTAGAAAATGGGGTCCAGGGTGCTGAAATTGAATAGTCCTGTCGGCACTGCCCTTGAATTGTTTTCCACTCAAGATTCTATGTCCTGAGACAGAGAGAGGCCAGTTGACCAACATTGTGCTACCTTCTTGCTTCTTAGTAGGGGAATACAAAAGGCCTTAATTTACAGACTCACCCAAAAGAGGAGAGAGAATATTCCAAAAGAAATAATGCAGATGCCAGGAAAAGGCGAAAATGGATGTTAGGAGATCAAAACCAGAACATATCTGGAGTAGCAGCCTTCAAGATCTTCTGCCATGGCAGCCAGTAGAAGCCTCCTTAAGCTTAATTAAGGGTCAGCTTAGGCTGCTGATTGTTTTGTTTTCTGATGGTAAAAGCTGAATGTCTGGCCACACCTCCTGTTAGTTTCCTGTGGCTGCTGTAATAACTCACCACCAACTGGGTGGCTTAAAACAACAGATACTTATCCTCTCACAGTCCTGGAGGCCAGAAGTCCGAAATTCAGTGTTAGCAGGGCCACATTCCCTTTGGAGGCTCTTGGGGGTAGTCCATTCTTTGCCTCTTCCATCTTCTGGTCACAGTTGACATTCTTTGCCTTGTGGCTTTATCATCTACCTGATAGCATTGCCTTCTCTTGGGTCTGCCTCAAATCTCACTCTGTCCTTCTTTTATAAGGACATTTGGCACTGTATTAGCACCACCCAGATAGTCAGGAAGGATCTCTTTATCTCTATATCCTTAGCTTAATTACATCTGTAAAGACACTTTTTCCAAATAAGGCCACACTTATAGGTTGGTTCCAGGCATTTTGACATATCTTTCTGGAGCCTCTGTTCAGCCCACTTCCCCTGCACTGGATTATTTATTTATTTATTTATTTATTTATTTATTTTTTAGATGAAGTCTCACTCTGTCACCAGGCTGCGATCTTGGCTCACTGCAACCTTCACCTCCTGGGTTCAAGCGATTCTCGTGCCTCAGCCTCCTGGGAGTAGCTGGGATTACAGGCATGCGTCATCACACCCAGCTAATTTTTATATTTTTAGTAGAGACGGGGTTTCACCATGTTGGCCAGGATGGTCTCCATCTCCTGACCTTGTGATCCACCCACCTCGGCCTCCCAAAGTGCTGGGATTACAGGCGTGAGCCACCGTGCCCGGCCCTCTGCACTGGATTTTATTCTTCCCCATGATCTGTCTACTTCTCCCATGATATCAGGGGTAGAAGACACTCTTCTCTTTTTCTAAATTCTTTTTTATGAATTTTGTATCTAGGGCAGACATGTTTTGTTAGAGTTTTTAAATGTCCAGAGCTTCTACGTGCTTGACATTTTTACATGCAAGATTTATTTAAATCCCTTCAACAACTCTACAAGGAAGGGAATGGTTCCCTAGTCCCTGATTCCCTGTGGGTCTGGAAGGTCCATGACTCAGATAGGCTAAGAAGCGGTAGAGCTGGATTCCCACCCTGGCCTCCCTGCTCTGCACCACACTCCAGTTCACAGTTTCTATTGGACTTATTCCTTGCTATTTCTTTTTGTCCATTTCACTAAGAAACTTGAGGGAAATCCCCTAAACACTAAATAGGAGAACAATATGAGTGACACTCCTTGATGTCACACCTAATATTGTCCCTCCCTGCCCCCAAAATGCCCTGCATTTGCAGGCTGAGCCGGAACACTTGGAGTATCTCCTTTCTGGTGGAAAGATCAGGGGCATCATTTGTGGGCTGCCTGCCCCTTCGATGGGTCATCCCATGATCCTCTAAGAGGCTCTAGGGACCAAATAAATTTTCTAGTCACCCTTCAGAGTTCATCTGGAAAAGTGAAAGCCTGGGACTCTTGATTGAGGGATGATCTCCCTCCAGTGCCAAGGGGCTGACCACCAACCCTTTGGTGCAGAAGAACTGAATTGCAGGCCTCAATTTCCTCCTGCAGTGTTGCATCCAGAATCCAGTATTAAAACTCTATCTGTGCATGGATTTATGCCCTGGGTTGTGCATTTATTCTATAAGCAGAGATATTATACCAGTCACTACACTTTGAGGATGTGGGGCATTGTGGGCACCTGAATGCCAATGATGATGGAAGTGGCAAAGCTTGAGTAGCACAAAGCCAGAAGACCTTCCCAGAGTTGGAAATTTTTTAACTTTGAGCCAGCAGCTTCCCTTAGAACTTGGAGCTCTATTAGTAAACATCTAGTTAAATCTTTTCATACTCTAGATGAGGAAACTGAGGCCCACAGAAGGGTAAAGACCTGCCTGAAGCCCCATACAACTCATATCTCCTAGCTCCCTTCCTGGGTGCTTTTCCTGACACCCTAAGTGGGCTGCATTGAGCAATGGACCAGCCAGATGAGTAAGAATCTATGCAGACAGCTGGGGGAAGGTGCCCACCAGTTAGTCCGGAAAACTGACAAACACATGAAAAATTACAAAGAAAAAAGACCTGGACCTTCCACCAAGAAAATTACACTTCCTCACCACCTCAATATGTTCCCCATAAAGGATCTCCGCAAAATATCCAAGAACATGTGCCATCTCAGGACCTTCATCAGCTACATTTAAATGTTTTCACCTGGAGAAAAGTTTTGTTTTTCCATCTGAGAAATCAGAAGGATCAACTTAATGATTCAAAGGGAATGCCTCCTTAGAAGGAAGACAGTCGTGCTTGCAGAGAAGCACATATTCATTCATTTATTCTCTTGTTCATTCATTTAACAGGACTGTGTGGGTTGTATAATGTGCTAAGCACTAAGCATGCAACAGCAAACAAGGAAGACCTAATCTCGGCCTTAAGGATGATAATGATGATGGTGGTGGTGGTGATGGAGGTGGCAATGACAGTAATAACACTGAACTTCTATTAAGGCTATGCCAGGTTCTATGCCATGCTCCTTCATTGATATCTCATTGTATCTTTGCAAAAAGGCTGTGAGGCTGGAGCTCTTATTAACCCCCTTTTACAGATGATGAAGGCACAGAGGTGTTAAGGAACTCTCCAAAGATGCTCAATTAGAAAAGGATGGAGCCAGGTTTTGACTGAGGCAGCCTGGTCTGATGAGGAAGACAGATGTTAAACCATTTGTCTCTAAAGATAAATATATCACCAAACTATGATGACTTCCATGAAAGTTAAGTGCAACTATTTCAGAGAGTATAAAGTAAGGACCCCTTTGTGTAGGGGTTTTGTGGGAAAACGAGTGTGAGCAGGCGCTAGTTCAACAAAAAGGATGGGGAGGAGGTAGTCTGGGTTGTTGTTTTTTAATGAATGCTGAAATGCTTTGTTTCAAGTGGAATCCTACATAACACTCCTGATAATGAAATAGGATGAGAACTGAGCCTGCACAGAGGAGGCTGGGGGCCTGCCACTGGCCCCTCCAGACTTTTCCTCTCCTGACCCTCCTCTCTGAAGCCATCCAGGAACCCCATACCCCACAGAAGACAGTGTGAGACCCACCAACCAAGAGGCTGAGATTTCAGCAGGACTGGTCTGTGTCTGAGGGCCGGTGAACACTGGCTCCTTGGACAGAAGTGTGTGGAGTGAGCATACCCTGCTGGCTTGAGATTGGTGTGGGGGTACAGCCAGCACTGCGTTTGTAGGTTTCCCACAGTGGGAAGCAGTGAGAACATGAGAAGGTGCACGGAATAGCAAGACACACCGTTTAGTGTGTGCTAATCACAGTTGCTCTGAACCAGTGTCCTAATTTGGCCCCACTACTTGAGCTTCCCTAGATGGATCCCAGCACACCTGGCTGGACTGTGTCCCTGGCTGTCAGTACACATCCTTTGCTTTCTCCCACCTCTAAGCCCTTGCCTTGACCATTCTTTCCACCTGGATTAACTTTTTTTTTTTCCTTAATGCTGCTCCCACTCATCTCCATCGTTCCCAGTAGATACTTCAACCAAGACCCAGCCTGCCTGCCTGGCCCTGCCCTGAGCTCCTCTGGAAGGAAGTGTCGATGCAGATCACCTGAGACACACAGTGGTGTGTGGGCACACAGGTGGAAGGAGCCCAGAGGCTGAAGGCCCAGGTTTGTTGATACACCTCTGTCCAATGCTGCTCTGTGACCCTGGGCAAGTCCCCTAACCTCTCAGAACCATGGTGTTCCCCATCTATGAAAAGAGGGATAATAAGATCTAGGTGATTCCTGGATGCACATTTAATCTCTGCTTGTGGATAGTGGGTCCTGCCAGGAAGGGAACTCTTCTGAAATGCCCATGGTCATAGGTACATACTGGGTATGCCCCATTGTGGCCAAAATTTCCTTCTTTAGGAAATCTGCTGCTTCCCCAGCCAACTTTTTAAAATCAGACCTCTCTGCCCCCCACGCCACGATGGCCAGGCCACAGACTGGCTTGAAGAGACAGAGCCCATCAGATTCCTGCACCTGGAAATGACCATGAGGAAGGAGGGGAGGAACCTGTGGACACCAAGTTGAGAAGTGATGAGGGAGGTGCGGACCAGTGTCACCAGGGTGGCTGGGGGACAGTGTGATGCTTGGAGGGCACTGGCTGGGGAGGGAGGAAATTGGAGCCAGAGACACATGGAAATGCCTTGAGAGAAAGGCCGTGCAGCCTCCGCAGGAAGGTGAGGGGAAGAGACTGAAGCCCAGCTCCAGCCTGGTCCCTGGCTCTTCCCCCAACAATGGGGTCTCTCTCAGCTTCCTAAGGAAAGCGCCTGAGTTTGGCAAGGCAGTGTGAAGGAACAAATGACATCCCATCACTCATCCACTGTATCACCAAGAAGGGCCCCAGGGGTCTGTGAGGGGCCTGTTTAGGCAATAGCAGTGGATGACACTAACTATGTGCCAGACCCCCTTCTGTGTGTGTCCATTCTTAAAACAGGTATCCCCAATCGGCCCATTTCACAGATGAGGAAACCTGAGGCACAGAGTGATCAGGTGTCTTGCCTAATGAGTGAGTGGCCCAGAATTTGAACCCAAGTAGTCTTCTGCAAGGGTTCTGAACTCACCACTGTACTATACTGTCAGCTGGCATAGTTATCAGAGGCAGTTCATCAGAAAAGGCAATGGAAAAGAGATACAAAATCCTGTTTGTAGGCAACTCAAAAATAATAAACAACCCAACAAGAAATGGACAGGAGCTTCATAGCGAAGAGCACAAAATATTTTTGGGCATAAAAGGCTTAAGTGAGACACATCCAATGCTCCCACACAGAGAGATTTAGCACTACAAAGGTGTCCCTCCTGCCCAGAATGACTTAGAAATTTAGGACACTCAGGCTGGGCACAGTGGCTTATGCCTGTAATCCCAGTACTTTGGGAGGCCTAGGCAGGTGGATCGCTGGATCACAAGGTCAGGAGTTCCAGACCAGCCTGGCCAACATGGTGAAACCTTGTACTAAAAATACAAAAATTAGCCAGGCATGGTGGCGCATGCCTGTAGTCCCAGCTACTCGGGAGGCTGAGGCAGGAGAGTTGCTTGACCCGGGAAGGTGGAGGTTGCAGTGAGCCAAGATCATGCCGCTGCACTGCAGTCTGGGTGACAGAGTGAGACTCCATCTCGAAGAAAAAAGAAAAAAAAAAAAAGAAAAGAAAAGAATAATTTAGGACACTCTAAGTCCTCTAAGTCACAAAGGTATTGTTTAAGGAATTTGATAACACCATTCTAAGATGCACCAGAAGGCTTAATTGAACAGAAGAACCAGGAAGTTTTTGAGAAAAGGTGCATAACTAGAGGGAACTTGCCCAGCACTATAGTTTGGAGCAGATTACGAAGCTATGGTAATTAGAACAGTGTGACACTGGCTTTGGGATAACCTTTAGAAATGTGTCAGCAATCACTTGAGAAGAGCTCAGAAAACCAGAGAGAAAAAAAAAGATGGTTGTATGCAAAGATAAAATATGAAAATACATATATATAAAGAAAAATATGGAGAAAGTTGCAATTAAATATGCAATTAAATAAATTACAAACATGCAATTAAATATTCGCTATATGATAAAGGAATTGTTTCATATAAATGAGAAAAAACATACCATTTAAGCCCACATTAACTCCAAACGGATTCAATATTTTCATGTAAAAAAATGAAACTACTATTTTCCCTCAAAAATGAATAACCTAAATTTAATCAAAGGGAAACGTCAAACAATCCTGGATAAGGGATTTCTAGAGAATGGCTGGCCTGGAATCTTCTAGCTGTCAGCAGCAAAACAGGAGAGAGGGGAGGATGAGCTCGCAGAATTGGTAAAAGGGGCCCAGGGCATGTGGGCACAGCAGCTACAGTATCCATTGCAGGGTGGGAGATGAGGGTTGGGGAAGTATGTGTGTGGGGGATGTTCCCTGAGAAGCTCTTGCTGCAGTGTCACACGAGGGAAAATAGGACCCTGAAAGAAGGGCTCCAGGAGCAGCCTGTACCACCACCAAGAGGCCTCACCCTTTGCCTCTGGTTTTCTGGGCTTTTCTCAAGTGACTACTGTGCACTCATTATCGGAACACTTTGCAAGCTCAGAGAAACATATGTGAAGAATCCTAATGGTGTCAAAAAGGAAGACATTAAGTGTAATGTTAAGCAAAAATATTTCATAGTGTTTACTATGTGCCAGGTGCTATTCCAAGACTTTTTAGATTTATTCCTCCCATCTACCCTATATGGTAGTATATCAGTCTTTTCTCATACTGCTATAAACAACTGCCTGATACTGAGTAATTTATAAAGGAAAGAGGTTTAATTGACTCACAGTTCAGCATAGCTGGGGAGGCCTCAGGCAACCCACAATTATGGTGGAAGGGGAAGGGGAAGCAAGACACCTTCTTCACAAGGTGGCAGGAAGAAGTGCCAAGCAAAGCAGGAAGAGCCCCTTATAAAACCATCAGATCTCATGAGAACTCAGTCGCTACCACGAGAACAACATGGGGGAAACTGCTCCTGTGATTTGATTACTTCCACCTGGTCTCTCCCTTGACACATGGGGATTACGGAGCTTGTGGGGATTACAATTCAAGATGACATTTGGGCAGGGACACAAAGTCTAACCATATCAAGTAGGTACTATTATTATACCCTTAAATATTTGAGAAAAGTGACGCAGGAAACAAAAGTTCAAGTGACCTGACCAGAGTCATGTGGCTGTGTATGCTAAGGCTGGAATTTGAATATAGACCTCTGGATCTCATCATGCTCCACTGCCTCTGTATAAAATCAATAATGTGCCCAGGAACAAGATTGAAGGGAAGCTCAGGCATTGCCCAAACTTCCCAAAAAGTGGGAGTATGGGTATCTGTTTCCTGGATGTATTTGCTCTTTTTGCTGAACTTCTAGAATATTCTATGGTAAGCTAGAATTATTTTTTTCAAGTGTACAATGCATTATTAACTACATTCACCATGCTGTACATGAAGTCTCCAGTACTTATTCATCCTATAACTCAAGGTTTGTACCCTTCGACCAATATTCCTCCATCTCTCCCACCCTAGCCCCTGGTATTCACCATTCTAATCTCTGTTACTATGAATTCAACTTTTTTTTTTTAAGATTCTACATATAAGTGACATTGTGTAGTATTTGTCTTTTTGTGACTGGCTTATTTCACTTTGTAGTGGTCTCAAATTTTATCCATATTGTCATCAATGCTAGAATTTTCTTGTTTTTAAAAACGGAATAATATGTGTGTATATAGTGTGTGTGTGTATATATATAGTGTGTGTGTATAGTGTATGTGTATATATTGTGTGTATATATGGTGTCAAAAGTGTGTGTGTATATATATAGTGTGTATATAGAGTGGGTATATATGTGTATATATATGATATATGATACATACATCACATTTTCTTTACCCATTCATCTGTCAACAAACAAATTGTTTCCATATCTTGGCTATTGTGAGTAGTGCTGCACTGAACATGGCAGTGCTAACATCTCTTCAAGACAGCATTCTTTTTACATTAGGAAAATGCCAACACTGAATTGAAAAAATTCTGCCCACCCTTCCAGGTCTTCCCATGGGAACCAGCTCTTGTCGACTCCAAGCCCATGCTGACCCCAGTTGTGTCTGAGATCTCACAAGACTTGTGTTCTCCCTGTATTGCTAAGGACTTTGGTTGGCTAGGAGGTTGGAGGGTCTGATTATCTCTAGGACATGGTGAGCTCCTCAAGATGGTCCGTACCTTATGCTTTGGGGGAAATGCAGGTACTCACTTTCAAGTCTTTCTTGCCCACTTCATCCTTTGCTGAGCTCTAGATACTGGGCTCCAGGGTCTTTTTCTGACCTCAGAGGCCCTCATGAAGCCTGGTAACTCAGATGGCCAAACAGATGTGCAAGCCCATGGACTCAGAGACTCATCGGGGACCTCCAGTATGCATCCTCACCTACCATTGTTCCAGGGAAACTTGCTGATCCAGCCCATCAGACTTTTTTTTTTTTTTTTTTTTAATGGCCACAACTCCTGCTCCAGCAGGGGACAGGGGCCCAGACATCTTTAGGGCTCTGGCCTCAGGGAGCTCACAGGCTTCCAGAGAGACAGAGCTGAACCAAGCTGAGGGGTGGCAACATGCCTGAGCAACAGGTGCAGGAGTCAGCCATGAGGTATCAGCCTGAGCCTGCACGCCTGCACCTGCCAGAGGGTGGTAACCTGGCAACAAGCACACCTGATGGGTTAGTTTCCTAGGGCTATTGATTGCAAACTGCAAACTGGGTGGCTTGAAGCAACAGAAATATATTGTCTCTCAGTTCTGGAAGCCAGAAGTATGAACTCAAGGTGGTGGTGTGGCCACGCCCCCTCTGAAGGCTCTTGGGAAGAATCCTTTCTCTCTTCCAGCTCCTAGTAGCTCCTGCCATTCCTTGGCTTGTGGCAGCATCATTCCCATCTCTGTCTCCATCTTTCTTGGCCATCTTCCCTGTGTCTCTGTATGTCTTCTCCTTCTCTGTCTCTTATAAAGACATCATTTCTAGATTCACCCTAATCAAGCATGATCTCATCTTGAGATTCTTACCTTAATTAAAACTTTGAAGGCCATTATTCCAAATAAAGTTGCATTCCGAGATTCTGGTTGACATAGGTTTTTGGGGGACATCCTTCAGCCCACTGCACCTGGAAAAGTGCACCTTTCCCTGCAGCAAGCGCTCAGGTGTGTGCTGGAGTTGTTATGGTTCTCATTATTTGCACCTGGAGGGCAGGAAGTAAGCAGCCAGATATTTGAGAGGGGCCGAGGGTATAAGAACACCTTTCCACCTGTAAGCACAGAAAGAAGTTTCTTGAAGTACCCTCATCCTAATCAGAGGCCACATGGGGGAGACCTGAAGGGAACAGCCGCTTGCCTCTCCAGCTGGGGGTACTAATGAGTGTCCTGTATGTCAATGAACACATGTGTTGGGCTGGGGCCTGTAAAGAAACTTGCATTCTTTGCCTCTGCCAGGTACTCTTCTGTTGATTGCTGTCACTTGTATAAGTACCAGAAAACTTCTGGGCCAAGTTTTCCCAACTTCTAAATATAGAGGATCTAAATAGATGCTTTGTGGAAGAAATGGTTTCATTAGAAGGTCAAATACATTCATATGCTGAGCTAGCCACCAGGAGCCTTTATTTCTGCAAGATTTATCAAAGCCTTTAACACAATGAGGGGCATCACGAATCTCCAAGATGCAGATGCAGTATGCTGCCTTTCTCAAACTTCATTGGCCATGGAACCCTTATTTTACAGTATGACAGTAAGAAGAGCTAACATATATTGAGCGTTTACTATGACCCAGGCACTGGCTGAGGCCTTGATACGTATTAAATCTTTTAATTCTCAAGACAACTCTCTGAAGTTAGAGGCAATTGTTATTGCCATTTGATAGATAAGGCAACTGAGTTTAACTCACCTAAATTTATATATACTGAGGTAGACTGAAGAACAGCCCCGTCCCCTAAAATCCATATCCTAATCCCTGAGCCTGTGATTATGTTACCTCACATGGCAAAGGGACTTTTCAGATGTGATTAGGTTAAGGATCTTAAAATGGGGAGAGCCAGCCCAACATCATCAGAAGTTCCTGTTAAAAAAGAGGCAGGAGAGAGTTAGAGGGGATGTGATGACAAGAAGATGCTAGAGTGTTGTGAGGAAGGAGTCAGGAGCCAAGGAATCCAGGCGGTCTCTAGAAGCTGGAAAAGGCAAGGAAACAGACTCTCCCCTCAAGCCTCTTGAAGGAATGCAGACCTCTCCACACCTTGATTTTAAACTTAGCTCTAGAACTGTAAGATGATACATTTGTGTTGTTTTAAGCTATTACATGTATTGCAACTTGTTACAGCAACAATGGGGAACTAATACATACACGTAGTCAGAAAGCGGTAGAGTTAGCATGTGGTCCTGTGCCATCTGGCTCCAGAGCCTAAACTCAACCACGATACTATATAGTACTGCCTGTAGCAGTGTCTCCTGGAATAGGGTTCCACCGAGCAACTCTGTGCGGTCCTCTATCCTAGGAACTCGGAATCAGAGGAGCCTCCAAGATATGAATGGTGGGCCATGAGCTAGACCTCAACAAGGGCAAGTGGGCATGGGAGGAAGCAGAGCAGAGAGACCATTCTGGGTGCAGGAGACTGAGACTGTGCCTGAAGTCCCAGGAGCAGCGTACAGGATAGCACAGGTGGGTGACATGGGGGCTGCAGGAGGCGGGGTGGGGAATCAGGTCAAATCCAGCTCAGGCTGAGCCTGCTGGGCCCTGGAGCCCCAAGTATGTGGGGAGCAGGACAGTTGGCAGGGCCTAGCCTCAGGGAAGATGCTGAGGAGGAGCAGGTTCCTAATCCTTCTGGTCTCACCATTCAGTGCTTATTTTCCTTTTCTTTTTTCTTTTCTTTCTTTTCTTCTCTCTCTCCTTCCTTCCTTCCTTCTTCCTTTTTCCTTCCTTCTTCTTTCTTCCTTCTTTCCTTCCTTCCTTCTTCTTGCTTCTTTCTTTCCTTCCTTCCTTTTTGTATTTTTTGTAGACAGGGTTTCCCCATGTTGCCCAGGCTGATCTCCAACTCCTGGGCTTGAATGATCCACCCACCTTGGGCTCCCAAAGTGCTGGGACTGCAGGTGTGAGCCACCCCACACGGCCTCAACGCTCATTTTCACCCAAATAGGACTCAATGGAGTTTGGCTCTGGTGTCCCTGCCCTAAGCCTTGAGATAATCAGTTTCCTGGGCCCCCATTCCAGACTGAATGTCATTCATTCATTTGTCCACTTATTTACCCATTTATTCATCACACATTTACTGAGCCCTTACTATTAGATGCTGGGCTAGGTGTAGCTGAGACAGCAATGACCAATGTCCCAGCCTGCAGGGAGTTCATGGCCAGCCAGAGTGGCATGCAAGTCAGAGCTGGATGGGGCATGGTGGACCTTCCGGTCTAGGGGATTCAAGTGGGTGCTCCACAGGCCTCACGCAGCCAACTGACACATTTTTGTTTGACCTGAACATTTGTTACTACTTTTCTTATTTATTTATCAACTTGTACAGATGGGAAGATTTCCTATAAACACCTGGATTTTTAGTTTGTGTTGAAAAACAATCAGGTCTGGCAAATCAGGCTCATATTTCCATACAGCCAGGATCAGAACTGAATAGCTGTTTCCTCAGGTTCACAATCACCCCTTTCCTGGTCCCTGTGTCCCCCTAGCCCAGAGGACAAGTGTCAGGAGCCACTTATGATGATTGTGTCACTGTCTGTCTGATAGAAGTGGGAAGAAGACAGTGGAATATGACTCATCCTCTTGTTTCCCTCAAAAGAGAGACAACAAAAAAGCTAAAACGAGAGAGTCGTGCATTTTAATAAAATTTGAATGCTTAACCCATTTCATTTGTTTATATTATCTGTGGTAGCAATCAGGGTATGCTGGGTTATGCTAAACAAACCATCCCCAAATCTCAGTGGCTTAAAAAGCAAAGATTTGGCCAGGCGCTGTGGCTCACACCTATAATCCCAGCATTTGGGGAAGTCAAGGCAGGGGAATCATTTGAGGCAACATAGCAAGTCCGCATCTCTACCAAAATTTAAAAATTAGCCGGGTGTGGGGGCAAGTACCTGTAGTCCCAGCTACTCAGGAGGCTAAGGAGGGAGAATCACTTGGGCCCAGGAGTTTGAGGCTGCACTGAGCTATACCGTGCCACTGCACTTCAGCCTGGGCAACAGAGCAAGACCCTGTCTCAAAAAAAAAAAAAAAAAAAGGTTTATTTCTCACTCATTCTACAATTCCACTATAGTCCATTGAAGCTTGGCCAGGAGCCAGTTCTGAGTCTCCTCACTCTGGGACCCAGACTATTGGAGCAGCCGGTATCTTAAATATGGTGGAGGGAAAAGGAGCTCTGAGGGTTTCCCACCAGCAATTAATTGCCCCAGCACAGAAGTGGCACAGGTCGCTTCTGCTGACAACTCAATTGGCCAGAACCAGTAACAGGCCCCGCCCAGTGACAGAGCCCAGGAAGTGCAATCCTACTATGTGTCCAGGAGGGAGCGAGCTGCAGCCATTTGGCGAAGAGCATCCGTGACTTCCGCAATTGCCTGGTGGGCATCCACATTTGAGCTTGTACGCACTGCTCTAGTTTTTTTCATTCATTTAATAGATGGGAAGATTGAGGCCTGGAGGGGGAAGAGACTCAAAGATAATCCTCCAGGCCCTATGCTAAACATTTCCCGTGTGTTGTAAATTTTGCAGTGGGTATGTGGCTGGACCCTGACGTCACATCTGGGAGGGAAGCCTGGCTCTGCACTTGCCAGATTGTAGCCCCGGGTATGCTACAGAGCTTCCCCACGCTCATGGGATAACACTGACACCTGCCTCGGAAGGTTATTTTGAGGGCTAAATGAGATGATGCGTTCAATGTCCTCAGCACTGTTAAGACTTTCGTGCATGTCAGCTACTCCAAAACCCAGAACATTTTGCAGATGAAACTACTGAGGTTCAGAGAAGTTATGTAATGTGCCGAAGTTCACACAGCAAAACTGGGTTTCAAGTCCAGGTCTTCTGACTCCCAGGCAAGATCACAACTCTATGCTTAGCTTCCTTTCCTTCCTTGGAAACCCCCATCTTCACAGACTATTCCCAGCATCCATGGCCTTTGTGATCTCTCCAACACCAATACTGGCCTGGCATGAGTCCTGGAAAACATTGCATGGTACTCTGGTGAGTTCAGTGGTCAGATGAATATCCACCTGCCTGCTGTTGGCATCTGGGGCAGAGGGGAGAGCTCCATGCTGGGACTGAGAACTCACCAGTGTTTCTTGTATGGGCTTGCTCTTCACACATCACTTTGCCCTGGGCCATGGTCTCTTTTCCTGCATAATGGGGAAGTTAAAAATTCTCCAGGGGCCCTCCCAGCTATAAGACACTCTCAATGATTGTACTTCCTTCCTTCCTTGAAGCACCATGAGAACCTACTTAGATAACAGATGTGGAGGTACCTTGAAAATTCAAGAACTCACTATTGCACAGTAGCTAAGACCACAGGCTTTGGAAGCCAACAATCCAAGGGTTTAAATATCAGTCCAGCTCTTCCTTGTTGAACTTGGGCATAATGGACTGAATGTTTGTGTCTATGTGATGGTATTTGGAGGTGGGCCTTCAGAAGGTGATTAGGTCATGAGGATAGTGCCCTCATGAATGGGACCCCCCAAGAGCTCTTTCACCCTCTTTCTGCCACATGAGAATATGGTGAGTATCCAACCCAGAAGGGAGCTCTCACCCGAGCTTGACCATGCTGGCACCCTGACCTCGGACTTCCAGTCTCCGAAACAGTGATAAACACATTTCTGTTGTTGAAGCCACCCAGTCTATGGTACTTTGTTACAGCAGTCCGAAATAAGAGAACAGGAGACTTTCTTAAGCTCCCTTGTTTCCCCACATGTCAAAAGAGTATGAAAAATGTACCTAACCCATATTGTTGTGAATATTAAGCCAGTTATTGTAGGGAAAGTGCTTAAAGCTATGCCTGGCGCCCAGAAGTGCTCAATAAATATTAGCTGTGTGCCAGAAGCCACTGTTATTATCAAAGCCTCTGTTCTTGAAGGACTTCTAAACTCATGGGAGACAAGAAGTGCCTTTAAAGTACAGTCTGGGGACAATAGGATTGTGTGGTATTCAATGTGAATTCAGAGAGTGCAGTGTGCCCTATCAGAGCTATAGGAAATCAGAGAAAGGTGGCCTGGAAGAGCCGGGGAAGGCTTCCTGAGGGAGGGTGCAGACGGGGACAATTTGTCTGGGGAAGATCGGGTGTCCATGGGAGGGCATTTTCATGAGGAACCCTATTTAAGGAGATGGAATGTACCATGCATCGTTTCACTTGATTATTCAGATCTTTAATGATGTCTCCTCTTATGCCTCAGGATCCAAGATGAATAGGCAATTCAGTGTGACAACTAAGACCCAGGGCAGTGAGTCAGGCATGCTTGTCACTCTTGAGCTTTGTGATCGTGGCCAAGTTATTTAACCTCTCTGAGCTTCACCTTTTTGTTCTGTAAAATGGGGATAATAATGGCACCTCATCATGGGGCTGTCGTGAGGATGAAATGGTCTAAAGCCTAAAAAGGAAGTCAGTCTCTGGTAAAAGATGGTCACTGTTGCTCTCCTTATTGGGAAGATCATGGGGAAGTTGTGGGGAACATGGCATGTGAGAGAAATACAGCTTCTGACAGGGACTTACACATAACCCAAAGACTATTTGATCTATGCTGTATCCAGATTCCTCAAACTATGGGATGGTCCCACACATGAATAAAAAGTATCCCTGAGCAGTGCTGTTCAAAGGGTGACCCATGCTCTCACCACAGCCTACAAACTCTTTGTAGGAGATCTGTGATGAGACAACTACAAAGGTTGACAGTAAATGTTTAGAGATGTTTCTAGCAATTTTACATTGCTGTGATGTCCAAATGCATACTCAGAGAACTTGTCTCATTGAACAGCGTATACACCAGTTCAGTTATTGTCGAACTTGCCTCATAAATGGCAGGTGGTCAAGCTACATAACCAGCCCTATGCAGCAGGACCATGTCAATCTATGATGGATGAGAAATATTTGTAAATAGTCCTTTGCAACAGATAGTTCAAGAAACACTGATTTACAAGCAGGCAGAGATATTTAATCTTGAGTGAGTAGATGTATCAGTCGGTATCCACCAGGAAAATAAAAAGTGCTCTAGGTGATTCAAACATAGGGAATTTAACAGAGTGAAATGATTACACAGGTAATGAAAGATTTGGGAAGCCAAGCCAGGGATGATGACACAACCCAGAGATTTGCCACAGAAGAAAGCTGCTACCACTGCTAGGGCTGGAGGGAAAACAGGGGTATGTGTTGCAATCAAAACTCAAGATTCAGAGTTGTCCACAGGGAGCTAGATCCACCGCTAGGGCTGCCTGGCCCTGGAAGACATGGAAGAGACCTTGTCACTGCCAGGGATGCCACTAGAGACAAATAAAGAGAAAGAGAAATACCTAGACTCTCCTCCTCCTCCCATCCTCCAGTCTCGTGCCAGTGCCTTCCATTGGCTAAATCTACCCAAAAGCCAGTTGGCAAGGGAGCTTGGGGATAAAGGGCAGGGGAAGGACAGTGAATAGATCTGAGAGCAAGCAAGCCAAAGACTGCAGGGTCAAGATGCAGCGGCAAGACAGCAGGAAACAAGCCAGATGGAACTGCCTCCAATCTACTTCTGATCATGGTGAGGGTGGTGGTAGATTAGGATGTTTCTGTTCATCCTTCTCACTGTCCCTCTGTGATATAAGTAAGGCTGCCAGAGCCTATCTGCAGCAAGGAAGACCTAGCAAGATGATGCTCAGAGACTGGGAGAATCTAGGAGAATTTGGAAGGATCAGCAAGAAGAAGATGGAGTTTCTGTACCTTTAGCCTCAATGGTAGGATCAATAAACAAGATTAGGGTCTGTTTCTCTCGGATTTCCCTGCCAACCTCTCTCTTGTGGAACAACTTCCAAGTGGAAAACAAAAATCCATAAAGTCTGTGGTGCCCTTTATTTTTTAAATGAAGCTGTTAGATTCCAAAGACCTGTGCATCGTGGAGATTTAGGAGAATTTCTTAGGAAATGGAGGAAGAACCCCAGGGGAAAGTTAAAGCAAACATCAACAACAACCGCCCCACCCACCCACCCCACCCCCCGTCAAAAGGTTGGGAGAATGGAATACATGTAAAAAGAACCTGCCAGGCCGGGTTGCAGGGAGAAAATTGATATTAATGAAACATCATGAGTGAATTAAGACAACCAAAGAACTCTCAGATGTCTGCAGGGACTGCTCCTCTTGCTGGCTTTTGGAAAAAGTTAACTGTAAAACTTCCTCATAAACAAAAGTATTTTAAGAATTTCAACTCGGAGACATTCCTGGCTAGCAGGGCTCATGCAATTGGGAATACCATTGATTAATTCCGGCTGGTAATTAGGTTGGAGTCTGTTTGCACCAAGCACTCCCAAGAGCTGCACAAGGGTGTGGGAAAGACTTCAGAAACATCTAATCCACCACCACCCAGGGTAGAGCCCTCACCTCCTGCCTTCTTACCTGAAGGGGTGCCTGAGCTGGATGGCAACTTCTGGTTTTAGGCATGAGAACAGTACACTCTCAGACCAGTCATGGAGTCATCTTCAAGACTAACTTTTGCCAAAACCACACTGTGTGTGACTGTAGAAGACACCAACTGGGTGTCTCGCCAGCATGTGGCTCCTTTCTCTAAGAACACCGGATTCCTTCCTATAGAGGGGCGCTGGCAGCCTTGTTTATATCACAAGATCTCAGCCACAGACACAGCCGGTTGGACGGGGGTGGTCTGCTGACTAAAGCTGAGCCAATCAGATTATCTCCCCTGCACCCCAACACTTGGAATTGGCCTTTTGCAAAATGCTAGTCAGTTTCTATCGGCTGCATGAACTGTGGTTAGTGTAGACTCAGGAAATGCTGGCTGGCTGCTTTTCAGAGAGAAAGCAGTTTACAGAGAAAAAAAGATGAAGATGAGGAGAAAAGGAGCAATTCAAGGCTATGGGGCCCTGATTCCAATCCCCCACGAGGTCCAGTTTCATGGTGCCTTCTTCGTGGCTTTGAGAGATGCGTGCAATAAATAGTCCCCCTTTTATTTCTTGTGCAAATTTGAAGGGTTTCTGCTCCTTGCCTCCCAGATACCAACAATATGAGAAAATAGTGGTAGTCAAGTCATGGCCTATGATGGCCCTAGTGCCTGATTGTGAGACTGGCCAACGACAACTTCTTAGTGTCCACTTCAGTTTAGGACACATGTCTGTAATGCCTCTTAATTCTTCCTGCTATAGTTTGAATGTTTGTGTCTTCTAAATTCACGTTGAAACGTAATCCCCAATGCAACAGTATTAAGAGATGGGGCCTTTACAAGGTGATTTGGCCATAAGGGTTCTGCCCTCGTGCATAAGGTATCAGTGCCTTACTAAAGAGAGAAGAGTAGTTAGATCCCTTTTCATTTCTGCCATGTGAGGACACAGCATTTGTCCTCTCCAGAGGATACAACATTCAAGGCACCATCTAGAAAGCCTTCACCAGACACCAAACCAGACCCTCACCAGACACCGAACCTGCTGACACCTTGATCTTGGACTTCCAACCATACATAACTGTCAGCAATAAATTTATGCCATATACAAATCACACAGTCTAAGTTATTTTGTATAGCAGCAGGAACAGACTAAAACACTCCCATTTGGGGATGCCATTGAAGAGATAAATGGGTGAATATGCTATATGATTTGATGACTCTCCAAAGGCTGCCATGACCAAAAGCAGCCCCTGCCTGCTGCCTTGTGTTCTCATTAAACTCTTTTCACTGTAGGAATCCTGTAGATCGACACAGCATGCTCCATGCAGGAGGAGACAGTTCCATTGTACAGATGACATGAATGAAGCTCAGAGCTTAAGCAACTACTCCTTGCAGCATCTAGCAGCATTCTGGGAACCTAGCTTATACTTGATAATACCAACTCAGCATCAGCACCAAGCTGAGATCTGTGACCTAGTTCAGACTCATTAGCTGTCATCATGCCATCAGCAAGGCTGTGGCCTATCTGAGCAATCCCACAGGTATCAGAGGGAAATGACTATCAGTGGTTCCCAACACTAGATGCATCTTAGAATTACATGGGGAATTTAAAAAAAAAATAGGCTGATACCTGAACCACACTCCAGACCAATTGAATCAGTCTCTGAGTTTAAGACTTGGGCATTATTCTTTTTTAAAAAGTTCCCAAGATGATTCTAAAATGCAGTCAGGGTTGAAAATTACTAAGCTGTGTGAATTATTTTTGGAAAAAAGTAGAGATTAATTGAGCTGGGGAGTGCCAGATCTTCATTGTTGAGCACTGAGAATGGACCCCCTGAGTGCCTTCCTGGGATGGGTCAGAGAAAGAGGGAAGAATAGGGTAGACAGGGACAGAATTAAATTCAGATGTTTTCTATCACCATTGAGGTCAAACCAGCTTGCACTGTCTGAAATCCACCCGTCATTGTACTTCATTAATTTGAACTCAAGGTGGGAATTTATAAATACTCTCAAACTATGAGGAAATGGCTTTGTTTAACAAGGGAAATATATAAACATGACTGTCAGTGACCTCCTTTGGCCTGCTTAAGGGAATAAGCCCTACAAACACACACACACGCACACTCACATGCACACGGACACATGCCAATGGCGGGCATGTTAATGATACATCAGATTTTAGTCATTAAAGTAGATCTGTGGGGACCTCTATTTGCCAAACACTGTTTCTGGCATATGGTTAGAGGCTCAATAAATATTTGTTGAAGTAATGAATAAATGAACATATTGTCACTGTAGAAATCACCACATGCTCTTTGGATTATAGAAGTTTTAAAAAGAAATGTTATATTTTGAGGTCCAAACAAAAATAAGCAGACCTGCCTCCATCCAGAACATGGGGGACTGTAGCCCAGAAATTCCAGATTTTCGCTGAAAAGTTTCCACTGGTTTTGCTTTCAAGATATTCAAGCTCTAAACTCTCCTTTCTGTATACTCCAAGGCTGGCTCCAGCCTGGTTAAAGTTTGGCCAGTAATAAATAAGGCAAGGCTGCATGTCTGCTCCTTATATATGCCCTATAACAGAGAGGCAACTGCCCCCTCCACTTGGTTTTTCTTCTGGGCATTGCCCTTTCAGGGGACACATTGACATCCCAGGGATCCTCAGACTTGCCAATCAAAACACTGATAAAGGCAGAGGAATGTGAACTCATAAACCCCATGATTTTGGGGTATTCCCTGAAGCAACCAGGGCTTACAGGTATATCTCAAGTTTCCTGAATTTTTACATTTAAAAATTTAAGATTTTTATTCTGCTATTATAGTCCACTTGCCAAAAAATTCTTGTTTTCTTTAATATTAAATTTTCTGGTTTAAAATAACATTTTTCCTAAGGTTTCACCTAATCCCTACCTTATCTCCGATTACTTTCCCAGATGTACATGCACAGTTTGAAAAGCACATGATGAGCCAATTTGGGAAGAAGCTTAAAGGAGAGTGACCCGAACAAGGAGGGAACTGTGACCTGAGTCCAGGAGAAGTGGCTAGAAGAACTGGGGGTGATTGTTGCTAAGAGGAAGGGTTCCAGGGGCAGGCATTCAGCTGTCTTCATATGTCTGAAGGCAAATCTGTAAGACGTATATCAAACTAAGTTCTACTACTTAACCAATAGCGTGTCCCCCGTTGATAAACATAAAACTCCTTGATGTCCTGGGGATTCTGGTACCTGTCCTCTGAAAGGGCACAAGTGGCTCTGACCTCTGGGTATCCCATCAGCCAAGATGTCATCAAGCTGTTGTTTGTATCATGGAAAATAGTATTTATTTTTCATTTCTCAGCTTTAAATATTATAAATTGAATTGTGCAATTTCAAACCATTTACATCATTTACCCCTTCTTTCACCTGGAGATTCTGTTGCATCCACCCAACCTACTTCCTTATCTTCTTGCTGAGTTTCACTATCTTAAGTACGTAGCTCCACAAAGCAGAATTTGTCCACTGAGGATGAGTTTTAGAGAGGTAGCTTTTATCACAGAAAAGAAGACTTTCTGAACATGACAGCCACCTAGCCATGTGATGGATTGGCATGGGAGACAGTGAACCCCTGATGACTACAGATATGTAAGGAGAGGCCAGGGGATGACTTGTCACTAGAGCTTTGGGTTGGACTCTGTGATTTCCAGTTCTGACTTTGTGTTTCAGGAACTGGGGCATACCACATGGGAAGCCACACAACAGTCACACCTTTGTAGGTGAGATGTTTCCAGTACTTTAAAGACTGTTCCCCATACTTTGAAAAGATCCTGGGACCAAAAATGGAAAGCAGATATTCTACTCAGGAAGTGATTCTAGAAAACACCTGTAGAAGATGGGAAAGTAAGACAGGGAGAAGAGAGCCAATAAAAATGTGTAGATGAGCAAGTTACTGCTGTAGGCAGCTGGAGTTAAATCATGTTGCGACCATGTGAGAGTCAGCACAGAACATGTTTTGAGTCATTGCTTCAGAGGGGCAAGGGAGCTGGGGTATTTGTACACCCACTCCTGTCAGTTGACTGTTGAGATTGCACAAGCAGGGAGAGAGGCATTGGCTGGAGAAAGCGCTAGGAAAGAAAGGCTTATACTGGCGGCAGAAAACAGTACACTGGAATGATATGTTTTGCTGGAAGGTCCAGGGGTAGGCAGTAATAGCCTATGTTATAACTCTGTAAGATGTTTGACTTCATTACCCCTGCTTTAAACCATTCTGTCTAGCCTTAATAAAGGGGTAATCACCGCCATTCCCGTCCTCATCTGATGCAATGCCTTCGCAGTGTTATGTTGACATGCTGTGTTATGTTATGTGGTTACTGTGAGCTTAGCAGGGGGGCGAACACTGTCCCATAATAGAAAGTCACTTGCCTTGCAGAGCCTTAGAGACCAGGCCCCCCAGATTCCCAGATGAGTCTGATGTTCTTGATTGGGCATACAGAACCAAGCATCCTCTTTCCTCCTCTCCCCACAAGCTAGTCTTGCTCTTTCTTCCTGGAACATTTAAATTCCTCAAGTCCTCTGCTCTCTTGTTCATTCTAAGATTAGACAGCTAACTGGGTTTCGATGGCAAGTCTTGGGGGGATTAATTGAAGGGGCGGGATTAACAGACCTCCCCTAAGTCAAACCTCCAGATCTGAGTCATCACAAATGATGCCTTTTTAAGTGCTTCCATCTTCGCTGGCATCGCTTTGCTGACCAGAGGAAGAACAGCAGACGGCAGACAACGGGCCCCAATCTGCCCTCACAGCCACAACACTTCCTGGAACCAAAGGGCTGGTAATATGTACAAATGAGAGGGGCAAGTTGTCAGGCAGGCCCTCCCCAGAGGGGAGTTAATCTTCACTGAAGACGTGCTTTATTCTGAGAATCTGTCTGTTAAACCCTGTGCAGGCAGCTGTTGTTTCCACATTAGAGGGCCTGTTGACAGCCTCTCTGTCAAAAGAGCTTTGGTTTAAGTATTTCAAACTTTGAGAACCATGCCCTCCTCCCAGTCTCTGCTGGATTCATTTTGCCAGAGGTGTCAACCAAGAACCTTTTTTTTTCTTTCATATCTTTGGACACCAAGGCCTGGGACTGACTACAGCCTCTTCTGGATCAACTGAACTTTTCCTGGTCTTTTCTTTGCATATTCCCCTTTCTCAGATGTTGTAAGCTGAGACTTGGGCCTATCTTATGCCCTCAAGGGTTCCTGCTTCCTGGAGTGTGTAGTTACACTGACCAGAGGTGGGTGGTGGGAACCAGGCACATTCACAAAGACATAAAGCCAAATATGACAGCCTTGAAATGTGCTTCTAGGGGTTCAAAATCCCTTTGCTTGCCAGCTATGTATCGTCAGCCAAGCCACTTAACTTCTCTCTGTCCCTGCTTCCTTGTCTATAAAATGGAAATAAGGATAGCACCTGCCTTATGGAGTCACGGAAAAGATAAAATGAGATTACCCATGAAAAGCACCTTGCCTGGCACACAGTAAGAGGTTGATAAATGAGAACTGCTTTCATCATCATCATCATCATCATCATCATTATCATCATCATTATCTGAACTTCCAGAAATACCAATACTGGGCTTTCATAAGAGGATTAGGCTTCATTCATTGAGAATGATAAGAGGTAGTTTATTAAATAATGAAGATTTGGAGATGTGCCTGGAGGAATGGGAAGAATTTGGACAAGAAGTGAAGTCATTGGGGAGGTGGAAAGTCAGAGAAGAAGAGAGAGGAGGGCATTCCAGGTGAGGTGGGAATAATGCCCAGGTGTGTGTAGGAATTAGCAAATAACACATTTGGTTGGAGTGGGTATAAGAGACAGAGAGAAGGGGAAATGAGATACAGGAGGTAGGCTAAGTTGGGCCTAAATGCCAGGCTTGGGAGGGGTGAGCACCAGGCATGGTTTAACTAGAAGCTGATTCAATCAGAGCAAGGAGTGTGCATGCTCAGGCACAATTTTAGGAAAGGCCAAATTCCTAAGATAAGAAAATTCTCCTTGGGTCTTAACAAAACTGCCAACATGACCACATGCTTAGATGTTCCATTTGTCAAATTACATCCTTTGGTTTGACAGCAAAGCTGAGGCCTTGAGTTAGGTTCCTGGAGAGTGAGGGGTAGGACATTTTATTGGACTGTATTGAATTTTTGAGACCCCTGCAATTCCCCTGGAAGGGGCCATGGATACGGGGTCAATTTACCCTCCGACCTGAAGCCACAAAGTTGATAACCAGCTGCCACAGTCTATGGGGGAGATGAACTGCTTTGTGGTGCTGTTCAATAAATCTGCTATTAGCAGGGAAAGTGCTTACATGCACTTAAAAAAAATTAAACAACAAAATAAGAGCAGTTGATTGACAAGGCATCAATAAAGCTGTGTGGGTGCACTATTGACCTCCCCCCTGCAACACACACACCTGCCAATCTGTGTTTATTAGAAATCAGTTTCTATAAATAGCTTGTGGCAGAGAAAACAGTGAGATATTTCTCAAATTCGTGATGGTGAAATCCTAACTGTTTAATACTTGGCTCTTGGTTCAATTTAGTTGATTGTTCACTGCAGCTGAATTGTGGAGAATCAGTGGTAAGGGGTTGTTCTCAGGAGACGGTTAATAATATTTTAACTTCCACTTTTGAGACAGAACTGCTAGTTCCCACTCCAGATTCATTATTCCTTTTTGCTGACCAACTGAACCCCAGTTTGTTCTCAGGGTAGCAATATGCTGCACCGCCCCCACCGCCCAGAAAAAAAGCTTTCTTATTCTTCTTTAAAGCTATGGTTCACCACACAGTTCTGACTAATAAGACACAGACTTGGAGTTTCTGGGAAAGTTTTTGTTGTTCTGACATATATGCTGCCCTTTTCTCCTTCTCTCCTGTTTTCTTCCTGCCTGGAATGTGGATGTAAGTCTGGAGGTACGGCAGCCATGCTGTGACTATGAAGTTACAAGCTTGAGGCTCAAGACCACTATGCTAAGCATGGTGGAGCAGAAAGATGGATATGGCCGAAGTCCCTAATGTTGTTGAGTCACTTACAGCCCCAGGCTTTCTATTCATAGACTCTTGGTTGTGTGATAAAAAATAAACTCTCTTCTGTTTGAGCCACGGTAGAAGAATTATTAATTGCAGCTGACCACATCCCTAACTGATGCAATCTTCTTCCAGAATCTCATCTCAAATTTATGCTGCAAGTATGTGAAGCTCATATGCCTAGCATTGGATGAGATTCAATGTTGGTAAAGTAGAGCCATACAGTAATTAAGAATAAGGCATGGTGGCTCTTGAATCAGACAGACCTGGGTTCAGATCCAGGAGCAAGCTGCCACTTACGAGCTCTGGGACCTTGGTCAGGTTTATTCACAGGTCTGAGCCTCACCTACCTCATGGGTAAAGTGTAGCCATATTACTTACTCCATCGGTTGTTATAAGTATGATGGTGAATGTAGAAAGCATAGTCCTACGTCTCTTTTAAGGTCTTTTCTCCATTTATTCCATCTAGGTGTCAAACTTCATCTCCACTACCCACTAAACATGTCAAGCATTCTTACCTCTGAGCCTTTGTCCATTGCCCCCACCTAGAATCCCCTTCCCTGGGTTCCCACCCAGCAGAGCCCTATCCAGCTCTAAGGACCCTCCTCCACAAAGTCTCCATCATCATGTCTAGCTAGAGGGAGCTCTGTCTTATCTCTCCGGGTCATTTCCATGAAAGGCAGTGTTGCTAAGTGGTTACAAACAAGGGGTTCAGACTGAGACAAATCAAACAACTCTTCCATGTCTCAGATGTGTGATCCAGAGCCTCCCAGAGGCCTGCCCCACTTCAAGGAGGAAGAAGACATTCTAGGTTGGGAAATGGTAAGGAACACAGAAGGGGCTCAGAGCTGTAGTTCCCAGGAGAAGAGCTCTCCAGTGCCACCCCAGAGAGTCATGTATGGATGGGAGTAAGAAGCTATAGAAGCCACCCTGGCTGTCTTACTCCATTTTGTGCTGCTATAACAGAATACCAGAGACTGGATAATTTATAATAAACAGAAATGTATTAACTCGTGGTTCTGGAGGCTGGGAAGTCTAAGATTGAGGAGCCTGCATCTGGCAAGGGCCTTCTTGCTGCATCATCCTATGGTGGAAGGGCAAAGAGCCAGAGAGAGAGAGAGACGGAGAGAGAAATAGAGAGAAAGAAAGAAGAGTCATACTTGTCCTTTCATAAGGAACCCACTCCCGCAATAACCTACCTTCTTCTGTGATAACACATTAATCCATTTATGGGAGTAGAGCCCTCATGACCTAATCACCTCTTAAAGGTCTCACCTCCCAACACCAGCACATTGGGTATCAAGTATCCAGCACATGAACTCTGGGGGACACATTCAAACCATAGTAATTGCTTTGTTTCTTTTCTGAACTGTGACCTCTGACTACATGCTCATGTCATTGTGGACAGAAAAGTAAGTGTTGGTTTGAAAGCTGCTCTGAAAGTTTCCCAGGGCTGGGTCTTTCAGACTTGCTGTCTTCTCTGGCTGGCTCAGGCTTGAGTCTGTCTGCCTGTCCTCTCTCTCCGACCAAACTCTCCCCATTGCAGGGGCAATCTAATAGAGAGAATTGATTAGACAATTGAGGAAAGAATTGGGAAGCCAAACAGAATGGCAAGGCAGCCTAGGGCTGGAGTGGTAATAGTAGGGGGTGGTGTCACCAAAGCCCAGAATCTGGAGTCACTATAATGGAGCTGCCCAGTTGGGAGCTGGAGCAACTGAGGAGACACGGCACTGCCAAAGGCTCAGCAAGGGGAGAAAATGCACCAAGGCTTGTCCTGCCTATAGCCTGTCAATCTCCTTTCAGTCTCTCCTATTTGTCCAACAGACAAGGAGGCCCTTGACAAGGGAGCCTGGGAAATATATTTCCCTGTAGAGCAGGAAATGTATTAGAGAGGAAACAGGTCCAAGCTGTAGGTGACAGGGTCAGGAACGGCTCCTTAGATGTTCACTACATAGGCTCAGAGCCTTTAGACCTACAAGGCAGCTCGGAGCACACCAAGACCATCCCTCCACTTTACAGATAAGTAAACTAAAGCAGAGAGAGAGAGGGAGAGACTTGCTCAAGTCTTCATAGCCAATCTGGAGCCAGAATCTTGATCTCCAGACATCCAAGACCCAGAGCACTTTTTCCCTGAATACTTCCAGTGGCTCTTTCCATGAGCAGCAGAACTCCAAGTGCCAGAGGCTTTGCAGTGCATGCTTCCTGCCTCTTCTGCCAATTTTCAAGCTGCTTAATTAAAAATCAGCTCCCTATGTCTCGACATCAGCTCAGCCTGGATTTTGCATGACAAAGCCCCCCACCTAGCAGAGAGTAAGAAGCCCTTGCTCAAGAAAGAATGAGCCACTACCTAAGCCAGATAGGCACAGGCATGGCTGAAGAAGGCCCGAGAAGAGGGCAGATACGTGCTAAAAGCTCAAAACAGAGAGCAGTGTGCAGGGGGTCCACACACCCAGGGTCTGGTTGGTCATAGGTACACACCTTCCCATGATCCAAAGAGGTACGTGCTTATGGTGCAGCTTGTGCTGTGCATGCTCTTCCTGGGCATTATTCTCAGCTCATTGCACCTTCATTTCACAACCTTTACTGGGAACCACCAAGCCCCAGGCCTATGCTGAGCACTTGACAATGACAATCTCATATTTTCTCTCATCATCTCTCCAAGTGGGTATTGTCAACCTAATTTCACATGAGAAGAAAATGAGTCAGAGTTTATTTCTCACCATCATTCACTCAATCGTGAGGGTCTCCTATCTACCAGGCACTAGGCTAAGCCTTCTCTAAGTCATTATGTTACTTAATCCTCAAATTAGCATTATGGTCTACAATGACCCTTTCAGATGAGGAAGCTGAGGCTTGAAGAACATATTGATTTTATTCATTATTTCAGTGAATTCTGAAGTAGGCCAAACTGGTTTTTCTACCGTTGGGGAGGAGTGGCCAGAGTACAGGACAGGCCTGCAGTCCCCTGGAAGACTCTCCCAAATGTCCTTTCCCTCTGGTCAAGAGGTTTGGCCCATCTGTCACCAACAGGCCTGCAGGTGGCAGGTTAGTAGGGCAAGTCTTTGGGAATCTTTCCAGACCCCTGCTCTTTGGCCTAGCTCTCAGCTTTGCAGTCTTGGTGACCCTACACTGGTTCATGTCAGCCATAGATTTGCTTTCTAAGAGAGGCAGGGCTAGGATCCTTTTCCCCAATTGACTGATGAAGATGGAGGCAAGTCCTGTAGCCTGTGGAGTCTGAAACTGTAGACTAAGAGTATAATGAATCCTTTGGTGCCCTGGCTAGAATCCTTCTATAGGCTGGGGCATGCAGCCTTCGGTGGCTGTAAGTATTGGCTGCTAGTGGCTCACAGGTTTTCCTTTTTCCAGACAATTGTCCTGAGAAGATTGTGAGCCCTTTTTCCTGGGGGGTTAAACTCCCCAATCCCTGAGAATGACCAGTAGCCAATGATCAACTGACATGAGGGGATGAAAGCCTAGACACCTGGCCTCTGAATGGAAATCCCTCTGAGTTGTGATTCATGCTCTGGGGCTCACCGGGCATTTAGGCTGAAACTAGACATCAGCTAAGACCAAGTTCCGGGTTAGCCCTTTCCCTTACTCTAGCCCACTTCTCTTAATCTCTTTCTCTGGAAAAAAAAAGAATCAACTGTATCCCTGTTCTGGGTTCTGCTTCTAAGGATGACCGAAGGTATCTGAGTAAAACCTTGGAAATCATCTAGTCCAAGACCCCATTTTTATGGAGTCCTGCCCTGTTCCCAAGCCAGGATGGGTTGCCTTTCTCATTGAAGCTTATACTGCATTTTCTTGTAATTGTTTGCTTATCTATCAGTCTCTTTTGATTGACTAAAAGATATTCAAGGACAGGACTCAGTTGTAGTCAACTTTGTGTCTTCCTCTTCAGTGCCTGCCTGTAGTAAATACCCACTGATAAGAACAACAATAATAGCAACAGCAATAATGTTAAATATTGCTGACACTTACTGATAATTTACTATATGCCAAGCACAGTTCTAGTGATTTGACATATATTAATTTATTTGTACCTTGCTATAATCCTCTTAAATAGGAAATATTATTATCCCACTTTGCAGATGAGGAAACTGAGGCCTGAGAAGAGCAATGAACGGGAAGAATCAGGACTGGAATGCTGCACTCCTGACTCCTTCCTGGGGCTTTCTCTCTTTCTCTGTGCTCAGAGAGGATGCACAGCCCCACTGTGAAGGCAGGAGAGAATTTGTTCAAAAGTTTCTCAAACAATGTTTCTCATATCAGCTTCTCAGTACAAGAAAGTAGCAGTATGCTTAACAAAAGCAAACCAGGATAAAATGAAACATACTGGTCTCCTAGCATGAATCATACAAAAATGGAGAAGAAAGATTGATTATTGAATGTCAGATCTCTGCTCCAGGTAATATTTCATCAGTTTAGGAAAGGAAGGCATACCAGGAGCCTGTCTGAGAGTTGGGTGGGGAATGCAGAAGGAAGGAATCTCTCTTCTGTACTTCAGCCATCACTGCCCTTGAAGGTATTTTTACCTCCCCTGGAGACTCCTCAGACACAACATCTTTTTGCTCTTTCCACTTAGGATCTGAACCATGGAGGGAATCTCAGGATCTTGAGGCTATGAGAGACTCTAGGGGTCACCTAACTCATCCCCAATTCAGGAATGATAATAATAGTAAGAAAATTTGTTAGCATGTAATGAGCACATGCTATGGAGCAGGCACTGTGCTAAGTGCTTTATGTATTTGTCTCAACCATCCTAAGAGGTAGGTCCTGCAGATAGCTCCAATTTCCCGAAGAAGAAACAAGGTAGAGAGAGAGTTGAAGTAACTTGCTTTAAATCATGCAAAAAGTAACTATATATGTTAGGATAGCGTTAGTTCTGTAACAAGCAATCCCCAAAACGTTAATGCTTATAGGAATAGAAATTCTTAACAGTCTAGAACCTCTAAATGCCCTACCATTCCAATGCAAGTGCTTCTGGTCACCGGGTACTGTCCTCTACATGGTGCTTTAGGGACCCTGACTCCTTCTGTCTTGCAGCTCTGCTACTCTCTAGGGCCTTTTCTCTGTGGACCTCACTCACCGGGTAAAAGACAGAACATGGGACAGGCACATCTAGTCCTTAGAATCTTGGTCCAGATGTTACATGTATCATTTCCTTTCTCATCACTGGTGAGAAACAATGACGGAGTCAAATCTCAATGCAGGGGGAAGGCAGCCACTTCTCAGGGACAGTCCTGCGCTGCAGAATGAAAGCAATGAATGAAGGCAGGATGAGGGAGAAGGGGGGAAGGACATTGCAACTTTAACCAAAAATGTAAAAGCTTTCCCAAAACTCCCCCAGAAACTTCCACTTAGGTCTCATTGGCCAGAGCAGGGTCACAGATCTGTCCCTAGCTGCAATGGAAACAGGGAAGACCGAGAATAGGATTGGCAGGATTAGCTTATGTCCATGATGTTCTATCACCTGGAAGGGGTTGTGTTGCCTTCTAGAACTAAAACAGGATGCACTTAGCATGGAAGAATGGGGGTACGTGCATATGGGGTAACAAGCTGCTTGGGTCTATCATACATTCATTTATTCAAAGTGTATTCCGCAAATGTCCACTGAGCACACAGCACCAGGGGCTGGAAGAGGTGTTCTTTCTATCATCCAAGGCCATTCTCACCTCCAGTCAATACCGCAGTGAAACTGCCCTCACCAAGGCTACCAGGAAGCTCAAGAGAGATAACCCCAGAGACATCTTCCAGGGCTCTTCCTAGACCTTGTGGCTGCATTAGATGCTTTTAACATGTCAAGGTCATCTCTCTTCTTTAGGGTGGCCCGGAACAAATCCAGGGCCCCAGGATCAGATGTGGACATCGTATGACCAGATGTGAAGGTGTTCTTCCCCATCAACTCCATCAGCAAAGAGGACCCTGAAGAGCTGGCAGCCTGACCCACAAGCCGCTCCTTTGGCTGCCTGGAGGGATGCAGGGAGGGGCCTTTCCCATCATTTCTGATGATTGAACCAAATTCATGTTCAGAATGTACAGAAAGTAATTTGGGCCAAATTTTCATGTTAACTGCTTAGATGAAAAATGCTCAATGTCAGTTAAATTTGGTTGGATTATAAGACAACACAGTCGAGATCAAGAACATGTGGCCTGATTTGATTTAACCCAGAGAAGAAATGCCTTTTTCTTTCTGCTGAGCTATAACATTATACATATAAAGATACATACATGCTTGCTCTCTGCCAGAAATGTCAACTGCTTTTGATCTCTCCCTTTAGATATTAAAGTTTCCCCTCCTCACCCCTCAGCCTGGTGGGCCCCGTAAGGGCTTTCAAACCAATAAACAAGCCTGGAGCTGCTGAGATGGTAGAAGCTGTTTGCCTTTCTGAGCCAGAGCACCGTGGCCCAAAGGTCGTGTTTAATCAGCCTCAAGGTTTTGGTTAACATTGACTTATTGTTTAAAATAGCATTTCAATAACCTCAGACCCTTCCTACACCCCCCTCAACACCCATGGGAAGAAGGAGACAGAGGCCCTTGGGTTTGGGGTTTTGTGTGTTTGTTGTTAAGGTTCTGAAGCAAATGAGCTGTGCTTGGCTGGTGGCCATGGTGGAGAGCTCGCCTCCTGGCTTCAGGGAGGGACCTGGCCTGAATGCCAGGACCAGGTCCTGAGGGCCCCCTGCTAACAGGACTTAACGAGGCAGAATGGCAGCTGCAGACTGTGTTTCTTTCTTCTCCTCTTCTCAGACTCTAAAGATAGATCATGCTCTTTAGAAGACAGCAGGCAGCCAACCTTGTATGAATTCTCCATCTTGCCCACCATAGTGAGTAGGAGAGGAGAGCAGAGGCATTGTAGTCTTACAAGCTATTTGCAAACTCACCCAAGACTAAAGATGGTAGAAAGCACTCACTGCCATTCCTACTCTTAGAGAGGTCCTTCATGCCACACAAAGTCCCCTGAGATGGCTGTTTGGCTGCTTCTGCTCTCTCTGTTCTCCTTCTTTTTGTCCAAATTCCAAATTTTTCACTGGACATTCCCCAAATATCCTTGGCCAACCCAGTTTCTCCCCCTTTCCCTTTCTTTCTTTCCTTCTCATAGTTCTCAGAATAACCATAGAATATGCTGGGAATGCAATATCCTGAGATACGTAGGATCTACTTGGGACAGCTGATGTGGTTTGGCTCTATGTCCCCACCCAAATCTCATCTTGAATTGTAATCCCCATAATCCTCATGTGTGTCAAGGGAGAGCCCTGGTGGGAGGTGATTGGATCATGGGGACAGTTTCCTCCATGCTGTTCTCATAATAGTGAGTGAGTTCTCACAAGATCTGATGGTTTTATAAGTGTTTGACAGTTCCTCCTTTACACCCTCTCTCTCACCTGCCACCATATAAGACTTACCTGCTTCCCCTTCCACCATGATTTTAAGTTTCTTGAGGCCTCCCCATCCAGGCAGAACTGTGAGTCACTTAAACGTCTTTCCTTTAAAAATTACCCAGTCTCAGGTAGTAGGTTTATAGCAGTGTGAAAATGGACTAATTTAACCGCCCAGGCCCTGTTCCTGTTCCTCCTAGAGACTATAATATCCTGCATTGGGAAGGAACTGTGCAGGACAGCCCAGCCTTTGTTCCTCTTGCCCCTGGAAACAGAATGTCTTTCAAAACTTTTCCCAGTAAGTCATGTTTTCCTGAAGTATATAACCTAGGGCAGGTTGCCTTCAGGGTCCTACCTTTCATCCTTCATCTTTCAACCACCACAATTTCTTGAGACTTGGAGTATCTGCTTACAATGGATTATAAGCTTCCTTTTTCCTTGCGGTCTATCTATAAACAATAAATCCACTTCATATAACTTGTGTGACTATGTTCTGTCCCCCTGGACTAAGGCAATTGGTAAAGCTTAACCAGAATGCAGTGGGTGGAAGCATTCAGACTCCTATTCTTGGTGGTTGGCATGGTGATGATCTCACTGTCCTCCATGCAGTGAGAGTCTTCCCTTGGGAATGGTAATTAGTGGACCTACTTCACTCCCTCCTCCCACAGGATCCTGGTCCTTCCCTGGTGGCATTATTCCTGGGCCATCCTTGGAACCTGGTGGTAGACAGGCTCTATTTAAGACAAATTTGGCTCTTCTTAACAATCTTTCTAGTAAAGCATTCTTTCAGTGTATTAGTATGCTAAAAAAATACCCTGCTCATCTGGCTACCCAGTGAGTCTGGGGCTAATCATATTTGGGGTCAAATAGTTCAACCAGTCTGTATTAATCAGCATTAGGTAGGCTATGTTGCAATAACAAAATAACCATGTCTCAATCCAACAGGAGTTCATTTGTCACCCATAAAAAATCCTGTGCAAGTGGAGCAGCTCTTCAGGCCATCTGGTCTCCATGCAGTGACTTAGTGATCCAGGCAGCTTCCCTTATCTCAACACATGGCCTCCATGACCACTGAAGAGACAACTGGAAGGTTAAATCAGTATTTAAATGCTTTGGCTTAGGAGTACTACTCACCACTTCTGCTCACAGCCCACTGGCCAGAACAAATCATACAGCCATACTTATTGCAAGACATCTGGAAAATTTGAGGAAACACATGGATATTAGGTGAGCTGGAAATTCCTTTGCCCCACACCCCTCTCTCTCCACATCTCGGAATCATCATCGTTTCTAGGAGAACGCATGAGTGCTTAACAGGGTATGGAGAAGTCAATTCTGAACCTATTGTTAGAGATGGATTGGGATATGCCAGAACCCTGAAGCAGAGATGGAAGGGACACCACCAGAATAGTAATAATAGCTAATATTTATTAAGTACTTCCAATATGTCAAGCATGTGCTTACCCTTTTCATGCATTGCCTTATTTATTCCTCTCAATGACCCTGAGCCTCAGAGAAGTTAAGTGGTTTTCCCCAGTCTCTTGGTCAATACTGGGCAGAGCCCCCTCTTCACACTGCAGAGGACTAGGTGACCCTGGGCTGTGTATGCGTCAAACCCAAGGGGTCATTGTGCCTCCAGAGAGGAGCTTTCAGCTCCTGCCATAGCTGATGGTTTCTGGCCTCAGCAGTCCTCAGAAAGCACATCACCTGGAGACACTGTCCCTCAGGGGACCTAACGTCCCTCCAGCCATGCCTTCTCAGTGGGCCAGGCATCCCTAGGGTTAGGTTCTTATAGAATAGCAGCTCTAATCCTGCCTGAATGCCCAGATTTGGCTGAGAAGATCATCAGTTCCTGCAGACCTCAGGTGGGCAGTCCTGGTGTCTGGGAAAGAGAGGCAGGTGAATCCCAAGGCTTGTCTTCAAGCAGAGCACCAGCACCATGACCAATCCCAGGGAGAGAAAGAAAAGCCACCTCCTCGGGGCTCTCTTCCTGCCACAGCCTCCCTACAGCTTGATGGGAGCTGTTTTTCTTCTCCATTAGGCCTGACAAGGGGAGGCCCGTGAGAATCTGATCTGTAGCTAACTATTATAATAAGGGATTGGGGATATTTCATTGTCACATCCTAATCCAGGCCCCAAGAATTGGGTACACATGTGCCAGGGAAGCTGGTTGGGTGGGGCAAAAATTTCTTCACTCATTTGGCCACTTACTGGGTCGCTAATGGCAGTGCAGGCTCTGCATCCAGCCCAGAAAGAAAAATGGCACAAGGCTTCCTGTGCCTACCCTCCAGCAGGAGGTAGACAAATCATCCCAAGAGAAGGGGAAATGACTATAGTAGGAGATACAAAATATGATGAAGTCCCAGGGGTGACAGTCACTTCCCACATGTAGGGAAGGCTTCAGTGAGGAGGTGATGAGGATTCTGAAGGGTTTCACCTCATTTGGCCCCAGGGGTGGGAGCAGACAGCGAGAACAGCATGTGCAAAACCCAGAACTGTTGAAAGGTGTGTTGTGTCTCAACAAAGCTAATCTATCCAGCATGACTATGAAATTGGGCATAGGCTGTGCAGAGGAGATGAAAATGGCTGGAGAGAGATTTCCGCTTGGAGATGATGGGCTCTGGGGGAAATTCACAGGAATGGTGGCATTTGATTTGAGCCCTCCTAAAAGTTGAGTGGATGTGGAGGTGGAGATTGGGGTTTATTCTGGGTAGAGGCTCAAGGCCAAGAAGGGCAGGGCCTGTGTGAAGAGGAAGGGGGGCCCCAGGGAGAGGGTAGGCTTTTCATTTGCTGTGTAACAAATTGCTGCAAACAGAGCAGATTGAAACACCCATGTATTAGCTCACAGGTCTGTAGGTCAGTCTGACACAGCATGACCTTATTCTCTGCCCAGGGTCTCACCAGCTGAAATCAAGTTGTTGGCTGGGACCACAGCTCTCACCTGGGGCTCAGGGTACTCTTCCAAGCTCTCTGGTTATTGACAAAATTCATTTCCTTGTGGCTGTGGGATTGAGGTCCCCAGTTTCCTGCCTTCAGCCCCAAGAGGTTGTCCTTTCCATCAGCAGTGCACAGCCTGGGTGTTTACCTTCTCCATAGCCTGAGTCTATCTGACTTTCCCTTGTCCATTCAGTGGAAGAAAACTCTCTGCTTTAAAGGGTTTCCATGATCAGGTTAGAGTTGCCCAGACAATCTCTGTATCTGAAGATCAACTGATTTGGGACTTTAATTTTACCTGCAAAAAATTGATGTTCCCAAAACCCTTCTGGCTCCATGCAAAGGGTAGGTGTTCCCTTCACCTCAACACCTAGATTCATATTTGATTAACCATGGGTCAGGAATCTTGGGGGTCGGGGCAGCTTAGAATTATATCTACCATTCTGGGCAGCTGGTGTGGAAAAGCAGAAAATTTGAAGTAGAGTAGCAGGGAGAGGAAGCAGGATCAGGCCAAGGAGTCTTCTCAGGCAGGTAAGGGTTGACATTCACCCTGAGGCTTGGACTCAGAGCAGTGGCATTCCCTGGGGGGCTTGGCTTATGATGGACTGCATGGAAGGGCCATGGGTTAGGGTAGAAGCTGCTGCACCTGATTGGCTGTGCCTAGGCTGGGCTCCCACTGGGCTTCTGAGTCCAGTGTGGGAGGGAAGAGGTGGGGCAAATACCTGCAGGGAAGAGACCCTGGGCCCCGCCAGGTACTGGAGCCCAACCAGCTTTCAATCCCTGCTAGGCTTTCTACAGCTGCCCAGAGAAGCAGAAAGCCTCCATCCAAGGTTCTGCTGGTCCAGCCACTTCCCTTCTAAGCCCCAACGTCCTCACTGCCTAGGCTGAAGCACCAGGGAAGATGCAGCTGGGAGACACTTCTATCTCCGTTTTCAGGGCAGGCCTTGGGTAAAAGCAGGTAGCCAAAGCTTAGAAGAGTCAAGAGGCATGATTAGGGCCATCTCCATTTGTTTGCAGAGGTGGAAACTGAGACCCAGAGACAGTAAGTTCTGGGCAGGGTCAGAGCTGGTAAGGTCAGAGGGCAATTGAGATGTAGTCCTCCCTTTGTTCACTCAAGTTCCTGATATCCCTCCCATCTCAGGAGTCTTCTGGCTTTCTTTGTGTCCTTCCTTCCACAAACTCTGGGGCTCAAGCCTTCCTGTGGAGAAAAGAGACCCCAGTCTCGCTTCTGAATGAATCTCTGGGAATCTGATGTGCTGCTCTGACCAGGATTGGGGATTGGGACTGGGACGATGCTTAACCCGCAGGAATGAATTGCAAAAGTCAGCATATCAGTGAAGGCCGAGAGGGAGGGAGGGAACTCTCACAGGAGGAGAGCAGGGCCCTTCCTGGTGCTCTGAGATCACAGCTCCCATCTCTTAGGCCCCCTCTGCCCTCCACCTAAATGGAGGCGCTAATTTGTTCCCCCTGTTTCTTAACCCATTTTCTTTCTCCGCCGGCCCGCCGCCCCACACTCGACCAAACCCTCAGTTCTGAAATGTTTTCTTGAAATACTTTGGTGACTACGTATGTGATAAGGACAGAAGCCTCTGCTGTGAGCGCCCTGAATTGCCATATTGTCTGAAGTCACACCTTGGGCTGCCTAAAGCAACTGGGTTGGAGAGATTCACTAGACACAGCCTGGAAGAGGAAGGGGTACCCCTGGCCCCCTCCCACTGAGCAAGCCTCATCGGAGTCTGCGCAGCCGTCAGCTTCGGTGCCCAGGTGGAGGGGAGCTGGTGACATTCCCCTGAGCACGTGGAAACAGATGCCTCAGAAAGCCTGTGGATTACTTGCCTGGCACGCACCGCCTGCTAATTAAGTTTCACTATTTACCTCTGGAAAGAGAAGAGGCTGTCTGGGCTCTGGAGAGGGCCTGACCCCTCCCCTCTCTCCTTCCCATCCTCCACCCCGAATCAGGCCCCAAAACCTTTCTGGCTCCATGCAAAGGGTAGGCACCTCTTTGGGGTCTGGAGGAGAGGAGAAGTTACATAAGACCATGCCCACCCCCAGGCCATCTCTGTGGGTAAAGAACAAGGCTGGGGTAGGGGGTAAGAAAATCAGGCAGTTCAGCCTAAGCCAATTAGCTCTTTCTAGCTACATGACCTTGATCTTTCTGCAGGCCATTTTCCTCATTTGTAAAGTGGGGAGATATTCACATTTACCTGTGAGGATGGTTGGTGGAATTAGAAGAGAGTGTGTGCGGGGGTGGGTGGGAGAAGAAGTTGGATCCCGACCCAATGTGCATTCTGTCCTTCCTCTTTACCTACAGACTTATGATTCTTTATTTGAGCAGTAAAGCGCTTAGATAAAATAATACATTTCTGGCCATCCTCACAGCTAAGGATGACCCATGAGATGTGGATGGAAGCTATTGATGGTGATGGTGGAGTTTCCAGGCATGTTATAGAAGCCTGCCTCAACTGAGAGACAAATCTACTGTCTTTCCTTCCTCCTTTGCTCCTCCTTCTTGCCTGGAGTGCACACATGATGGCTGGAGCTCCAACGGCCATCTTGGAACGTGAAGCAACCTTGAGAGTAGATCCACCGGCTGAAGATAGTGGAAATAAAAGATGGAGCTCTCACACTGGCCCTGGGCTGTCTACTCCTGGGCTTTTTCTGAGGAATAGAGAAGTAATCACTAATTTTTATTTAAGGCATTGGTTCTCAAACTTTAGCATGCATTAGAATCACCAGGTGCACTTGCTAAAATACAGATTGTTGGGCCCCATCTTCAGATATTCTCATCCAGTCAGCCTGGAGCACAGCCTGAGAATTTCATGTCTAACATTTTCCCAGGTAATGCTGCTGCTGCAGGTCTGGGTGTCACGCTTTGAGAACCAATGATTCAAGCCATCATGGATCAGATTTTGATTTTATGTAGCAGAACCCAATCCTAACATAGATAGCAGGGTGAGCACTTTGCACTGAATAAATGGGATCATATTTTCGTACAAGGAACAAGTGATTGTGAGGCTGCCTGTTCACCCCACTGAGACCCAGCCGTGGGAGGAAATCAGAGGCTCAAGGGGCTGGAAGGGAGCAGAGGGAGTGATGGCCACTCTGCTCATCCCCCACTAAAGGGCAGCCTTGATTGACCTCAAGAACCCCAAAGAAGGCTTGGTGGTCCCAAAACCCTTGTGTGGGGAGAGGCTGAGTCCCCACCTTGCTCAGGCCTATTTTATAGCATCTCCTATTCTTCCAAGTGTCCTAGAAACTTAACAGGTGTTCCAAGAAAGTTTTTTTTTTTAAAGCGGGGACCTCGGGTGAAATGCTTCCTGAGCCAAGCCCTCTACATGTGTTATCTCATTTAATCCTCATGACCCATCTCAAAGTTGAGGAAGCTGAGGCTGACAATGGCTAAGTAACTTGCCCATAGTCACAAAATACTAGGAAGTGATGGAGCCCAGACTCAACCATAAATCTGCCTGACTGTAAATGTCACATTCCAAATGATGATTTAAGGCTGGTGTCACCCCTGCCCCACCCCTGGGCTGTGCTAAACTGTATTCTCAGAGACAGGAAAGCCAGAGGGCTTTGGGGAAGCTTTAGGAGAGGGTGGGGTGGGCAGAGAGTTGGACCCACTCAAGCTCTGGGGCCACCCTCCTACCCCTGTGTCCATGGATCCCCAGTAAGAGCTGAACACCAAGTCCTGTAGAGGCTAAGGGAGGTGGCCCCCTGCTCCTGGCAGGTCACCTGTGGTGCCAGATTGGAAGCCATACTTCTCTCGAGGGGAGGGGGTCAGTGGCCCAGCACTTCTAGCTGTTCCAATAAAATATGAAGTTCGGCAACTCCAGGCCATTGCTCTCTCCTCTGAGTGATGACCTTGCAATCGGTTCTCAAGCTAGCTTGATTTATCCACTCCAATCTGGGCAGCCCGAAAGGATGAATGAGCTCCAGGGCCTGCAGAGGAGAGCAGGGTCCCCGGGAGAAGTGAGGCCGTGGGAGTGGGGGCCGTTTGTCACCAGCGAGCCCTGCTTAATTGTGGGAAGATGAAGCAAGGAGGTACCGGATTGCACTGTATAAATCACGGTCTTTTGTAGTACCACCGGGGGCCCAGTCTGACCTGGAGGGTGCTCCTATTTGGAGAGAGCCGCAGGGCACAGACTGGCTGCTCTGCCTGACAACCACTCTGTGAAAGGGGCAGGTTTGTGTAAGGGCCTCAACGTGGACCCTGCAGTGGGGGACTGGAGAGCTATGTGGTATTGCAGCCACAGTGCAATCTGGTGTGTTCTGCAGTCAGGGTGTCCTTGGTTCATATCCTAGTTGTGCCATTGGCTGGCCATGGGGCAGTGGCCACGTCACATAACCTCTGTCTTCTGGGCGTCATGGTTAAGAGCACTGACTGTGAATTTGAATGTGGGCTCTGCCCCCTACTAGCGGTGTGGCTTTGGGTAAGTTACTTTATCTGTCCCTGTGCCTCAATTTCTTCATCTGTAAAATGGGGCTAAATAATAGGACTTAGCTAATAGGGCTGTATCAGTTTCCCAGCCCTGCCATAACAAATTGCCACAAGCCAGGTGGCATAAAGCAACATAAATGTATTCTCTCAGAGTTCCAGAGACCCAAAGTTTGAAATCAAGGTGTCGGCAGGGCTGTATTCCCTCTGCAGTCTCTCAGGGAGAATCCTGCATTGCCTCTTTCTGCTTCTGGTGGCTTCAGGAGTCCCTGGCTTGTGGCTACACCTCTCCCATCTCTGCCTGTGTCTCCTATTGCCTTCTCCTCCCTGTGTCTGTTTTCCTCTGTTTTTCATAAGGACACTTGTCATTGGATTTAGGGCCCACCTGGGTAATCCAGGGGGATCTTATCTCAAGATCTTTAACTTAATTACATTTTTCAAGACCCTTTTTCCAAATAAGGTCACATTTGCAAGTTTCAGAGGTTAGGACTTAAATATATCTTTTTTGGGGGGGTAGTGGGGAGGCACCACTCAACTCACTACAGGGCTGCTATAAGAATTAATGAATTAATATTTGTAAAGTTCTTAGAAGAGGGCCTGGCACCCAGTAAGTGCTAACAAGTAACCGATATATTTATATATATACATACATATGTATGTGTATATATAAAATACATGCAATATTATAAATTAAGCTATACCACATTAATGCAAACATTTATATACACATTAACATACTATAATTTACATGTATATGTGTACAGAAAATAATGGCATACATCTTGCTGCAAGTCAGACTGAGACCACCTTTGCAAAAATTATGACAGTAAGAAAATTGTGGCAGTGAAAAATTTCTGATCTAACCAACTCCCATCTTGCCTTTAACCTTCAGACTGGCCTTCATCACACCTGGGCTTGGGCCAAGACAATTTTGGGAGAAATTTAGTTTATATTTTAAATGAAAATAGCCCTTTCCCCAAACTAAATCACCTTTGTAAAGCTAATGAGAGAACATCAGGTTAGGAAGATGAGAGGAACCTGAATTCTGCTAAGATATAGACATAAATGATTCCTGGCTATTGTTCCAGAGGTTGCAAGATATCAACTTCTCCAATTACTCCTACAGATAAAATCACTCTTACAGAACCTAAGGTTAGCCTTTTGAGATGCCTTTTCATGTCTTTGCATTTCTGATGACCTATGGCTCCACCAGGACCCTCTAATCAGTCCTGTGGCCCCCACCCAGAAGTGGACTCAGCACACACAAGAGAATTAATGAATTAACATCTGTAAAGGACCATTTTCCACACCTCTATGATTGCATCCCCCCAACCAATCAGCCACACCCATTCCCTTGCCTGCCAAACCATCCTTGAAAAACCCTAGCTTCTGAATTTTCGAGGAGGCTGATCTGAGTAATAATAAAACCCTGGTCTCTCATTCAGCCAGCTCTGCGTGAATTAGACTCTCTCTACTGCAGTTTCCCTGTCTTGATAAATCAGCTCTATCTAACCCATTGGGTGATTACAAGACGACTGTAAAGATTAGAGAGGATGATGAGTGTGAAGTGGCTCTCAGTGTTTCAGGGTAGAGTAGATACTCAACAAATGGTGGCTTTTGTAATTATGACATTGTGCCAGGCCCAGGGATGGAGTAGAGCAATAATTCAAGTAGTTATAGATATTTATTGATTATCCATCATGTGTCAGGTGCTGTGTTAGGCACTGGGGAGACAGAAAGGGATACAATACAATAATCCTCTGCCCTCATGGAACTTATATTGTGGTGGGGAAAACAGATAAACAAATATATATACTGTAATATCAGCCAGAGATAAGGAAGGGCAAACACTAGCTATCAACAATGACTGTAACTGTAATGCAAAATCAAATTGCATCCTGGTAGAGAGTGGACCCTGTAGGAAGACAGACATGAGAACTGATCATCCCCATTGACTATCTCAGGGTCTGCAAGTGGGAAGAGAGGAGCTGGGGCTGATAGGCAAGTCTCAGAAGACTTCAGCGTGCAGAGGCGGGTCTCGAAGTATGGGGAGGGAACATCCACTGTGGTGTTTTACTATAATAAGAAATATATATTAAATCTTTGTTCATGGTTCCTAACAGAAGGAGCTCTAAGACCCTCGAAATCTCTGGAGTGTTGAGTGTCTTTTTGTGTGTTAATGAGATGACTGGTGGCTGGAAACCCCTAGATAGCTTCAGGATGAGGACTGGTTGGCAGAGGAACCAACCATGTAATTAGAGGGCTGGAACTTTCAGCCGCACCCCCTTACCTCTTGGGAGAAGAGAGAAGCTGGAGATGGAGGTCAACCACCAATGTCCAACGATTTAATCAATCATGCCTATATAATGAAGCCTCCATAAAAGTCTAAACAATTGAGCTTCTAGATTGGTGAGTGCTTTCACATGCCAGGAGGGTGGCACACCCCACATTTCCAGGGACCAGAGCTCCCATGCTTGGTACAGGAGCTACTAAACATGACACTAAAAGACAGTGAGAAAAAGAGTGCGGAGGGGTTTGCCAACAAAGTGCTGTGTGCACCCATGGGGTGTGCAACTGGTACACTGATGTGCACCAGGTGAGGGACTGATTGCACTGTGGGAAAGAAGACAGTTTTCACAGAGAAGACATTCTATGAGTTGAGACTTGAGTACAGGTAGAATGATATTAAGTAAACATTGGGGAAAAGGAATTCCAGGTAGGAAAAACCAGCCACGCCTGGCCGTCTTTCCTCCTGGATCACTTGTATCACTCACTCTAGAGGCCACCAGCCACCATGCAGTGAGGATGCTCAGACAGCCCTAGAGAGAGGTCCATGTGGTGAGGAACTGAGACCTCCTGCCAACAGCCACCATCACCCAGCCATTCTAGTGAGTCAGCCATATTGGAAGAGGATCCCCCCAGCCCCAGTGAAGCCTTCAGACCATACCCTATGTACCCGTTCATTTGGTTATTCATTTGTATTTGTTAAAATATCCTTTAACAAAACCAGTAAACATAAGTAAAGTGTTTCCCTGAGATCTGTGAGCCATTCTAACAAATCTTCAAACCCAAGGAGGAGGTTGTGGGAATTTCAAACTCAAGGAGGGGGTTGTGGGAACCCCTGAATTTTAGTCCAGGACACTGGGGACTTTCAACTGGTGCCTGAAGTGGGGGGCAGCCCTTTACCGGTATGGTCTAATGCTAACTCCAGGTAGTCAGTGACAGAATTGAGTTGATTTGCTGGACACTCAGTTCGTGTCTGCAGAATATTATAGAATTGCTTGGTGTGGAAAACTCACATATTTAGTTCAGAAGTGTTGCGAATGTAGAGAAATGAGTTTTCCTTTTAACCAGCCAGAGGATGGTGGGGAGGAGGAAGGCATTTGGCAGATGGGACAGCAGGAGCAGAAGTGAGCTGGTGCAGGGAGCTTGGTGTGCATGGCTGGGCCATGTGAACCGCTTGGCTGAGCTGGGGTGGAGGGAGTTGTGGGTGTGGGTTGGTCACGCTCCAAAGGGCCTCGGGGGACCTGCGAGGGCTCTCAGCTGCATCTTGCTGCCAGCAGGGTGCTAGGTTGTTGTGGCCTGACTAGGAACAGCATGAGGCTTTGCGCTTTGCTTGAAACTGGAGTTCTGAGGAGACAGGGACGAGTGAATGAGAGAGCCGGAGTAGGGAAGGCCTGGGATGAGAATGAAATCAACAATATACTGTTACAGTAGGTAGTCAGGCAGACATAAGCAGGGGAGGAGGGGGACCCCATCAGGAATGCCAGGCCACCAGGATGGTCAGGCAGTTGTCAAAGTGTCTCTGAAATAGTAATTGGTTGCAGCCAGTGCAGGGGAAGGCAGTCTCCCAACAGATAAAATACACCTGAAGCTGTTGATCAGCATTCTGGATAAGATCTCAGGAGTTGGGCGAGTGGGCTCAAGTATGGGCAAGTAGGCTCAAGTGTACACTCTAAGAGGCAAAATGGCGGAGTTTACCTGGTATATGACCTTCCTCCAAGAACACTTGACTGGTAAGGAAAAAAACGCCTCAAATGAGGACGCACACAACTTCAGTAAACGCATTGCACATGTGGTCCCTCCCAAGTGCTGGCAGCCCACTGCACCTGCAGACAGCCCATGCCAAAGGAAGAATCAGAGAGGACAAGAGGCAACCCCCGGAAGCATGCAAATGTATAAAATCCCAAGTAAAAGGCTGAACCGTGCACTTGAATCTCTTAAGTCACCTGCTTGACCCTCTTTCAAGTATACTTTATTTCCTTTTGTTCATGTTCTAAAACTGTTTAATAAACTTTCACTTCTACTCTAAAACTTGCCACGGTCTCTCACTCTGCTGTATGCCCTTAGATGAATTTTTTCCTCTGAGGAGGTGAGAATTGAGTTGCCACAGACCTGTACAGATTCGCCACTGATAACAATACCAAACATTTATATCACACTAACTGTGTGCCAGACACCAGGCTTAAAATTGATCTATGCTGTCGGACTTAATCCTCACATCTGTAAAAAATGAGGCTCAGAGAGGTAAAGGAACTAACCCAAGGTCACACAGCCAGTAAGTCATTCCCTGCCATGGCCTGCAAAGTGCTATGTGATCTGACCCCAACCAAGAATTTTGGCCTCATCTCTTTCTTTTCTCCTCCTACCCTGTTCTGGCCACACTGACCTGGAGGGTTCTGGAGCCAGCCCTCCTTACCCTTGCCTCACGGCTTTTGCACCTGCTGTTCCCTCATCCTCTGCTTATCCCAGGACTGACGAATTCTTATCCTGCATGCCCCACGCTCCTGGGGAGCCCTTCCCAAACTGCTCTCTCTCTGAAGAGTCTATGGCAGATATTTCCTGAGATCTGAGCCACAACCCTTCAGGCCACCTAGGATTGTGGCTGCAGCTGTGGCTGGTGGACAGTTCTAGAGCAAATGGGCCTCATCTCATCTAAGTACTGCCTCATTGCTCAGCTTTTCTGTCTTCAGCCTTCTTCACAGCCTTGGCAGCTTGCCTAGTCTTGTGTGTGTTTTGCAGGGGTTGCTGGGAGGGGGCTTAGGGGAGTTAATGCCCCATTGAACCAATGAGAAACAGATGGACTGTGTAGATAAATGCCACAGCCTTGTGTCCTTCAGGGAGATAATTTGAGGCATGCTCTAGCTAGTACCTTTGAGGATCCTCCAGGGGATTGGGTTTCAGGGGTTCACAGTGGTGACTCCTTCACTAACACACCTTTTATTTGCTTTTTCCCATTCCCTGTCTCACTCTTCTTGTTCCTTCATTGCTTCCTGAGAACAACTCCTAGATTACCCACCTACCCACCTGCACCCAAACTCTGTGAATTCAGAGTCTGGAAACCAGACATGCACCTGCCCCAACCCTGTTAGTTTCTATCAAAAAAGATGTCCCCCTATGTGCATCACCTCCTGGTATTCATACCCTTACATAGCCTGACATTGTGTCAGGGTGGCCGGGGGTGACCAACAAAATCCAGTGGAGGCCACAGCATGTGACTTCTAAGGCTAAGTCATAGAAGACGTTCCTCCTCTTCCTCTTCCTCCTCCTCCTCCTTCTTCTTCTTCCTCTTGTTCTTCTAGACAGGGTCTTGCTCTGTTGCCCAGGCTGGAATGCAGTGGTGCAAACACAGCTCACTGCAGCCTCAACCTCTGGAATGAAGCAATCCTCTCATCTCAGCCTCCCAAGTAGCTGAGGCTACACGCATGGCCACCAGACACAGGTAATTTTTATTTTTATTTCTGTAGAGGTGGGGTCTCTCTATGTTGCCCAGGCTAGTCTCAGATGCCTGGGCTCAAGCAATTCTCCTGCCTCAGCCTTCCAAAGTTCTGGGATTATAGGTGTGAGCCACTGTGCCTGGCTATCCTTCCTTTTGGATCACTTGGGTCACTCACTGTAGAGGCCACGAGCCACCCTGCAGTAAGAACACTCAGAAAACCCTAAAGAGAGGTCCATGTGATTAGAAACTGATGCCTCCTGCCAACAGCCAGCATCACCCAGCCATCCTTGTGAGTCAGCCAAATTGGAAAAGGAACCTGCAGCCCCAGTGAAGCCTTGAGATGACCCAGCCCCAGCTGACAACTTGACTGCAACTTCACAAGAGACCTTGAGCCACAACCACCCAACTAAGCTGCTCCTGCATTCCTGATCCACAAAATGATGCAAAATAATAAATGCTCATGATTATTTTAAGCTGCTAAGTTTTGGGTTAATTTGTTATTCAGCAATACATAACTAATACATTTGTTGAATGGCATCAATTTTACAAATATTTGTTGCAGACCTACCATGAGTCAGGTGCTGCTATTATAATGCTGACCAAGGCAGATATAGGCAAATGCTAATGTAATTACAGCTGTACTATGTGTTGCGAAGAAGAGGAATCTGGTGCCCTGGAGAGTGCAGTGAAAGGAACTGGCCTTGTCCAGCAGGTTAGGGAAGGCTTTCCCAAGGAAGTAACTGTGACCCTAAGAACTGTAGAATGAGTAGGGGTTGATCAGGTGACAAGGGGTGAGGGAGCTGTAAGAACGTTGTGTGTATTCCCCCTTGGCACTTTTGCTCAGACTGGTTTCTCCTACCTGGAATTCCTTTTTCCCAATGTCTACTTAATTCCATTCTACCTGTACTCAAGTTTCAACTCATATACAGCCTTCTCTGGAAAAACTTCCCTATTTCCCATAGTGCAATTAGTTCCTCACCTGGTGCACAGAGGTGTACCAAGTGTGCACCCCTATGGGTGCACATAGCACGTGACAAACCTCTCAACATATTTTTCTCACTCTCTTTTAGTGTCATGGTTCATAGAATGGGCTCTAAAATCAGATTACATAAATTCAAATCTCTACTTAACAATTATTCACTATCTAACCTCCCTGGGTTTATCTATAAAATAAGAGTAACTACCTCATAAGGGTTTTGCAAGGATTAAATGGTTAACATATGTACGAATAACATATGGATATCACTACCATAATGTTACATAAAAAACAACCCCAAAACTCAGTGGCTGAAACAATGATGTCCTCTTGTTTGTGTATATGATGGTTGGCTGGGAACTGGCTGATCTTGGCTGGGCTCTGCTGAGCTTGGCTCCAAGCTGCAGCACACGTGAGTTTGTTCCATGGTTCTGTCTTCTTCCTTGAACCATTGAGCTGTTCAGGAGACACTCTTCTCATGATGATAGCAGCAACATGAGGGAACAAGCCCAATTACACAAGCACTTTCAAGCCCTTGCTTGTGTCACATCTGTGAGCAGCCCTTTAGCTAAAGCTAGTAACATGGCTGAGCTCAAAATCAAGGCAGGGGAGTACATTTCACCTGTGATGGAAAGACAGCCAAGTCATGTAACAAGAGACCTGGATACAGGAAGTGTAAAGAATTGGGACAAGCAATTCCACCTATCATAAGACAGGCAGAACATTTTGAACATGCCAGGCACATTGCAGGTGCTCAAATAATTTGTGAGCTATGATATTATTTTCATATACGTCTTATGTGTCCATCCTACAACTGCAACCCCCAACTAGACTTTGAATTCCTTGGAGAGGGAAGGAGATTAACTGAAATATGCATGCCCTTTGTGCTGGGCATTGTGCTGCACTTTACCAGCTTTCTCCCACTGAAACTTAACAACTGTCCAGTAAGGAGGATTCTAATTCAATCTAGTTATGAAGAAACTGAGGTTCAGAGAGGTTAAGTGACTTGCTCAAGAACACACAGCTAATGAGTAATGCAGGTATCCATATGGTTCATTTTCTTACTCTATTCAGGTCTCTGTTCCAAAGGCACCTCTCAAGGAGGCTTTCACTGACAACTCCATTTAAAAGGGTACCCCATTTCTCTCTACATACTGTTATTCTGCTTTATCTTTCATTTTTCTGCATACCATATACCAACACCTGACATATTATACGCTTGATTACTGAATCCCCTGGTCTCCTCTGAGATCAGGGATCTTGTCTGTCTTATTCACTCCTATAACACTGGCATCCAGAGCAGTGTCTGGCCTGAAAGAGCTCAATACATTTATTGAATAAAGAATTGTGTTGTGAGCTGCAATCTATCTGACAACCCAACAAAATAGTAAGATAACTTTTCATTTTATTGTTAATAAAACTGAGGTTCAGAAAGGTAAAGTGACTTGCCCAGGGCAGCATAGTTAATAAGCATTCCTGTTGGGTTTTGAAAGTGTGTCTCTGCATGATCCCAAAGATGTTGTCATTTCCCCTAGACCGTGTTGTCTCACTGGAAACTCTCAACATGGAATAGCCCTGAGGCTGACAGCATCCTTGCACTCAACTGGGTCCTCGACCCAGCTCAAGGCAGGTCCCTGGGACGTGGCTTGAGAACCTTCCTTTCCTCCCCTCCAGTGGTGACATGGTGCTCAGGAAAGGACAAGTCACTGGTATCAGACAGAGGGCTGGGCCTTGCCCACTGGTCCCTCTTGTTGAGCTGTGTGACCTTGGGCAATGCTCCTCCCCTCCCTGGCCTTAGTTCTGGGTTCCAAAGAGATACTCAGGAACCGCCACTGTAGTAAGGGAGGGTCTCAGTGTACAGGGCTCAGAACCCCTACTCTGGCTCCTGGCTCTACCCAGGGTAGCTTAACATACCTGTTCTGTAGATTTGCGTTTCTAGTAAATTGTCCCTTGATACACACCTATTAGAATAGTGGGAAAAGGTAACAGTATCAATTGCCGGTGAAGATATAGAACAGCCAGAACTCTCATTCATTGCTGATGGGAATGCAACATGGTGCAATCACTTCGGAAAACAATTTGGTGGTTTCTTAGAAAGTTGAACATATACTTATAACATGACCCAGAATGCACTTGTATTTTCCAAAAAGATATAATATATATGTTGTGTGTGTTTATACAAAAGCCTGTACTCAAATGTTCATAGAATCTTCGTAATAGCCGAAAAGTAGAAATAAACTCAATATCCCTCCTGTGGGGAATGGCTAAACAAACTGTGGTTTATCCATACAATGAATTCCATGCAGCAACCAAGGGCAATGAGCTACCGACACACAGAGCAACCGAATGGGTCTCCAGGGCATTGTGTTAAATGAAATGGCCGCATTATGTGTGATTCCATTTACAGAACATTCTGAAAAAGGCAACACTCCAGGGACAGAAAACAGATCCATGGTTGCCAGGGGTGGGGGAAGGGGCTGACCACAAGGGACTTGGGGATTTTAGGGGGACGATAGAACTCTTCTATATCTTGATTGTGGTAGTAGTTACACAACTGTATGTTTTTGTTAAAGCAGCAGAATTGTATGCTGTAAGGGTGAATTTTGCTGAATGCAAATTATACCCTAATTTAATACTTAAAAAAAATCATCTGAAGAAAAGATTCTGTGGCTGCAAAACAAAAGCTGGAAAATCCCCAAACTGGAGCAGACTAGAGGTCTTTCCCAATACACCAGTGTGGGTTCCTGGGAAGACCCAGCTTCTGCCCTTGCCTGCTCTGAGCTGAGGCCAGGGGTTCGGTTTGTGGGTCTGACACCATGTGTCTGAGTATCTGCTGGGTGCCCTGCCTGGAAGACGTTTGGTCCTCTCATGCCTGCTCCTGTGTGGCCTCCACTGAACAAACACTGACCCCTGCTGTCTTCATCTATTCCTTCTTCACTCCAGCTTGATCTCAGGACCAGAAAACCATGGTCCATCCCTAGGTCTGGGGAAGTCACAGGGGTAGCAGAGATGGGGAGCTGATCTGAGGCTAGGAAAAGACCTGGCAGCCAGTGCTTCAGGGGATGGACGCGATGGTGAACTGGGCTTTTTTCCTGGAGCCTCAAGCTGCCTCCTGGCCCTGGGGCAGGGTAGGACAGATGGGTCAAGGGCCAGGCAGACACCAGGTGGATAGCCCAGAGGCTCCCAGGACACATTACTATGTCTTTTCCTTGTCCAGGTTTTACTGTCCTGGCCTTGGCATCAGAAGGGGACACCAGGGCTTCCACAGATGGGGGCAGCACTGGGGTGGGGTAGGAGGCAGACAGAGGACTTTGGTGAAGTCCTGCTCAGCCTCTCTGGACCTCAGTCTTTTTAGCTGTTAAGTAGGGATGCCAATCACTGCTCCTCTATTTCATTTATTCATGTACTGAGCACCAGTTACTATAGAGGTCTTTGGGAGTAAGGGGATGATCGTCACTACCGGGATCCCTGGCTCCACAGAGCTCAGAGATTCACAGTGATAGTAGTACCATCAAGCTGTGGCTATGCCCAGGCCCAGTCTACAGGGAGGCCTTGGAATTGGTCTACTATTTACAACTGCCTGGGGACCACTCAGGAGAAATGAGGGGAAGAGAGACTGGCTAGAAGCAGATGGTGGGATAGATCCTGGGCTCTCTTGGCAGCTTCTCCTTGACCCTCCTGTCCCAGAGCCCCCTTAAACCTGTCCTCAGATGCTGGTTCAGATGAGAGAACACCAACCTCTGGGGTGAACATGCCCAGGGTGAGGGAGGCCCAGGGGGCCAGGAACAATGTGCCTGGGCCCATGTGCTGATGTGCATGCACTTACATGTGTGGATATTTGCATGTGTAGTGACTTGTACATATGAGTGTGTGTGCATATGACTGCTTATGAATACATGCTAGGGCTTGCATGTATCTGTGCTTGCATGTGTGTACATCTCTAAGGGTAAGAACACACAGTCCTGTGGATCTCTGCATATGTGCACTGTCACATGTGTGTGGGGGTGTGAGCGCGGGGTGCATCTGCGTGCATGAGCAATGTGGCCAGTGTGTGCCTCTGTGTTCTCATGTGGGTACATGTGTCTGAAGCAGTATACACTGATACATGAGCTTACGTACATATTTCTGGCTCTGCAGGTACACAATGTACACAATGTGTGTGTTGGTGAGTCTGAGTGTGTGTGCGTTTTTGTGTGTGCATTTGTGTGTGTGTGTGCAGAGCTACCAGGATTCATTTCCCATCTCAAGTCCCAAGAACCCTTGTCTAAGAAAGGGGCTGCTGCCCCAGCTGCCCAAGGTTGAGGGTTCAGGCAAACACACAGCTGCCTTCCTCCTGGGGCAAAGCCGGAGCCTCCCCAGGTGTCAGCAGCTACCCCAGCAGGGCAGGGCCAGGCCAAGCACAGCCAGCCAAGCACCGACGCGCTCCCTTCATGTGGTGGCATGGGCCTATTTCTGTCTTGTTTGGTTCATCCTGGCCGGGTGTTCCCATCCAATAATGCCCTGTTTCTCCACCCGGCTATTTCGGCTGAGGAATGTGCTGTTTGTGTCTCAAGCAGAAAACCAAAAACCCCCATTATGGTTAGCTGTCCTGCGGCTTCGAGCAGCCACTCATTTATTTAGGTTTCTCCTGGTCTATATTTGTCGATGGATGACAAGATGAACTCAGAAGGCAGGGGGTGGAGGGGACCAGGGCCTCTCTGGGGAGGCTGGGACATCATCTCAGGCCTCCCTTCTGCCCAGGGCAGTATTTGACTTCTCCTCCAGGAGGAGTCGGCCCTTCTGCTCTCCTCACCCCACCCTGGGCTGCAACACCCCTAGGACATACTTCCCTTCAGACCATCAGTGGCTGGTTGTCCCAGCCAGGCCTCTCCTCTCTGCTTGCCTTAGTTCCACCGCAAATTCTCCCCATGTAGGATTTTTCTAGAGTCCGGCTCCACACAGCCAGAGCAGCATTGGTACAGTTAGGATGCAGAATCCAGAACAAAGCTGTCTGGTTCAAATCTTGGCTTGGCCATCTGCTGGCTGGGTAGCCTCAAAGGAGTTACTCAACTTCTTTGTGTAGCCATCCCCTCATCTATGAAATAGAAACAATAATTTCTTTCCAATTGTAAGGCACACATTTTCACACTCTGATGTTGGTCTTACAATCAGTGGTCTGACATTAAGTGACCACATTTATTCTCCCTCTCAATGGTACATCGAATAATGGAGTGGTATCTAATCAATGATCTTAAGGATTCTATGAAATACACCAGCACGACAGTAACAGATGGCACTCTCAAATGAAGATCATTTGAGGAGGTTGTAATAAAGGAACACACAGGTGTGGCTGGGGTGTAGGGAAATCGCAGGTGATAGTAAAGGACCTGGGACTGGGAAGAGAGGCTGCTATGACTCCGGCCTCAGGAGGAGGTGGTGGGCGTGGTTACTAGAACCCTTTTTTTTTTTTTTTTAATTCTTTTCAGTCCTGCTCCTTCTGTAACTAGAACCTTGAAGGAGAGAGTTGAGAGAGAGAGGAGCTGCTTGAGAGAGAGCAATGACCTTCAGTGGAAAGACACAGCCCGTCCAAGGTAGGCTCCACCATCTATCAGTGGCATGGCCTTGGGCAAGTTATTTAACTTACCTGTACCTCAGTTTACTCATCTGCAAAGTGGGAATGATAATGATCCCTACCTCATAGGATTGTTGGAGGCTTAAATAGTAAAGGCACATCAAGTATTTAGGACACCTCAACAAACACTGCCCATCATCATCATCATCATCCTCATCGTAGTACTGATACCTGGAGTAGAGTTCTCTGCCTGGTGTTCTAAGCCACCTTGGTTCTCATCCTAATTCCAAGACAAACTGTCCACCCTCCTGTCTGTTCTGTAAACTACTCAGTATCCCTTTAACAAACTGATTTTTTTGCTTGGGTCAACCCAGCTTGATTTCTGTTGCTTGCTACCAGGATGCCTAACCTTGGGGTGTCACAGTAATGATACAGAATCAGGTTACCTTCCCAGCAGACATCAGTGATGATACATTTGTGGCTTGCCGCCAAATGCCAGCCCTGATTACACGCTGTCCCACTCAGCCTCACAAGATTAGGTCACAGACAGCAACCTACCATGAGGATTCTCTGATGGAAGTGGGAGTGGAGGGTTGAGAGCTCTGTTTCTTCCAGCCTTCCCTCCTCAACACTCCAGGACCTCAGTCCTAGCCCTGGATCTTCTAGAGAGCACTGATTTCCAACCATTACATCCACAGCCCACGTGGGTCAAACCAAAGTCATCAGACCATCCATCTCACCCTATCCCCCAGCCAGAAGGAAGGGATCACATTGAAAAGCCTCGCAGAAGCGCTTAGGGAATCTTCATGTACACCTCTGCTATAGAAATAAGGGCACAGATGATTCACAACCAGACTGCAACACCTACATGTTTCAGAGTCTAGTAGTTATTGGAAAATGATAGGCCCCACACTCTGTTGGTGCAAATATGTATCTCTACATGTTGTGGGGTTAACCAACAACCCACCACAAGCTGAGCTGATGAAGAGGGAACCAAACCAACAGCGATTCATAATTAAAATGTAAGAATAGCAGCAACCAAAAACCAAGACCAGCCCAAGGCAGCCCCAATGGTGCCCTGGTCTGAAAGGATCCTGCCTGAACATCTCGCCTCTGACGTCTCTGCCTGTGGGAACATGTGGCAGCACTTTGTGATGTTGCCAGGGGTTGCATGGCATTCTGACTTCTTAGCCAGATGCTGAATCGGGCCTTCAGGAAACTCTCCTAGCGTGCTGATTTTCGTTTATAAATACCAAGTCTTAGTAGCCCTCGGTGACTCACTGGTTTTACCCATGAGTGGCTTTTTGTTTATAGAGTTGTGTGTTTTTGCTGAAGAAAGGCCCGTCCCTTGGAAAAATCACTTTCTAGAGCCTTGTATTGCAGGGAGAATCGCCATAAAGTGGGAGTGAAAAGACTGGAGCTGAACCATGATAATATACAGTATGAGCCTCAAAGTCTCGTGAAAGATTGCAGTGGGATACTGTATCAACTGTAACAGGCTGATTTCGCTTCCATGGACAGAACTAACTCTTCCTGGTTCTTACGAGCTTCTCATGCCACCACTGTGGGGATTTCGTAGGAGGGGCTGTGGGGCCAGTTGATTCAACAGTGCAGTGATATTTTCAAGCACCCGATTCTCTCTCTGTCTTTTGGGCCTTCCTTGGCCTGCTTCCTTCTCACTGTGTTGGTCTGAGAAGCAAATGCACAGGGAAGTTTTTAGAAAACCATCTTGGAGAGGAGATGGGAGAGAGCTAGAGAAGAGTGCAATGCAAGTCCAACATTCAGGGAGGGAGAGAGGGAAGGGAGGTTGGATAAGGACAGCCTGGACTGCAGTGCAGTTCAACAGAAGGCTCAGCAAGGCTATTAGATAGTCCTCTAGCCAAAGTCACTGCCGTTCGATGCACCCTGGGTCTCTCTGGAACCAGCCTGCCTCAGTATCCCTGCCACACTCATTCACTGATGGGAAGAGTGGCCTGAGTGCAAAGGTGGCCATGGATTTCCGGGCACAGCAGCTGCAATCTTGTTCAGTCCCTGTCTCATGGTTAGAGGTCTGCAGGGGAGAGCCTCTGCTGAGCTTAGGGAGGCTGCTGGTCCTTGCATCGGTGCCTTCCTCATGGCCTTGGTGGAGGGTGTACCTGCTGAGCCCTGTGGTGGAGCTAAATCCCCTGGTGGGTCTTCAGACCTGCCATAACATATCCACTTCAGCAAGTCCACTTCCCTCTGCCTCCCCACTTCCCTTTCTCATCTGCCAGGGCAACTGGGGCATTACCACATTGCCGAGCATCAGACTTGCCTTTCCTTAGGCTTCTAACAACCACCCCAGTAGCATTTGCCCTATCCTCTGGGGTCCTTGCCAGGGTGTTACATTCCTGTGCCCCAAGAAAGTGCCCTCAATTCAATGAATTCTTGTTGATGTAGTTTCATACTCCAGCCCCCTTGAACAGGAACCCTTAAAGCCAGTCTCGGGAGCACCGCCAGGCTGCGGCCTGTGCCATGACACACAGCTAATTTTTGTATCCCTTTAGGTGCCCAGTCCCTTCCCTTCCCTTCCATTCCAGGCTTAGTGGTGATGCTGGGGTTTGCCTCCAGTTATTGGCCTGGCAGCTGGGGTGAGGAGGTGGGGGCAGCTCCCCAGGGAAGCCCTTGTTCCAGTGTTGGGGAGAAGCTGTAGCATGCCAGCTCTTATTAGGGAAGGACAGCCATTCCTGCAAGCCCCCCAGAGCCCATGGGGGTTGCAGAATCCACGTTCTCAGAGGCATCTATTCAGATGTCCTCATTCCGTATTTCAGGACCTAGGTTTTCCCACCAGGGCTTCCTTGGCCTTTGCATAATAGAACCACCTTACGTAACAGAACCAACATGTCTGCGGTTGTACAGTTCTAACCACAGAGTCCTCCACCTTTCACTCAGCTGTCTGCCCTTTCTGGGTAGGTGACAAGGGTCTCCTTGTGATCTACCACCAAAGCACTTGGGTTCTTACCCCACCTCCATTAACTGCCTGTGAATCGCCCTCTTATTCTCCATCTGCAAGGCTGCAGGGGTGAAACTACTTAGCACTAACCAGCGAACTCCACGTCCTCATAGGCACTGTTTGCCCCATGTTTCTCAAATGCCTGAACCACTCAACGTGGCACACCATTTCCCTCCACCAGGATGTTTCCCCAGGTCGTCCCTGGTGAATTCTTCAGCAATCGAGACACTGCTTTGTGTCAGGGGCTATCCATGTCCCACCCACCAACCCAGATGGCATCCTTTTCTGCCACCAGCTGGGTGAACCAGTCTCAAATCCTCATCTTTCCACTTCTGTTCTCAGACCACTCCTGGCACCACTGGAGATAGATAGCCTCCAAAAAGTGAATGCCAAGGGAACCAGGGGAGGGGTGGGGGAGAAAGGAGAGTTGGGTGGAAGTGTCCTAGATGGCTGCACAGCCTGGTGGGTTGGACAAGGCCATCATACAGTCCTCAGTGGAATGGGACTGATGGGGTATTGCTGCCACACGTTGGCCAGGAGCAGCCAGTGGGAAGCACGACTTTGGAACAAATGTGGCAAAGGATTTCAGAGCAGCCAGGGCTCTCGGTCATTAAGCTGACTTTAGTTGGAGATCTATGAGGCCCGTTCTCATGGCCACCACACTGAGGCTGCATCCCCTTGGCTTCTCAGAATGACAGTAGCATTGGTTGAAGTTCCTCATTTCCTTGCCCAGGTTTTCCAGGATACAGAGTAGATATTTTCCTCTTAGTACAAGGTGTTCCTTGACCTCGGTGGACCAAGTTAGGACATATGTCCACCTCTAGAGTGACACGAATCCCACAGATTGCCACATGCTGATCAGCTCGGATAAGCACGAGTCCACTTCTGGAGCCGGCAATGAGATGGGTGGATTTCTGAACAAGACGTGAACTGTAGGGAGGAAAAGAAGGGCAATGAGATCTGGGAAGACAACCAATGGTGTCTCCTACAGAAGGGAGCTTAGAAAGGATAAAACTCCTTTTTTCTCAGAGATGGGGGTGCCGAGGCTTAGAGAGAAGATGGAAATGAATGTGGCCAGGACTTTGTTGTGAATTCGGGGAGAGACAGAACTGGGACTCACGTCAGACCCTTCCCAGAGCGGGTTACACACCCATCCAGTCCTGAGAGCCTTGCAGTGCCCAGGGCTGAGCCCAGCCAGGGGATCTCGGCCTTGGCCCTCACTGCGATGGCCTGGCATGAGCCATCCCTTCTCAGACTTCTCAGCTTGCTTTGTCATTTTGGTTTTCTGTGTTCCACCTGAGGTCTGGCCATTTCTCCCTGGAACACTGGATCAGCACCCAGGAGTGAACTCACAGCCAACCCCAGTGAGATATTTTTAGAGCCATTAAATGCAGCAATAATTCCTCACTTTCTCTTCAGGCTCATTTCCTATTTCTCTATTAAAAGAAGTAAAGATTCATCCTGGAAGGCTGCCCGACACCCTTTCTGGGGAAAGAGGTGGGACCAGACACCAGGCAGCCCTGGCCAAGGTCAGATGGAGTTTGCCTGTAATCCTGCATGCGGCTTGTCTGACAGGGCAGCTGCCTGGCCTCAGCCAGCTCAGCAGAAGCCATTCCTGAGACCCTTCCCCAGGGGCCTGGGCAGGAGTTGCTCAGCAAATGGGTGTCATAGGGCCTACCTTCCTGGTGTGGCACAGCAGGCAGCAGCATCTCCATCTTATTCACACTCACAGAGTTACCTCCAAATCACTTCCTATAGCCCTGCCAGAAATTCTTACTTTAAGATTTTTGTCTTGTTGGTAAGCACAGGGTTAATTTTACCCTCGTACATAGGTTTTTTATCTGCAGCTACCCCCTTTAAAACAAATACCCAGCTGGGCACGGTGGTTCATGCCTGTAATCTTAACACTTTCGGATGCCAAAGTGGAAGGATTCCTTGAGGCCAGGAGTTCGAGACCAGGCTGGGCAACATAGTGAGACCCTGTCTCCACTAAAAAGTAAAAAATCCCTACCCTCACCTCCTCCATGGAAAAAAACAAACAAACAAACAAACAAACAAACAAAAACCAGAAAAATCCCTAGGAAAGAAGATCCAACGACTGCCTCTTCACATATCAATGTGCCTTAGCTAGGAATTAGTGTTGAATCTGAGCTGGGAGGCCTAGGTTTGAATCCCACATCTGCCGTTTATAACCTGAGTGATTAAATTTTTTTTTTACTTTTTATTTGAAACCAATTTTATACTTACAGAAAAGTTGCAAGAATGATGCAAAGCACATGCTCTTTACCCAGGTCCATTCCTTGTTAATATATTTTTTTAAAAATGAATTGTATTACGCACATAAGGTGTGCAACATGATGTTGTAAGATACCTATAGATAGAAAATGATAACTATAGTGAAGCAAATTAACTTGTCCATCTCCTAACATAGCTACCCACATTTTTTGTGGCCAGCGCAGCTACCATCTACTTATTTAGCAAAAATCTTGAATATAATACACTATTAATTATACTACTCATCTCCTACATTAGATCTCTAGACTTCCTCATCCCAAGTGTCTGCTACTTTATATCCTTTTACCTACATCTTCTACTTCCTCTCCCCACTCTTCCCCTAGTAACCACTGTTTTAGTCTCTGTCTCATATATTTAAATTTTCTCTTAGATTCCACATATAAGTGAGATGGCAGTATATGTCTTTCGGTATCTGGCTTATTTCACTTAACGTAATGTCCTCCAGGTTTGTTCGTGTTGTGGCAAAAGTCAGGAACTCTTCTTCTTCTTCTTTTTTTTTTTGAGACAGAGTCACTCTGTCGCCCAGGCTGGAGTGCAGTGGTGCGATCTCAGCTCACTGCAACCTCCTCCTCCCAGATTCAAGCGATTCTTCTGCCTCAGCCTCCTGAGTAGGTGGGACTACAGGCGTGCGCCACCACGTCCAGCTAATTTTTGTATTTTTAGTAGAGACGGGGTTTTGCCATGTTAGTCAGGCTGGTCTCAAATTCCTGACCTCAGGTGATCCCCCCCACGGCCTCCCAAAGTGCTGGGATTACAGGCGTGAGTCACGGCACCCGGCCAGGATGTCCTCTCTTTTAAAGGCGGAATTTTTATATATATATATCTCACACATATATAATAATGTATATACCACAGTTTCTGTATCCATTCACCCATCGACAGACACCTAGGTAATTTCCCCTGTCTTGGCTATTGTGAACAATCCTGCAATGAACACGGGAGTACAGATATCTTTACGAAGTGGTGATTTCATTTCCTTTGGATATATACACAAAAGAGGGATTGCTGGATTTTACAGTAGCTCTGTTTTTAATTGCTTTAGAAACTTCCATACTGTTTCCCATAATGGCTGTACTTATCTGCATCCCCACCAGTAGTGTACAAGAGTACCCTTTTCTGTACACCCTTGCTGACACTGGTTACTGCTTGTCCTAAACACAAGATCCCAAAATCATAAGACTCCTGGAAGAAAACCTAGGGGAAACCTTCTTGATATTGGCCTTGGCAATAATTTCTTGGACATCACACCGAAAGCTCAGGCTACAAAAGCAGATATAAAGAAATGGGACTACATCAAACCGCAAAGCTTCAACACAGCAAGGGAAATAAGCAACAAAATGAAAAAGCAGCCTGTGTGTTGGGAAAAAAATATTTGCAAACCCTAGATCTGATAAGGGGTTATTATCCAAAACTCATAAGGAATGCCTGCTACTCAATAGCAAGAAAAGGTATAACCCCATTAAAAACTGGGCAAAGGACCTAAATAGACATTTCTCCAAAGAAGACATAAAAACTGCCAAGAGGTTTATTAAAAGATGCCCACAACATCACTAGTCATCAGGGAAATGCAAAGCAAAACCACTAGGAGGTATTGCCTGTTAGGACAGCCCCTGTGAAAAACACAGACAATAATAAGCTGAGTGATTCTGAGCAAATCATTTGTCTTCTGTGAATCTCAGTTTTCTTACATATCCATTGGGAACACTAGTCTTTGTAGGACCTCCCTCCTGGGGCTCTTGTGAAGATCAGATTAATGGTTTTATTTTTTTTTTATTTTTGTTTTTGAGACAGGGTCTTGCTCTGTTGCCCAGGCTGGAGTGCAGTGGTGTAATCACAGCTCACTGCAGCCTTGACCTCCCAGGCTCATGATCCTCCTGCCTCAGCCTCTCAAGTAGCTGGGACTAAGGCATGCACCACCATGCCTGGATAATTTTTTTATTTTTTTTGTAGAGATGGGGGTTTTGCCACGTAGTCCAGGCTAGTCTTGAACTCCTGGACTCAAACAATCCACCCTCTTCAGCCTCCCACAGTGCTGGGATTACAGGCATGAGCCACTGCGCCCAGCAGGATTAATGATTTTAAAAAGTGTTTTGGAAGCTGTGAAATTGTATTAATCAGGTTAGGTTGAGCTGAAATACTCTAGAAAATAGCCTAGTGCATATAAAGTAATTTGGAAAATATTCTAAAAAATAATAAAATCTGAAGTAATAATCTGGAAAATAATCCAGAGACTATGAAATGAAATCATTTTTCATGAACTTTGCCAAATGGAATTTTTAAAAAGCATTGGTAGGAAAATGAAATGAAGAACATCCAAGCTTGTCTGAATCCTGTTCAGTGAGAGGAGACCATTGCTCAGACCCTCGGATACCATGGCAATACCGAATCGCTATGGGTTATTGCTAAGAGTTACTCGCAGTTTCTGTACTTTATCTTGTGGTGGGCCAGTTGGGCCAGTTACAAAGGTCTGTGGCTCAGCACGGGGTCAGGAATACACCTGAGGGATGCTGCTCCGGATATAAACTCTTGGAGGGCAGATCCTGAGTTCCCCTAACAGGGGATAGATACCTGGCAATACCCAGCTCAGCAACCCTCCGTAAGGGAGATATCAGACCCTGGAGAACGCTGGCTAATAAATAATGGAGGCTTCCAGCCTTGGCCAGAAAACATGCAAAGGCAGCAAATCTCTCCAAGCCATTAGTGAAATGTTTACCCCCCAAGTCAGAGACTTGCCCCTAGAGACATATGTTTTGGGTTTTCTCTTTTTCCACATTCCATGTGTCTCCCTCTGCCATCCCATTCTCACACACGCCACAGCCACTCACTCACGTTTATGGCTTTTGCCTACTCAAGTCTATATTAATTAAAAAGCAGGCTAGAGATAGGAGAGCCAAGTGTCTTATTTCATAAAGCAGATAATGTTCAAGATTTTAATTTACAAGGAGAGGGGAGAGCAGGGCCTGTCTGCTGCAGAAACAGCCACAGAAAGCACCTTTAGTTTCTGAATCTGATATCTCAAGACTCTCTGAGTTGCCATAAATTCTGATAAAATGTCTTCCCAGCGGCAAAAGATAATTTTTATAAGCTTTTGGAAGGGACTAATAAAGCAGTAATCTACTGTCTTCCATTATTTAAAGATCCTGGCTCGAGGGATGTGATTTGTAAGGGTTTTTATATATAAATATATAGACATATATTAATTATATGTCTCAATCCATCAGCCTCTGTGGAAAATAATTGTGGCAGAGCTTTGGTCTGCTCAAGACTGGCCTCTTGCCTTGGCTGGAGCTGGAAAGGTCTATCTCTGAGACTTACCTCTGCAGATGTCCATGCCTCTACACAAGCCTTTTCTCCATGCCCTTCTCTTGTCACAATTGCAACTAACCCAAGCGGCTAATGAAGTGATCAAAGGTGTTAGTGCAAACACCGTTCATCTATCCCCTGGCCCTCTGTGATAACCTTAGGGTTACCATCCATGTCTGACAAACATCATTCCACTGTGACAAGGCCTGTTGGCGATGAGGGCAGCTTAGTCATCATCTGACAACAGACACATGTTGGGGATTTTCCCCTCTCCCCCTGGCCTGAGTATTCTAGCTCTTGGGTTATCGTGCAGATGCCAGTCTGAGCAGACAATAATAACAAGCTTAAGCTCAGAGCCAGAGAAGTCAGCTCTTGCATCTTACTCCTAGAGCCTGGGTTCACTGCCTGGCTGCAGGATTTGTGGAGCTTACTCTGCAAGCGCATTGAAGGCCCACATAAAGCAATTGCAATGCTCCTGGCAAGCATGTTGTCTAAATCCCAGCCTATGGGCTTCTCTACATCACTCAAGCCAAGAGGGAGGGAGCTCAAAGATGTTCCCCAAACTAGGGGTCCCGAACCCCCTGGCCATGGACTAGTACCGGTCCCTGGCTTGTTAGGAACAGAAACAGCAGGAGGTGAGCGCAGATGAGCGAGGGAAACTTCATCTGTACTTTCAGCCACTCCCCATTGCTCTCATTAACTCCTGAGCTCTGCCTCCTTTCAGATCAGGGCAGCATTAGAGTCTTACAGGAGCATGAGCCCTATTGTGAACTGCGCATGCGAGGGACCTAGGTCTCATGCTCCCTGTAAGAATCTAATGCTGAATGTCACTGTCTCCCATCACCCCCAGATGGGACCGTCTAGTTGCAGGAAAACAAGCTCAGGGCTTCCACTGGTTCTACGTTATGGTGAGTTGTATAATTATTTCATTATATGTTACAATGTAACAGTAACAGAAATAAAGTGCACAATAAATGCAATGCACTTAATTTATCCCAAAGCCATTTCCCTCCATCCTGGCCCATGGAAAAACTGTCTTCCATGAAACCCATTCCTGGTGCCAAAGAGGTTAGGGTCTGCTGTCAGAGTTGTCTTTGCATTTGCCACATTTTCCAGGGTCCTGAACCTGGCCTAGGGGACCCAACCCCAGGAAGAGACCAGCGCAAGTGATGGCATTTCATCCATGAGCTCTTCTCCCTCCGATCTTGTGGCTCAGGCTTCACCTATGACTCTTCACCCAGAGTATAGGTGAAGAAACTGAAGCTTGGATTAGTGAAGTCCAAAGTACACAGCTCCAAAGTTAGAGCCAGGATTCCAATCCAGGTCTGGCCAATCCCACAGCTCTCCGTGGCTTCTACTATGAATATTGCCTCCTAGATAGAAAAAAATAAAGAAAAGAAAAGAAAGGAGGGAGAAAGGATTGCATCACTTTAGTTAGCCACTTGGTTTAGCTGCAATTGTGTCAAGGGAGGGACATGGGGAAAAGGCTTGTGTAGGAAAATAACCCATACAAGTAAAGAGCAGGGGCAGAAGACCCCTCCCCCTGGAGGCTCTGCAAAGACCCTATGAGAGACCTCGAGTAGTAGGTAGCTGGGGAGCCCAGGGCTGAAACCTGAAAAGCAAAATAGGAGAGATTATCTGGCTGCAAATTCCAAAGCAAGAGGGATCCTCAGCTCAGGAGACGATCAGCCTCCAGAGACTGCCTGCTGGCTTTGTCCAAGCCCAGACTGGACCAAAAAAGAGTTCTGGTTTGGGTACAGGCAATCTGGCTGGACCTGGAGCCTGAACCACATCTCAGGGCCTGGCACTTTATCTCTGCAGCCGCTGCAGGAGAACACATTTTACAGCTTCAGGACTCAGGTATAAAGAAAGACCTCGAGAGACATTACGATCCGCTGAGGAGAGAGGGGAGGGGAAGGAGGAATTACACAGTCGTGAACACCAGCAGGCTGGCTTTCCATGATACTCAAATTCCTCCTCAAGAAGCCCAGGCACTGGGGCACAGGCAGCTGAGGTCATGGGCAGAGGCTTCCTCACAATTCCTGAATTTCCAGATTTCTTAAAAGTCATTAGTAACCTTCCCAACCTTGGCTTCCATCGCTACCGCTACCCACTGGCTTTTAAGAATTGCACATTTTCCCATTTCCTGAGTTAAAATCATGTTTACTGGAAATACCCACAGCAGCTCCTGTCCCCCTGGCTGAAACTTGAGTGAGATGGGGGCAAAATCCAAATACCCTGAGGATAATTTCTGCCACTGAAAAGGATGGAAACTTCATATAGTTTTGGAAGAACAAGATTACCCCGTTTGCACACCTGAGTACATAGATGGATCGTCGTACCTGCTGCATGCTATCAGATAGCTGAGGTCCTTACGAGTTGCCGGCTTCTTTTACGTGATCATGGCTCTCCATACTGACAAGGAACATTCACAACCACCGATCCCATCAGCAAGCCCTGAGAGGTGGCTATGACCCCCAGAAGGCAGATTGGAAATGTGAGTCCCTGGGACATGAGCAACCCAAACCAAGTGCTTGGACCCTGTCTTAGTCAGCTCGAGCTGCCATCCTTAAATACCAGAGGTGTGTGGGCGTAAACAACAAAAACGTATTTGTTCCTGGTTCTGGAGGCTGGAAGTTCTAGATCAGAGTCCAGCATGGCAGTTTCTGGGGAGGAATCTCTTCACGGCTTGTAGGTGGCCACCTTCTCGCTGTGTCTCCACATGGCCTTTCCTCAGCTTGTGCTTGAGAAGAGAGAGAGAGACAGAAAGAGAGGGCTCTCTCTCTGGTGTCTCTTCTTCTAAGGATGCTAATCCTATAAGATCAGGGCCCGCCCTTAAGACCTCATTTAACCTTAACCACTTCTTCAGAGGCCCCATCTCCAAATACACAGCTCTAGCCCGGTGCTGGTTTTATTACACTCAGAAACTGAGTGCAGTGGGGAGAGGCATCTGATAAGGGTGAAAAGAAAGAGAGAAAGACAGAGGTGAAGGTTGTAGTCTAATTTCAGGCCAAGTCAAAAATGCTGCTACTTTCCCAAGCCTCAAAGTAGAACCCCTCTGACACAGCGAATCAGCAGAGGTCACACATGGGCAACCCGCAGCAGCTTTTGCTGGTTTGCATAATATCTCCTAGAAACCAAAATTTGTCACCAACATATAAAGATTGGAAGACTTCTCATAAAAACCTGGGCTCCCGGCTGGGCACGGTGGCTCACACCTGTAATGCTAACACTTTGGGAGGCTGAGGCGGGCGGATCACCTGAGGTCAGGAGTTCAAGACCAGCCTGGCCAACATGGCGAAACCCCGTCTCTACTAAAATACAAAAATTAGCCAAGCATGATGGTGGGTGCCTGTAATCCCAGCTACTCGGGAGGCTGAGATGGGAGAATTGCTTGAACATGGGAGACGGTGGTTGCAGTGAGCCAAGATCATGCCACTGCACTTCAGCCTGGGTGGCTGAGCGAGACTCCCTCTCAAAAACCAAACCAAAACAAAAAGAACCCTGGGCTCCTGGCTTGTCTTGAAAACTCAGAAGGTCTTGTTTCACTACGGCTACAATGTCAACCTAGCAACCATTGACCTGAATTCTGGAGCGGCCCCTTCTGATGAGGCATCTAACTTACTCTCTAGCTCACCCCGTCTTCACCACTGGCCCTGGAGCTCCCTGGCTCCCTCTGGGCACATGTTTGCCCCATGGGTGGGAGGAAGACAGGGCGCCACGGGGCAGCCCAGCCTCCTTGAGCTTCTTTGCAGAGGCTACAGCGCAGCATGGGTCCTCTTTGATTCGAGGGCTGCCCATCCAACATCCAGCTGCTCCTTTGTTTCATGACAATATTGCATAATTCACATGAAAGCGGATTAATATACAGTCAGGAAATTCAGACACTTGATACAACTTCTAAGAGCCTCTTTATTTGTATGAAAAAGGGATCATCCCAAAATATTCTCTTCCCCTCCCCTTTGGGGTTTGAAGATCATCCCTCAAGACTCTGTCCCACCGACCATTTGGACAATGACCAGATAATCCGTAGGCTGAGGGTGGGCGGCTTCCTGAGCACCCCATGCTGGCTGCAGGCTCCCCAAGCCTTCCATGTGTAGGCCCAATTTTGGCGTTTATTTATTATTAAAAACTCCATCTCTAGCTCTGAATCCTTTGCTGTGTTTTGGCTCTCGCCTGAAGTCTCTTCCACAACCCAGCTCCTCTGATCATCTGTGTCAGAAGGTTTCCTCTCTTGACCCAGGGGGAAACGAGCCCGTTACCCCACGGAGCTTCTCAGCCCGGAGAAAATGGAGCGGAGGAAGTGGTAATGGATTTTGCATCTGCCCACTGGGCTCCCTGCTCCTGAGCTGCATGACCTTGGGAAAGGTTCTCGACCTCTCTGGGTTTTTGATCGTTCTATTATCAGGTGGGGGTTTGAAGAAACTCGGAGAAAACTTACTGTGATTGTGAGTGGGGAAAAATGTTTGAAAAATATAAAATGCTATAAAGAAGTAATTAACAATGCTGAATTGGTCAGGGCCCTGAAGGAAACAGACAGCGCAACCAAACTGAGTAATGGGAAGTGAGATTAATAAAGGGACTATTTTCAAAGGCATGGACAGGTTTGAGGACCCTGAAAAAGCAAGGGGCGGCACCTAGGAACTGGAATCCATGGAGGTAGAATAGAAGGAGCAGCTGTTATAGAAGGCAGGATATGGCTGTACAGAGAGGGCTGCCTTCAATACAGGGTACAGCCAGTGCATGGCGAGCCAGGTATGGGGAAGTGGAGGGTTAAATATTCCAACCTGCTTTTCCTTGCACCCTCCACAAGCCCTTTGGGGCCTTGTATTGGCTAAACCCAACCAGAAGCTAGAGGGCGAGGGAGCCCTTGCTGTTGTCTATAGACTCCATTCTCTCAAGCCAGAAAGCAGGTGTAGAGGGTGGAGACTGGGTCTGGTGGGGGCAAATGGAACACAGCTGGGACCATGTGGAGCAAATGCCTGCCAGTCACTGTGTTTTTTGAAAGTGTACCAGACACCACGGCAATGCTTTCTGTCATTGTCTCCCTGACTCTTCTTATCAGCCCTATGAGGTAGGAATCTCTTATCCCCACTTTACAGATGAGCAGGCTTTGGCTTAGGTACGCTAATTGACATGCCCAGGATCACTCAGTCACTAGGTGGTAGAGGCAGGGGGTGAACTCAGAATCCCAGACTCCTTGAGCACGTTGCCGCATGGCCTCTCAAGGAGAGAGAAAGGGATATATGTTGGATCATCATTCTGGGTCACAGCAGCAGATTGATGCTTTCTGCATTGTTCAGTATTCAAGTATCAGTGCCCACGCTCAGCACCATGGATGCATGCTGTGTTGGCCTCAAGACACTCATAATGCAATTGTGATCTCCATGGAGGCGGGAAGTACAGCCAGGTTTACAGGTACGGGCGATGGATGAGATGAACAATGCAGTAGAATATCACGCTTGGAGGCTAAGGAGCTCTGGGAAGTGAGGAGACAGCCAGCCCCAGATGACCCGAGGGCTTGGAGACCGGGGCTGACAAAAGCCAACCACCCGGGACTGCCTACGTGGAGTGAGAGAAGTGGGTTGGAGGTGGATGGAGATGAAAATGTCCTTTGAGGTACCTGTGGAACATGCAACTGGACATGTTCAGCTGTGGGACTCTACAGAGCTTTGAGCAAGTTATTTAACTTCTAGTCCCAGACAACTAAAGAAGCAGGCCTGCCTTCCCTTATTTTTGCTCATCTGTGGACTAATATAGAGGAGCTAGGGAGGACGAAGCCTAAATATAGAAGGAGCCCATGTCCCCATCACCATGTGGAAGTCATCTATCGACCAGGATCTCTTGCCTTAGACTAAATAATGGAAGTGAGAAAATAAGTTTTTATCATGTGAAGACACTGACATTTTAGTGTGTGTTTTACACAACAGCCAGAATTAACTCACTCATACACAGAGTTTTCACATGTGAATCCTATATATAAAAAGGATCTGCAAGATGGGAAACTCAGAGCTTCCTTCAAGAGGAAACTTCTGTCTTCTAAGAGCAACTCGTCTAAGCAAGGCAGAAAGAATCCCATCTTCCTCTAGATGAGACTTGGCTGTAGCCAGGCTGAGGCCAGGTGAGGCTAGGCTGGAAAGCCATTTAGACACCAGAGGTGGGGCACCCAGGAGATTAGTTTCTCTGAGTGATTGGTGCAGCTGGGTTCCCTGTTCTCCAGAGGTGCAGAAGTGGCTGAGGCTTGGGCGCTCTATAATTTCATCTGGTTTTAATATCAGGCCTCAGGGTGCAATGACAGTCAGCTGGCAGGAAATTTATGTCCAATGCCGTCACTTTCTTACTGCATATTGATTGAAGTAGCTCTTATACAGCTAAGTCTCCAATGGGGAGGGGTTTTTTTTTCCCCTCAAAATGAAGCCATTTTTTGTTAATTAATTGAGGCCATCCTGCTTCCTCCCCCTCCACTGTTGGCCCCACCACTGCACTCCCAGGATGAAGCCCCAGAAGAACCAGTGGGGCGGCAGCCAGGGTTTCCCAAACCATGGCCTAATTCAGTGCTATTTGATATTCCTGCAAACCCGGGACCCACACGATGTGCTGGGACAATGTTTGTTTGAAAAAGACATTTCCTCCCACTTTGTAATGCAAGCCAGGGACCAAATGAAATGCATGGATTTTCTGCAAATCTGGAGTTTGAAAGTATCCAAGGGAGAATAGCTTGGAAATGCATAGACTCTCTACAGTTTCTCTCTAACCGTGAAATGGGCATGCTGATATGTTATCTGGCCACCTCAAAGCATAGTTAAGAAATAGGATGGAAAATGTCTTTGTCAGTAAGGAATGCTCCCAACTTCAAGGAACAGAAAAGCCTCCTACTCATGATCTAAATTAATAGGGGGTTTTCTCCCACAAGATATTTAAAGAATGGCATGTTGGGGCATTGGTTCAGCTACTCAATTATGTGGTCAAGGTCTAAGATCTGTTTCATCTTTCAGTTCCACCATCCTTAGCACGTTGACTTTGGACCACATGTTTTTGCCTCCTGGTCCCAAAATGGCTGCTGGCTCTCCAGTCTTCACATCTGAATCCAATGCAGAAAAAAAGAGGATCAAGGCAAAAGCTTTGTCTTAAGGAGATTTCATCTTTGTACTGGTTAAGGTAAGCCTTCCTTAGCAGATTGCTCCTCACCTCTCAGGGATTGGGACTGGATCAGCAGGAGGGAAGGGGGCATGAGTGGTGGCTTTGAATAGGCAATGGGTAGTTTTTGCCACAAAACCACAGACTAACAGGGAAGATGAGCTCAATTCTAGCCTTGGTTCTGCATTTTGGGTGACTATGTGTCTTTGGGTCCTATCCCTGCCTTCTCTGGGTCTCAGTTTACTTTTTATACTAGGACAGAATTGAGCTCAGTGATCTTTAAGGGTATTCCCTTGAAGCCTGTGGCTCTGTGCTTATGGTCTGAGTGCAGTGGCTCAATAGTGGCACCGTCAGCAGAGGAAGCCCATCAAGCCTCAGTGGAGAAAGCTGGGTGCCCCCCCACCTGCCTTCTGTGTATGCCTCCTACTACCCCGCAGTGCCAAATTCATCTGCCCCTGGGTTCTCCTTCCAGGATCAAATTCATTGGGATTGATCTCAAGTCATCAAACCTGAGAGAGTGCAGAGGCTGCCTGAGACAGAGGAGGCAGCACATGCTTAGGCCCAGGAGTGCTGGATTCTAGTCCTGGGGACGCTTTTGGCTTGCTGGGTCATCTTGGATCATTCTCTGGCCTTCCGTGTTCCTCAGTTTCCCCATTTGTTCCGGGAGAGGGCTGCACAAGATGACCTGTGCTGGGCTTTATAGCTCTAAACTGCATCTAAGAGGGTCAAGGAGGAAGACGAAAAGGAAAGCTGAGGTCTGGATTTTCGGGTCTGTAGAAGCCCCGGAGGTGGGTGGGGCAGCCAGAGCTGCCGTAGACAAACAAGGAGCCCTCCTGAATGAAGGAGCCAGTTTCTCTGAACTAACAGTACCTAGTTCCAGCAAGGACGATGCACTGATGGTTCTCAGAGCCCCAGGGAACCAGGGGGCAGATCCTCTGGTTATTTTTAATTCTGGCTCAGTTCATGTTTTGCAGACATCGCTAAGCATGGCCTGGAGACAACCCTGTTCTCCCAAACTCAGGGTTTAAGCATTCATTCTAAGAATACTTGGCAATGACCCATCTCCCTATATTTTTCACATTCCTCCCTTCTGCCTCCCTCCCTCTCTTTTTTCCTTTCTCTCTCCCTCCCTTCCCCCCTTTCCTTTTCCCTTCCTTTCTCCCTCCCTCTCTTCTTTCTTTCTTTTCCTCCTTCCTTCCCCCATTTCTCTCTTCCTTCTTCCCTCCATTCCTTCCTTCATTCATTCATTCCTTCCTCCCTCCCTCCCTCCCTCTCTTCCTTCCACAGAAATGTGCTGCCCAACTACTGTGTGCTGGATGCTGAAGATATACTGATGGACAAAGATATACTGATGGCTTTGAAGTTGAAACCTAAAGGCTGAGGAGGAGTTAGCCAGGAGTACTTGGCCCTGGTGCACCCCCCTGCCACTGAGGTGGGGTTGCTAATGGCTCACCACTGACCCTCTCCAGGAAAGCATCTGCCCAGGCAGGGAGCCACTTCACCCAGATTTCCTGAGAAATTCGGTGTTCCTCCCACTACCACCCTGAAGGGCAGAATTTAGTCAATGACTGATGTGAGGGTTCAAAAGCCCAGCCTCCCTGCTTGAAGGTGGGAAAACTGGTGCCATCCACTCTCCAGAGCTCCCCATGGGGTCAGGCTGAGGCTGGACTCTTCCTGAATGTACAGCAATGCTCAGCCTCTTCTCTCACTCTCTACCAGCTTGCTCCTAGGAACCATTCCTCAGAAAGCCACTTGTACAAGTATCTCCATGTCCATCTCTTTTTGGGGAACTTATCTTAAGACATCAGGTGACCAAATGCTCCAGCACAAAGAACCACATAACAAAGGCCCCAAGAGAGAATACAGGAAGTTCAGGAGAGCTGCAAGCAATTCAGGGTGGCTGGATTGAGCAATGAGGGTGCTTCTAGGGTGCTGAGCCTAGAAGCTACCAACCCATGCTGCAAGGCCCAGAGTTTCCACCCCTGCTGCTCTCCTGACCCAGGCCTGGTGAGCTATCAGTTGGAACCTGACTCATCCCTCTGTACTGCCTTGGTTTCCACAGATACAAGCAAGCCCAGCCACAAGAGAGGGAGATTTTGAAAAAGAGGGGGCCTTCAGAGGAAGTCAGAGGTGTGCCTTGCTGACAAGATCGCACCAAGCATTTTGCAGGTGCTGTGGATCAATAGCAATGCATGACTGAGAGGCTAGGCCCTGACTGGTTACCTACCTGTGGGCCCAAGGGAAGCAGCCATTGCCATCCTGAGTCCTAAGCCTTGCTGCCTGGCTCTGAGACATCTTCCTTGGCTTCTAGCCCTCTCCTCACTCAGGAAGAACAGCATCCATCTAGTGGAGGGCAGGCACACATACAACACAGGCAGATGGAGCAATAGTTAAGAGTCTATGCTGTGGAATCAGATTGTATCAGTCAGCTATTGCCATAATAATGCTGTGTAACAAATGACCACAAAATCTCATAACAGTAAGTATTATTGATATGACCCATAACAATAAGTATTAATTTAGCTAATGCCTCTGTGGGTTGGCTGGAACAGCTCCACTGACCTTTAGCTGAGATTGTTTGTATATTAGTGGCCCAGCTAGGAATCAGCTGATCCAGGCAGTGGAGCTGGGTCTGTCCTACCTGAAGATCTGCACATCTGCTCCTCTTGTCTGTTATCCTCCTTGGTCCAGTGAGCTAATCAGGGTACATTCTCATAGCAATGGCCCGTGAACTTGCCAGGGAATATTCTCACAAGCAAAGAAAATAGAAACATGAAACCTCTTAAGGCCTACACTCAAAACTGGCACACTGTCACTTCTGTTTCATGATCTTGGTCAAAGGAAATTACATACTTGAGCACAAAGTCAAAGATGGGAAATATACTCTACCCCTTTACTGAGTGGTACTGTAGTCACCCAGCAAAGGGTAAAAAGTCAGGGTCAATAATGCTATCTTTACAGACTGTGTCTTTGGAATTGTTATTCTACCAGTTGCAAGCTGTGTGACTCTGAGTAAGTTACTTAACTTCTCTGAGCCTTCCTTTCCTTTTTTCTAGGGGGGAGGGGGCGGGGAATACAGGGATTCATTTATTGCTTTTTGGTTTATGAACAAAGGAACCCAATAAAGCTTCTATTTATTTATTTATTTATTTTTAATTTTTGAATTTTTTTTGAGACAAAGTCTCACTCTATTGCCAGGCTGGAGTGCAGTGGCACGATCTCAGCTCACTGCAATCTCTGACTCCCTGGTTTAAGTGATTCTATTTATTTCTTATAAAAGATCATCCATTTACATTTAAAATGAAAACACAAAACAAAAAATCCCAAATCAATTCCTACAGACAACACAAAAAAGGGGAAAAGCAGATTATTTTCCCTGCTTTCAGGCTTTATTACACAGGTTCGAAAATGATTATTTAATGCCATCCTTGTGTCAAAGAACGTACTGCCATGCTTCTCTGCACTGAGTCTTAGGACATGTTAATGTGGCCAAGTCAAACTTAAATATAGTCCCAATGACATCACAATTTACAAATGCATATGCCAGGATTAAGAGTGAATAGGAGGAGAAACTCCAAATGTTTTAGAATACAGTTTAATCAAATGAGTTAAATGAAATAAGAACCATTTAATATGGTAGGCTATCCTGTTAAATAATGAGTTTTCCTTTTCTATAAGAGAGATAATGATGGTAGCTTCCTTTGGGGTGGTTGTGAGAACCCAAATAATGCAGAGAAAGTAGATAAGTCATGGCTCTGTAAAGTTAGTTATCTTAGCACCAAGAAATGCTATAGCCATGAGGAACCATCCTTAGGACAGAGCCAGCTCTAGAGTAGCAGAGAGAAACAGAACTCTGATCCTCCATGAAATTATTGAACTGCCTGATAGAATGGAATAACTAGAAACCGCCGAACACTAGACTTCTGTAAACGCAAATATGCCCTTACTGTTTAAGCAAGTGTGGTCACTTTTCCATTACTTACAGCCAAAAATGCCCCTTCTGATAGACACTCAGACTTTTAATGTTTTCACAATCTTTTTTCTTAAACTCCAATTCTTTTTGGAATGAATATTTCTTGAAATTAAATACTCAGCCATCTTTTTTTAACTAATGGTTTCATAACAGTTTACTTTTCTTTCATTAAATTCAAGCTAAATGTATTCAATAGCTTTTATTCAAAGTAACATAAATACATAACAGGAGCCCATTTTTATAACTCACTTCTGTTTGGATCCATCTGCCTGATTTCCTATTGGTCTACCCTCCTTTCCATCAGTGCGTATGTGGAGAGGAACAGCTGTGGCAACATGCACTAATGCGAACGATGGCTATTTAGAATGATTTTTGTTTTGATTTTTATTTTTTACATGTTAAAATTTCTTGTATTGTGTAAGTGAACCATAACTTTTTTTACCAAAAATAATTTTTGGTAAATTTTTTGGTACAATGTTCTTTCACAAAACCTAAGCCGCTGACATAATAAAGACAAAAGCTGCCCACTATTTACAATAGCAAAGACTTGGAACCAACCCAAATGTCCATCAATGACAGACTGGATAAAGAAAATGTGGCACATATACACCATGGAATACTATGAAGCCATAAAAAAGAATGAGTTCATGTCCTTTGCAGGGACATAGATGAAGCTGGATGCCATCACTCTCAGCAAACTAACACAGAAACACAAAACCAAACATCATGTGTTCTCACTTATAAGTGGGAGTTGAACGATGAGAATACATGGACACAGGGAGGGGAACATCACACACCAGGGCCTGTTGAGGGGTGGAGGTTGAGGGGAGGGAGAGCATTAGGACAAATACCTAATGCATGCAGGGCTTAAAGCCTAGATGATGGGTTGATAGGTGCAGCAAACCACCATGGCACACGTATACCTATGTAACAAACCTGCACGTTCTGCGCATGTATCCCAGAACTTAAAGTAAAATTTTAAAAAAAGACAAAAGCTGCCATTAATTGAGTGCCCTCTACATTCTAGATCAGTCCATCCTGAAGCATATTAAAGATTGCATAGGCAGAATCCAGACTCCTTCTTCTTCCTCTTTCCTCCCTTTGCACCAAGTTTATCTCTTTATCCTCATTATCTTACAGCCTCAAGAGACACCTGTGACATATTAGGTTGCTGCAAAGGTAATGTGGTTTTTGACATTAAAGTAATAACGAAAGCTGCAAATACTTTTGCACCAACCTAATAGCAAGTCAAAATTGTAATTGCTGCCCTATTTGAAAAAGAGTGAGCTGAATCTGTAGAAACTAAAGGGCTTGGCCAAAGTCCGTCAACTGAAACTCAGGTCTCCAGATTCCCACTCTGGAGCCTCTAGGGTTAGGACTATTGGGAAGTTTCAGATTAGATGCCATGAATTGCATCTTCTCAGTCCAAGACTTGGTGCATCCACTCTCCATCTTCAGCTAGACACCCATTTGAGTTTAGCCAGATCTCTAAGACAGTCTAATGAGACTCCCATTCTAATGCTCAAAGAGCTTTTTATGAATAACAATTAGCATTGGAGACATTTTTTTAAGTTGCTAATATTAATTTCACAGAAATAAAATCTAATTGAATTCCTTCTGGCTCTCCCCCATTAAGTTAATGTTATCGACTTTTAACGGATGTCTTAATTAGGCTTTCCTATTAATGGGAATATGGCTCAATTTTCAAATAAGGGCCTAAGCTGCCAATATTCCCATTTGGACTTTTAATTAAGGTGAGAAAATATTAACCAATTACACTAGGTTATTGCCTGGGCTCTTTGTAAGATGAGGAGATCACAATAAACCAGGCATTCAAGGAGAGTAAACGAGGGTAGGAGTCGGGTTTGGGACAGTGGGGAAAGGACAGTGGGGTTTGGGCCCCCAGCCATCTGGAGGAGGGGATCCAGGGCCCAGGATAGTTATTGCTCCATGTAGAGATGTAGATGTGGAAGCAGGTTTTTAATACTTACCTATATTCCTCCCTGACATCGCTGGGGTTTGTGGAAAACTCAGTTGGCAAGTGTATCACTTTGATGTGCTGTGTAACAAAACCCCCCAAAACTTAGTAGCTTTAAAAACAACCTTTGTTATTTCACAATTCTGCAGGACAGCAATTTGGACTGAGCTTTGGTGAGACTTCTTCTGGACTAAGCCAGCTTTGACGCATCTTGACTGGGTTTGTTCACGCGTCTGCAGTCGACAAGTGGATCACTTGGGCCTGGCAGGATAATGATGGCCTCAGCTGGGATACCTTGGACTGCTTTGGCTTCTCTCCATGAGTTTGTTCATCGTCTAGCAGTCTAGCTCAGGTTATACGGTTTCAAGAGCTGCAAGAAGGCAAGTGCTTTTTAAGTCTCTGCTTGTGTTGCCACTGTTCTATTGGCCAAAGCAAGTCACATAGAGGGCACGGCCCCACTACCAAAGGATGAAGACACAGGAGGCATGAACAAATTGGGCCATTTCTGTAATTAACCCACCGAAGCAGGTTGGGTGAAAAGCAGATGGATATAGACTGGATGCAGTGGTTCACACCTGTAATCCCAACACTTTGGGAGGCTGAGGTGGGAGGATTGCTTGAGCCTGGGAGGTAGAGGATGCAGTAGCTGTGATTGCACCACTGCACTCCAGCCTAGGCAACAGAGCAAGACCCTCTCTTGAAAGAAGAAAAAAAAAAGCAGGTGGATATAGAGATAGAGGTGTCTGACACAGCTCAGAGAAAATAAATCATAGGTCTAAAATCTAAATGCCTAGAGAACATGGCACATGAATGAATGCGACATCCCTCATTGTAGGCACCCTGGGACTTTGGTGACCCACACCCTAAGGGAATCTCCACTATTCACTCCCATCCAATCACTGCCATGCAGAAACACCAGCCTGGGGTGGTCAAAGAGTCCCTTTTCTTTATTGAAACCAGACATCTGTATTTTAGTATAGAGTTTCTCACTGTTTAAAGGCTGCAGACAAATTAAAATTTTTAAATCCTGGATAGTCAGCTGAGAAATAGGGAGACAGTTTAAACAGGCTTTTCACAAAAGAGAAAAATTCAAATGGCTAATAAATATATAAAGTAATGCCTGACTTCATTAGTCATCAGAGAGATGCAAATTAAACCAGCAATGAGGTACAGTTCACATGACAATCTCAGACACCACTGGTGGGACTGCAAGTTGAGGCAAGATGTTGTCTAGAAGAGTTGAAGATATGCAAAGACCATACTCAGAAATTCCACTTCTTGGCACATATTAGGACATGTGAGTCTATATTCTACACAGTCAAGAATGAGCATGGCAGCATTGTACCAAACAGGCCGACACTGGAAACAACATCAATAATAGAACCAATAAATACATTGTCGTGTACCCATAAAATGGAGTGCTATACAGCAATGAAAATGACCAAAATATTGATATAGGCAACAACATGAATGACTCACACAAACCTGATGCTCAGTAAAAGAAGTAAGACATAAATGAATGCATATTGTGTGATTCCATTTATATGAAGTTCAAAAAAGAACAAAACTAACCTACGTATTTACGTATCTGTACGTGGATGATAAAATCAACTTTTAGAAGGGAGGAAAACCTTACGAAACAGCTTAGATGATGGTTACTTCTCGGGGCAGAGAAGGGGTGGTGATTGTCTGGGGCAGAGAAGGGGTGGTGATTGTCTGGGGCACTACAGGGGCTTGGGATTTCTGGCAATATTCTCTCCCTTGACTGGGTGGTGGTTACATGAGTTGGGTATTTGAGCAGGCCTCGGCAGGACAATCTGTTTGCTCTGAGTGGAGATGACTGGCATTGCTTGGTGGCATCAGCTAGTGACAGGGCTAATGTGGAGGACCCAAGATGCCTTCACTCACATTATTAGTGCCTTGTCCGGACAAGGTGGAAGACAGGGCTTATCTGGGCCTCTTTCCCTCTCCGTGGAGTTGAAATTCTTACAAGATGGTGGCTCAGGGCTCCAAGAGGCAGGAAGTGGAAGCTGCTGGTCTCTTAAGGCCTGAGCCTGGAAAGTAGCACAATTTACTTCCAGCAAATTCTATTCATCAAAGCAGTCACAGAGCATCCAGGTCCAAGAAGAAGAAGCATGGAACCCACCTCTCCATGGAAGGATGTCAAAGAATCTGTGGCCATCTTTAATCTGTCACACTACTATTTTTATTATGACTATGTATGTATTTATTTAGGTTGGCTCTTGAATAACACAGGGGCTAAAGGTGCCAACCCCTGCACAGTTGAAAATCTGTGTATAACTTTTGATTCCCCCAAAACTTAACTACTAATAACCCACTGTTGACCAGAAGCCTTACTAATAACATAAACAGTCAATTAACACATATTTTGTATGTTAGATGTATTATGTGCTGTATTCCTACAACAAAGTCAGCTAGAGAAAAGAACATGTTACTAAAAACATAAGGAAGAGAAAATGTACTTAATAATCATTAGATGGAAGTGGATCATCATAAAGGTCTTCATCCTCCTAATCTTCAGGTTGAGTAGGCTGAGGAGGAGGAAGAGGAGGCGTTGGTCTTGCTCTCTCAGGAATGGCAGAGTTGGGAGAAAATCCACATGTAAGTGGGCCCACACGGTGCAAACCTGGGTTGTTCAAGGATCAACTGTGTTTATTTATTCTTATCCAATGGTTAGAAATTTTAAGAAGCAGCACTGGACCCGAGATCCTCCCACTGCACCTGCTGAAGAAGCAGGTCCTGAAAATCAGCTTCTTCCTTAGTCTAGGGTGGGGTCCTGGCTCCTGCCCACCCCTCTGTGGCTGGTCAGCTGGTGGGTGATGAACAGGTTTTCATTAGACCTTAACCTGGAGGGCATGCCTTCCCCACCCTCCAAGAGCCCACCACTCCAGAGGCACCTCCTCCTGCTATGTCGCATGCATGGGCAGTTCTCTCTCTGGCCCCACTCCCTGCTCACAAAGCAACTCTAGCAGGCCCGATAGACTCTCATTGCTGAAGGCTTTGGAGCTGAAAGGAAGCTTCTGTGACCATTTGCACATCTGTTCCCTGTTCCTTCCCAGGGCACACCTTTTCATGTCTCAATCTATTTGTCAAGCAGTTTTTATGAAGCAGCAGATGAATACAGAGGTTACATGTCTGCACTTGGGAGCTGGGCTATCAGGGTTCTAATTTCAGTTCTGCTATCTACTGGCTTGTGTGGCCTTAAGCAAGTTACTTAATATCTCAATGGCTCAGTCTTCCAGTCTGTGAAATGGGGACAATAATAATACGCTCCTGGCAGGGCTATTACAAGAATAAAATGAGTTAATACAAAACACCAAGAACAAGATCTGCTTATAGTAAGGGCTGGTGAATGTCTGCCTTCATTTTTATTATTGCAAAGTAAAAATTCACCTAGTGAAAATTATACAGAAGAGCATACAATGAAAAGTCAGTCTCCCTATGATTGTGTATCTTCTGCCTTTCTCCCCAGAGGCAACCTCTGCTCGTAGTTTCTTGGATCCACTGCCAGAAATGTTCTCCGTGTGTGGGGTGTGTGTGTGTGTGTGAGTGTATGATTTTTAAAATTATATGTATTACATATATATTGTAGAATACTGAATACTTTTAGATATTTGTATATACTTTGCTTTCTTTCCTTAACTCAGTGTCAAGGAGATTTCTCCAGCTAGGCTCAGTGGCTCACGCCTGTAATCCCAGCACTTTGGGAGGCCAAGGTGGGTGGATCACCTGAGGTCAGGAGATCGAGACCAGCCTGGTCAACATGGTGAAACCCCAACTCTGCTAAAACTATAAAAATTAGCTGGGTGTGGTGGCACAGGCCTGTAATCCCAGCTACTTGGGAGGCTGAGGCAGGAGAATCACTTGAACCTGGGAGGTGGAGGTTGCAATGAGTCAAGATCACGCCATTGCACTCCAGCCTGGGTGACAGAGCTTGACTCCATCTCAAAAAAAAAAAAAGAAAAAAGAAAAAAAAATCTTAATGCATCTAGATTCAAGGAATAGTGCTCTAATGGTGGAATTTTAGACTATTCATGACCTTAGGGAAGAGACTCATGGAGAAAAAAAATCCTCCAGGAGTTGTTCCTCAAATCCTTCCATTTAGCTCCTGACTCTGGTTATAACTTTTAAAGGTTTTGTCCAAAATTCACTGAGTAACCCTGGAAAGTCCCTACTCTCTGGCCTCAGTTTTCCCATCTGTTAAATGGGTATTGGACAAAGTTATCCCTAAGTCCTTCTGAAGCAAGACATTGTAGGGCTTCAGCGTACAAGTGGGCTTCAGCCTTGCTCGGGATTGAGGACATCAGGGTTCCGGGCTTCTTTTGCAGCCTAGGCGCTGCCCAGCCCCGTTCCACACAGCCTCTCAGGAGGCGTGGAGTGTCTGGTGACAAGGCCAGAGCAGGAACGAGGCAAATGTCCTGGGACTGCCTGAACCGAACCCGGGGCATTTGGAGACGCCAGGCGGGCGGCTTCGGTTTGTGTTGGATGCTTCACAGCCTGCCCGTGGTAATCGAACCGGCTTTTGTTTGTTTTTCTAAATAGGAAGACAGAAGCTCGGGGCTGCCTGGGATGGCTCCACAAACAGGCCCGTGGCCAGAGTAGGCGTCCGGGGACCGAGCTGGGCAGCCAGGGGCCGCAGGGATTGAGGAGGGGACTCTGGAGGCCAGGCTAACTGAGCCTGTGAGGGGACCGGCACGGTGGGCAGGCAGGGCTGGGGAGAGTGGGTCCGTCATGTCAGGCGTCCCTTGCAGAAGTGGGAGGGCAGCAAGGCAGAGACTGGACTGGCCCAGGGCAGGGCCTAGAGTGGACCCGCCTCCCTCAGCCCTGGCTCTGCCCTGCAGCCTCCCGCCTCACCCCAGGATGTGCAGGAATGGGCCCATCCCCTGTGAGCTGCCTTTTTCTTGCCTATCAATAGCAAACCAGTGCCAGTGTCAAATGGTCCATTGATGTCTCCCTTCTGCTGCAGAGGGGGCCGTAGCCAATGAATTGGGGCCTTCCCTGGTCAGCCAAGAGAGTGGAGGGGGGCTGCTTCCTCAGAGGCCAGGGGAGCCGCAGATGCTGCGCAGGTATCCACGGGCCTTCTTGGCCCTGGGGTTCTCAAGGCCTGGTTTCCTCTGCATCTCGGGGCATCCCGGAAGAGAGGGGAGGCAGTGGTGGTACCCTCAGACTTACAGGAATCTTTTGTGAAAAAAAGAGATATAGACAGACATAGATATAACTATAGATGATATAGGTACAGGGTTAAACTATTTGAAAGAACCACTCTAATAGATCAAAAATGGTCTAATATCAATTTTATGTGGTTCAGTCCAACAGCAGTAGTTACAAAGGTGTAAAAGTAATGATGACATAGATATAAACATACACACATATACACAGAAACACAAATATGTCTGCCTATGTTTAAATGATACGATAGTCATTAAATTTACCTGTTTTTCTGAACTGGCCGAGACAAATCTCACTGATCTTTTTTCTGCCCTCTGTGCCTGACCCCACAAACACTAAACACGTCGATGTGGTCTAAGGGTCTCTATAGTCTCAGGGCTCACTTCAATAGTGATCAGCCCTCCAGGGATTGCTGGCTAGGATTGAACCTCATTCACCTGTTGCCAGGCTAGACAGCAAAAAGAGAGCTTTGGCATCAGGAAAATCTGAAGCTGAATCCCCCGCCTTGAAACTTACTACTGGTGTGACCTTGGTTAAAGATGTCAACTCCTGGAGCCTAGTCTGTGAATAGGGGGTTAAAAACAAGACCTCCTTGGTTTTGCCTTTGTGGAGATGCAATAAGGTAATATACACCAGGACCCGACACACTGATACACAAAACAGCCTTAACAGGTTGGTGTTCCTCACCTCTGTTTTTCTTACTGGGCCCTTCTGGGCTACCAGGAGGGAAAAAAAAACTGCTTTGGCCCTGGTGCATGGGGAAGACAGAAAGCATTTTTTATGTAACTTTTTTTAATTACAAAAGTAATCCAAGTTTATGATATACAATTCAGAGAAGTAAAATAAAAGAAGAAAGTAAAAGCTCTCTAATCCTACAACCTGAGACTACCAGTGTTAATATTTTATGTTAAGAAGAAGTCTTTCATTTACAATTTGCAAGTAGAGAAAACCTGGCTCAAACCAGTTTAAGACAAAAAGGAATTTTTGAGGTCCTGTGATTAAAATGTTCAGAAGAAGCTTGTCAGGCATCAGGCACGGATGACCCAGGCATTACATGATGTCATCGGGGGATCTACTGTTTTCCATCTTTACATCTGCCTTCCTCTGTGTGGCTTCAACCTTTGGCAGGAATGATGGCCACCAGCAAGTCTAGGCAGACCTTATGTACAGCAATAGAAAGAGAGCATCTCTGTATCCTTTGCTCTTGCAGAAGTCCCAGAATTCCATTTGGTTGGCCCAGACCAGGTCATGTGCCCACTCCTGAACCAATCACTGTGATTCTGATGGGTCAAGCCTGCGTCACATGTTCCCGCTGGGGCTTGGGGATAAAGTCAGTCCCACCTGAATACGTGGCCTAAAAGAGGAGGTGGATCAGTTCCCCAAAGGAAATTGGGATGCTCTTTTCAACGCAAGGGTGCACAGATGATGGATAGGCAAAACAACTCATGTTCACCACACATTTTGAATGTAATCATATACAAATATATTTTTCCCAAAAAATGTGCATAAAAGTATTGGGTAGCTTGGAGAGGCATAGATACCAGTCACCTATCCAAATGCCAGACCTATGGTCCTTATTCAAGGCTGCACCCTGCGATTCTCCTACAGATGCTCTTTGCCTTTATGCCCTTCTAATGTAAGTCTGAAAATCAGACTTCCCAACAGACATATCTCCTCTAGAGAGAACCAAGGTGACTGCCGACCCTGACAAGGCAGAATTATCAGAAAAGAGACATTGGGCCTCACAGGCTTTGAAAAGAAACATGGCATCAAATTCCATATGCCACTCAAACAAAATGCAATTACTGCAACCATCAAGAGATCAAGGCTCCAGTTCTGCCTCTTCCCTGACTTCCCCTCTCCTGTGCCCAGTGGATCCACCTGTAAAGGAAGCATTTTAATCAGTAGCAGACACTCATTGGATCCCATCACCCAGTCTCCTGAAATCAGCACCCTTATTTCCTTTTGGAGAATTATCTCTCTCCCTCAAAGGGGTAGTTGGGTGGAATGATGAATTCAGGTGTTTGCTATGCTATGTGGAAGCCAACAGGACAAGATTAGTCCTCTCCCCTCCACTCTGCAATCAGAGAACAGGTGTGTGATCTAGGCACACCTAAAATCATGAGGACTTTGTTCATGGAACCAATGATTCATGGATGAAGACGTGAGTAGACTTTCCTTGCCCCAGGTGGTCTAACTCATAACCAGGCCACTCCTACTGTGACACCATGTTTGTAGTTGCTATTCCCTGGGTGTCCAGAACATCCCTGCCATATCTATGCTTGAAATTCCTTGATATTCTGCCAATGAATGTCTCAATGCTTATCTGTTTCTGTTGCTTACAACGAAAGGACCTAAACCAATTAGTGCTCTAAGGGCCCTTTCAATTCTGTAATTGTCTGAGAGGATAGTTGTGAATGAGACCACTTCTGAACACTCACATCCATGTCCTTCCCTTCCTCCCTGGGCACACCACAAGATCATATTTCCCAGGCTCACTTGCAGCTAGGCAAGACCATGTGACTAAATTCTGGCCATTGGAATGTGGGCATTAAGCAATGTGTGTCACTTTCAGGGTTGGCCCATAGAACCTCAATGCAATTCTCCCTGGAGTGGACTCAGGTCCTGGAGGAGGGCAGGGCCACATGCTGGGGGAGCTTGCAATGAATGCTTGCACTGAGCACAGAACCATCCTCATCTCCAACCCCTGTCACCATTTCAGATCTCATGGGTGAGAAATGGAGCTGCATCATCTTAAGGCACAGAGACTTTGAGGTTTACTTGTTATAGCAGCTGATGTGGTGTGCCCTAACTCATACAATAATTCTCCAGAAAGGGATCTATGCCTTCAAATTGGCAAAGAAGACATCATCAAAGCCAAGAAGTGAACATCAGCTACTGTTTCTCTTGTCAGCCAGAGCAGTAAGTTTCCCCAGACCATGGGCCAGGCCACGTCTCCTGTAATGCGGAAGGGGTTTGATCAGCAAAGAGCCTCAGCCTGAGGCAGGCCACTCTGTGATGACTGCTCCTTTATTGCTCCTTCAAGTAGAACCTCCAATTACATGAAGGGTGAAGTTTCATCAGGGACCCTGGGATTTTGAAGTGACTTTTGGATGTTCTGGAGTCTTCCCTTCAGAGTTCACTGGGCTGGACTCCTTTTCCCAGAGCACTTTGGGAAGATCCTTCCCTGAGTAGATGAGCAGATGTTGATTTGCATATATGCATGTTTCTGGCCTCTGATGAGATTAGGAGGTGCATTTTTAATCAAAGCCTCCAGCGAGGCTGGGCCCTGGGAGGCAGACTCAAGGTGGGAAGAGGAAATGTCACAGCAAAGAGGGTGTGGGCCTGGGAGAAAGAAACTCTCAGAGCTGAGCTTTGTTTATAAAATTAGAGATGGCTTGGTGTACCTCTGTGGCTGGGAAACAGGGATGAAAATGGAGGGAGACACTCATCCAGCGCCCTGCACTCACTGTCTATAAAACCTTGGACAAGTCTTGTCTTTCTCTGTGGCTCAGTTTCCTGTATGAAATGGAGGGTTGGGGTGATGCCCCTGGACCTGTTAACTTTCCCAGGTTATTGTGAGATTTTTAAAATGTCATGGACATGATATTCTTTGCGAATATCCTGCCCTGATTATCCAGGTGGGAGAAATTCTCTCCTGACAGTTGCAAGCAGGAGAGCCCACCCACCCTCCCTACCCCAGGGCCCCTGTTGCTGAAGAAGGGTCAAAGGGTTTGTCCCAGAAGAATGTAGCCTTTTTGCACCAAGATGCCTGCTTGGAGCCAGTTGTAGGGTAGAAACTCTCCAGCAATCCTTCTGGTGAACGAAAGATAATCTCCTTTTATTGGAAGACAATGTTGAGAAATTATTCCAAGGTGAAATCTGGATTCCCCGAGTTATCTAATTCACAGAGTGAAATACCCTAAAGTCTTTAGAAAGAATAACCTGAGTCTGCAAGTATTCCTTAAACACATCAAGAACCTTTGCCCTGGCTGTCCTCTCTGTTTGGAAAGCTCTTCCCCCAGGGTTGACTACCAGTTTTTATTCATGTCTCTGCTGAAGTGTCACCCCCTCAGAATGGCCCTCCCTGACAACCCTGGCTGCAATACCTCTTTTGCCTCATTCTTTTATCTCTAACACAGAGCATTTAATCTCAGCACTATTGACATTTTCTGCCAGATATTTTTTTCTTGCAAGATCCTATACTGTGCATTGCAGGATGTTCAACAGCATCTCTGATGTCTATCCACAAGATGCCAGTAGCACCCACCCATGGAAAGCTATGACAATCAAAAATCTCCCCAGACATTGTCAAATGTGCCCCTAGGGAATGGAATCCATAATCCTCCCAGTTGAGAACCTCTGGTCCCACGCGTTTCTTTTTGCTTTTTTGGAGACAGGGTCTTGCTCTGCAGCTCAGGCTGGAGTGCAGCAGTGTGATCTCCGCTCACTGCAACCTCCACCTCCTGGGCTCAAGTGATCCTCCTACCTCAGCCTTCCAAGTAGCTGGGACTACAGGCACACATCACCACACCTGACTAATTTTTGTATTTTTAGTAAAGACGAGGTTTTGCCATGCTGCCCAGTCTGTTCTCAAACTCCGGGGCTAAAGTGATCTCTCCGCCTTGGCCTTCCAAAGTGCTGGGGTTACGGGCCCAAGCCACCACATCTGACCCTGTTTTTTGTTTTTTGTTTTTGTTTTCTTCTATATAGGACTTGGTGCCAGCTGAAATACATTTTCCATGTTTTTCTGATCATTTGTTTCTCAGCCCTTTCCCCGACTGGAACGTGGAGTCTGTTCAGGCAGGGATTCTGTCTGCCTTGCTTACCAGGTTGCTCCCAGGCCCAGAATAGCACCTGACAGGCCTAGGAGCCCAACAAATGCTTGTTGAATAAGTAAGCAAGTAAGGAGAAGAAGGAGCAGCTTCAGCAATCATATATGGCATGATCCTGTTAGTGTCGGTGTGCATCTGTGTAAAAGATGCAGAGGGGCATATTCTTGTGGCAGCTGGTGCAAAAAGCCTCTTAGGAAGAGGCCAATGCTCTTCTGCCTGAAGAGCATCGTTCTTCACAAGTCCACTCTGAGCAGGGTATCCCGTGGCCTATTGAGGTCAGCTCCCTGTTGGCCTTCTTAACGGGGCTGAAACTGCTCTGCAGGAGATAAAGATCAGAACCCTCTGCTGGTTCCCACCACACTCAGAATAAAAGCCAGTATGTGCGCAGTGGACTGTAGAGGCCCTATCAGAACTACACCACATGCTTCTCTGGCCTTCATCTCCTTTATTCTGCCCCCTTTAAATTCATTCTGACCAACTGGCCTCAGGGCCTTTGCACTTGCTGTTGTCTCTCGCTGGACACTTTTTTTTTTTTATTTTACTTTAAGTTCTGGGATGCATGTGCAGAACTTGCAGGTTTGTTACATAGGTATAAGTGTGCCATGGTGGTTTGCTGCACCTACCAACCCATCTTCTAGGTTTTAAGCCCAGCATGCATTAGGTATTTGTCCTAATGCTCTCTCTCCCCTTTGCCCCCCACCCCCCAACAGGCCCTGGTGTGTGATGTTCCCCTCCCTGTGTCCATGTGTTCTCATTGTTTAACTCCCACTATGAGTGAGAACGTGTGGTGTTTGGTTTTCTATTCCTGTGTTAGTTTGCTGAGAATGATGGTTTCCAGCTTCATCCGTGTCCCTGTAAAGGACATGAATTCATTCTTTTATATGGCTGCACAGTATTCCATGGTGTACATGTGCCACATTTTCTTTACCCAGTCTATCATTGGTGGGCATTTGGGTTGGTTCCAACTCTTTGCTTGGAACACTCTTTTTTTTTTTTTTTGAGACAGAGTTTCGCTCTTGTTGCCCAGGTCGGAGTGCAATGGTGCGATCTCGGCTCACCTCAACCTCCGCCTCCTGGGTTCAAGCAATTCTCCTGCCTCAGCCTCCCGAGTAGCTGGGATTATAGGCATGCACCACCATGCCCAGCTAATTTTTTTTGTATTTTTAGTAGAGACAGGGTTTCTTCTTGTTGGTCAGGCTGGTCTCGAACTCCCGACTTCAGATGATCTGCCCGCCTCAGCCTCCTGAAGTGCTGGGATTACAGGCGCGAGCTGCTGTGCCTGGCCAGAACACTTAATACCAGCTATTTTCATGGCTTCAACCCTCCCCATCTCCTCTAGGTGTCTGTTCAAAAGTCACCTCTTCAGGGAGGCCTTTCCTGACCACCCTGTTTATTTAGTGTTCAAGTATGGCTGTCTCCCCCATGATAATGGCAGCTCCTTGAGGGCAGGGGCTTTTGTTCTCTCGCTGTTCCTCCAGCACCTAGATAATTGTTTGGCACGTTCTTGGTTTGTGTGCATGGAGATGGCATGTGTGTGACTTATTTAACACAGTGATGCCAGGCCTAAAACCATGCCTGAAACATAATGGATGTTTTGAGTGGATTCCCCAACATCCACCCTGAAACAGAGTTGGGTGAAAGTGATTTAGTAGACAGCATTTTCAGAAACAACCCACAGGGGATGGCAGAGTGGAACAAGGAAGGGAAGAAGGCCAAGAGACAGTGCATATCATGCAAAGTCCTGTGGAAGATTCCTTGGGCTGGAGATGGCGTAGGTCACACATCAGAGCTGTCCCAGTCAGGGGCAGGAGAGGTGAAGTTTTTTGTTTGTTTGTTTGTTTTGCTTGTTTGTTTGTTTTCTTTTTTTTTTTTTTGAGATGGAGTCTCGCTGCATTGCCGAGGCTGGAGTGCAGTGGCGCAATCTCAGCTCACTGCAACCTCCACCTCCTGGGTGCAAGCGATTCTCCTGCATCAGCCTCCTGAGTACCTGGGACTACAGGCACCCGTCACCACACCCAGCTAATTTTTGTATTTTTGGTAGAGACAGGGTTTCACCATGTTGGTCATGTTGGTCTCAAACTCCCAACCTCAGGTGATCTGCCCGACTTGGCCTACCAAAGTGCTGGGATTACAGGCTTGAGCCACCGCACCCGGCCGGCAGGTGAAGTTTTCACACCCTATCCCCATCAGGCTGCTCTAGAAGGCTGTATGTGCTGCTCTCCGTGCATTCAGACAAAGCACCGCAACCCAAGGGCAGCACACCAATAAAAGGATGCAGGTGCCGGCTGCTGGGAGAGATAGTGCATCCAGAGCCAGGATGTGATGAGCCTCAAGATGGAAAAAGGATCTGGGGGTTTGTTCATGGAGCCCCGACAGTGTCTGCCGCAACATGTGGGCTCCATATTTGTTGAATGAATACTCTGGCTTTGCTCAATTGCAACTGGAACATTCTTGTAGCTAAAGAAGTGACCTCATTCCATGCTTCCACTATTCATACTTCTCACTGAAATGAGGACACCGGGACCCACTCCCAGGGTTTGGGCAGGGTTACATGGGTGGCCATATGCACTCACATCCCACTCCCTGAACTTCAGGCAGAGGTGCCCCAGCCCAAGGCTGAGTGTGTTCCCTGGTTCATGTGCTGTGGACCCTGAGGTTGAGCCCACAAAGACGCTGTCCCCAGAGCATTGTCCCTGGGGCAGGCCTCATGCTCATCGGCTTCCTCTGCTGCAACTCAAGTCAGTTTCTGACTTGCTCTCTAACATCTCCATGCCTTCACAGAGGCCATGCACTATGCCCGGCATGCCCTTCTTTCTCTTCTTTGTTTCGAAATCTGAGTTTTTCCTTCATGAGCAGTTCAAATGTCACTTCTCAAGTGAGTAAAACCTCCCCAACTGCATTTTCCCTAGGCTCTTCCAACAAACACCCAGGAGAGAACCCCTATTCCACCTCAACACCAGCGCCCCAGCCTGTGCACACAGTCCTGCTCTGGGTGGTTTCCCTGTTAGGCAGCAGCTGTAGCTCTGTCTCTCTGGTAGCCCAGTGCCTGCTGGGTGCCTGGCTTCCAGATGTGTGACATGTGTTTAATCAACGAACTGATCAACTGACCCACCAAAAAGGAAGAGGAAGGACAGAAGTTACTTAAACCTGAATCCTTCTTCGTGGCATCTTCCCCCACCCCACATGGACCTGGGACTGAGCATTCAGAGATGGTTCTGACTTTTGAGGTTACCAATGGGGACCTTCCTTCTGAGGTTTCCTTTCCTTGCAGTGGTCTGCCATGGCCTTGGGGACTTCTCTCCACATCATTTCCTGCCCCAGAAACTTCTGGAGCCTGGTCAGACTCTGGAGCCCCAAGAGTTAACCGCCTCAACCTCAGCTCAAACTGCTTATTGTCAAATGGATTTCTTGAGCCAGCCAGAATGCTGGGGAGCCCGGGCTGAGCTGGGTCGAGCGGAGGTTTATTTTTCTGCTGACTACCATCTCCCAGTTGAGTATCTTTCCCAGGACAGATCTCCAGCCCCGTTTTCCCTGGCTCTCTCTCCCCATATAAAAACAACTTTATCTCTAAAGAGCAAATAACACCCAGGGCTCATAACAGATGCCAAGAACTGTTTCTATTTTGATTTTTGAAAATAAAAATTCAACTGTGTTCAATAAAATTCAGAAGCCGCTTCCCTCTGTGGAAATTAAAGGAATCCAAGACGCCCGAGAAGCCACCGACCTTCCTAATTAAAGCTGCAGCAACGGCGGGAATCCACTTTCTACAACCAGCCTGCTCTTGCTGAGCCGAGAACAAAGCCGGCCCCCATCAATATTTCATTCTCTCTTTTCTTCCACGATAACAATGCCGTGTGTTCTGAGTGCGCCCCCCAAAAAGACATGCAGAGCTATGTTAATTAGGGTTTAAATAATTGACGCCCCAGATCTCACTGTTTTTCCGGAAGTGTGCAGGGTGAGTTGTTGGCATGGCTCATAATTGCATCTGTTCATGGTCACAGCCCTTCTGTCTCTCTCTCTCTGTCTGTCTGTCCAATTTGGCAGGTATGGGCTCAGGGTTCTCCTAAATTGCTCCCATCCTGAGGTTTTAGGTGTGTTTTTTTTTTGCTTTCAGTAGTAGGCCTGAGTTTGATAAGATGTGTTAACTTGGGACCTACTCACAGGAGGTGAGCTCTGTACTTTGTCCTGCCTGGGCCAGGGGCCAGGCCACCCCCAGGCCTCTGACTATGTTCTGGGCACACTCCCTAGATACCTGATGTGATGTGCAGGGAAGGCAAGTAAACAGTTTTTGAACAGAGGGAAGGGAAGGGAAGGGGAGGGGAGGGGAGTGGAGGGGAGGGGAGGGGAGGGGAAGGGAGGGAAGGGGAAGGGAAGGGAAGGGAAGATGAATGAATTAGTCCTGTGGGCCCATGGTGACTTTTCTCCTCCTAGGTAAGATAATGAAAACAAGATGGACAATCCAGTGCAGGTCTTCCTGTGCAGATAGTACCTGATATGGTTTGGATGTTTGTCCCCTCCAGAACTCACGTTGAAATGTGATTCCCAATGTTGGCGGTGGGGCCTGGTGGGAGGTATTGAATCACGGGAGCAGATCCCTCATGAATGGTTTAACGCCATCCCTTTGGTGGGGAGTAAGTTCTCGCTCAGTTAGTTCACATGAAATCTGGTTGTTTAAAAGAGTCTGGGACCCCCCCTTTCTCTTGCTCTTGCTCCTGCTCTCCCCATGATGTGACATGCCTGCTCTCCCTTTGCGTTCTGCCATGAATGGAAGCTTTCTGAGGCCCTCACCAGAAGTCGAGCAGATGTTGGCATTATGCTTCCTGTACAGCCTGCAGAACGGTGAGCCAGTTAAACCCCCTTTCTTTATAAATTACCCAGCCTCAAGTATTCCTTTATAGCAATGCAGGGATGGCCTAATATAGTACCTTAGTACCTTGTTCTCTAGATAGCAATGAGAAAGCTTTGAGGTTGTGGTTAAGAGCACAAACTCTGAACAAGACAACTGAAGTTTTGATCCCAGCTCTGCCACTTACTAGTTGTATGACCTTGGACAAGGTACTTGGCCTCTCTGTTCTTCAGTTTCTTCGTCTGTGCAATGAGGATAACAATAGTACCTACTTCACAGGGTTGATGTGACCTCTAGGCTGTGGACATCTGATGTGTTACATCAAGTAGAATCCACTCTCACTATTCTTGTTGTTCCAGGTCACTGCCATCCCTGCCACCCCTGCCACCCCATGCACCTGAGAAGTACCTACTCCAGTGTTCAGAGAGGCCTCCCAGCTGGCAGAAGAAGTGTGAACTAGGATCCCAGTACTCTGCCCTCCAGTTCTCATCTTGGTCATTTTCTATCAAGCTGCTGCCCTGATATGCGAGGTCACTGTCACTTCTGCAGGGCTCTCTACTATGCTGATGGCCCCCTAACTTCCAGGACTCATGGCTCCATCAGGTGGTTTTAAATCTCGGGATCTGTCCTCTGAACTCCCCAGCCCCCTATCCTGCACATCACACAAGTGGTCAGTGTCCGTGCAGCCCTATCATTGGCCCCTGCACCCAGAAACCTGGGCAGCTGGAGTCCAGTTCAGAGTCTCACTTTGGCCACCAAGTCTGCCCAACCCCATCCAAACCCAAGAGGAATCTTAGCGCCCTCTCTGTAGATGAAAAAGTAGAAGTTTCTTCCCTAGTGGAAGACCATGGAGGGGATGGGTCCTTCTTTGCAGAAACCAAGCTTTCTGCCTACATTGTCTTGCCCTCCGGCCCTTCTTCCGCCCCCACCCCTCAACCCTCATCCCTGCAGAGTCGTAAAACACAGGAGTCTTTACTTGACTTTGACTCAAGTACTCAGAGGTCATCCCAAGGGCCTGGGGTTCAGGACCTGCTTATCTATGCACAGTCATTTTCTACCTCTTTTCTCCACTTATTCAACAAACAAACTACCATTCTCATTCAGACCTCCCAGCATTTACCCATGCCATTTCCTCCACCAGGAAGGTCCTTCCTCCTCTTCCCTGGCAAATCTTACACATCAGCCAACACTCAGTTACAATGTAATTGTGATAATTAGATGTTCCTTGGGGCTCCCACCATTGGTCACAGACTGACGCAGTGAGTGGTGCCTATAGCTGGCTTCTCAGTTGTATTGGGAAGGCAGCATGGATGGGGGTTGGAGATGAGATATGACTTATCTCCAGTGTCTGACCCAGCATCTGGCTCATAGCAGTTCTCAGTTATATGAGTGGATGGATGGATGGATGGATGGATGGATGGATGGATGGATGGATGGATTAATACAGGTGGATAAAATGGTTACATGGCTAGGAGGTGAGTAGGCAGGTGCTTGGTGGATGTATGGGAAGATGAGTAGATGACAGAGGAGAACATCAGTAGACAATGGCTAGGGGCATGTGCGAAGGTTGGATGACTTTTTTCACTGATCTCCCTATCCTGTCTGTTTCCAGTGTCCACTCTTCTGACCCTTCTGACAGACACATCTTCTCTGGCCCGGACACACAGACCTGCCTTTGTTTTATGAACACATACCTATACTGCAGCTCTGGAGCAGAGAGAGCTGAACTAATTGGGTGAGAGGTGGATGGATGGACCCGTCCAATAAGGAGGGACTGAAGAACCAGAGTCCTGGAGTTCCTGGAAGAGCCACCGTCCTCCAATGGGGACATAAGCTGGGGAAGGGAGTCTCTCTCCCCTTGGCTGTCTTTTGCCCTTATGTGTTGGAGTTCCTGGAGGTCCCACACACTCTGCTGCACTGCCTTAAATTCTATCCTTTGCAATGAGGCCTTGCCTTTTCCAGGAAGCCCCAGCTGAAAGCAGAGTTCTTACTTCTGGGAGTCACTGATGCCTTCATATGATTAGCTTGTAAGCCTGCTGAAAGAATCATGGAAAGGTCTCTGGTTGTCAAGAGAAAGGATAGCTTTAAGAACACACGACCACCAAATGGTGGGGTCCCTCGAGACACAAAATTCTGCTGGTTATCCTGCTGATGTCATGTTTGGCAAGCCTCTCTTGGATGATGGAAGGATTTAGCAGTGGCCTACTGTATGAACAGCTGCTCTTGGTGGGGCCCTCCAACCACTCCCTCTTCTTTTGGGAACTTCACCCTCATTTTCTTTTGAAGACATGCTCTGCCATATCCCATCTCCATGTAGTTCTTGCTGAATTGACACATGTCTCAAGCCAGGCCACACGACACCTAATGGGCACTGAAGCGGCAAATGCTCTCCTTATCCACTGGGCTTCTGACACTCTCAGGGAGTCAGCCTGCAGACTCCCAGCATACAGCCCCCTTGGCGGATGAGGGGGACAGAAGAACCAGAGTGCTAGGGTCCCTGGGAGAGCCACAGCGCAAGGCTGCTGAGAGTGAGGCTGGCACAGAGGAAAGCCAGGTTGAGCGATGGAGCCAGTCACCCTTCTGAAACTCTGTCCACAGCCCCGAGCCTCAGCTTTCTCTCCCTTACAATGGAAGAGCCCTGAAGCATCCACCTGCCTTCCCTCCTTCCTTCTGCCCAGGCCCTGAGCCTGGGTGAGCCTCCTTGGGATGACCCCAACATCCTCTGCTGAGACCCAACCTACCCCATGCCATCTCTCAACAGTTCCCTTCCTAGGCTTCCCCAGCCCCGTTTCCAGCTTGCCATGGCTGGAACCCTAGAAGGTTCCCTAGAAGGTCCCTAGCAGGACCCCTAGAAGGCAGATGTGGGGACTCCTCTCCCTCACACGTCTCTGGAATTGTTTCCGGAAGTGGAACAGCATTGACCAACCTCCAGCAACCCAGGCAGAGAAGCCATGGCCTTTCTTGACTCCTTGCAGTGTCTATCCCTCAAGCATTCATCTGATGGGCCCAGCACAGCACATGGAGAAGAATGTGGCATCTGTGTCTGAGACATGCACTGGCCTCGCGGAGGAGATTAACACACTCAGGGTCCTGCCTCCAGGCCTTTGTCTATGCTGAACTCCTGGCCAGGAAGGCTGGCTCTCTTCTGCATGATGAAAGCCTCTCCATTGCTTAAGGTCCTGCTGAGATGCCTTCTCCTCCAGGAGTCATTCCTGGATGCCGCCTTATGGAGTTCTCCCTCCTTGTCTGTTCCCTTTCCCTTTCCTGGGACTCTTTTTTTTTTTTTTTTTTTGAGACAGAGTTTCACTTTTGTTGCCCAGGCTGGAGTGTGATGGCGTGATCTCAGCTCATCACAACCTCAGCCACCCGGGTTTCAAGTGATTCTCCTGCCTCAGCCTCCTGGGTAGCTGGGATTACAGGTGTGCACCACCATGGCTGGGAAATTTTTGTATTTTTAGTAGAGATGGGGTTTCTCCATGTTGGCCAGGCTGGTCTCAAACTCCTGACCTCAGGTGATCCACCCACCTTAGCCTCCCCACGTGCCGGGATTACAGGCATGAGCCACCGCATCCGGCCCTTTTCTGGGACTCTTAGCTGGGCTCCCTTGAGGCTGCCTGTCTATGTCTGACTTGGTCTCCTCTGCAAACCAGGGAGTCAGGGAAGGGCATGGACTTTTCCCTGCTCCCTGAGAGTCCCCTGATGTCCCACATCACCACCTATCCTGAGACACCACTCCTCTGTTTGAGGCTCCTTCATCCTCCTTGTCCCATTTTGGTTGGCCTGGCCTTTGGGGACAGATAAGATAGGGTTGTTCTTCCATTTCTGCATATTGTTCCAGGACTTTCAATCAGACCTGATTCTGATGCAACCACAAGGCTGGAAGGGCCAGTTATATTGCACGAATGGGGGTTGGGGGTGAGAAAGGACTCACTTCCAGGGCCTGACCCAGCATCTGGCTCACAGCAGTTCTCAGTTATGTGAGTGGGTGGATATGCAAGCTCTAGAGAGGATCTGCATAGAAATCTTGCCCTCACTCGCTTGGCAGCTGGGCTCCCCACCAATGCTGCCCTCGAACTTGCTGGGAGACTTGCTTTTCAGAGCCTCGCTTCACTCATGGTGTGAAAGGAAATGTGTTCTTCTTCCTGGCTACCCAGAACAGGCCTAGGGGAGGCCTCTGAGCTCTACAAGCCCATCTGCTTCTTTGGGGCTCACAAGATGGTAACGAGTACCACCTGCAACGTGCTCATTGTACAGATGGGAAACCGAGACCTGGGGCATTCCCTGCCTGCAGCAGTCACCTGGCTGGTAGGAACTGGGTGCCAGGAAGACTGAGCCAGGCAGATCCACACCAACCAATGAATCATTCTTGTCCAGGAACAGAGCAGCTGGGGGCTATAAGCCAACATGAGGAAGGGGCCCCAGGTGACTCTGGACCTCTCACTATAGGCATTTCTGTATAGCTAGATAGCCCTAATGACCATGAGCTGACACAATTGAACACTCACCAAGATACCAGGCTATTGAAGTGCTTTGTAGTCATTATCTCACTTGATATTCACAACACTCCATGAAGTGGAACACTTCTTATCCCCATTGTATTGATAAGAAAACTGAGGCTTGGAAAAGTGAAACGACCTGTCCAAGATCACACAGCAAGCAGTTGAGTTGGGATATAAACCCAGATATCTGACCCAGAGGCCCCAACTCTTACATTTGAGCTTGACTCTTTCATCCTTACCTACATCTGATCGCCTCTGACCTTCACAACGGCCCTGTGAGTAGTTCAGTGGACATCACGTTCCCATTTTATAGATGAGGAAAGTGAGACCCAGCAAGAGAGGGACAGTGATTTGCCCAAGGAACCACAGCAAGTCAAGAGCAGAGACTGGGCTTGAACACAGGGCTCCTGACTCCCAGGTGCAAGCATTTCATCTGCCACCAGGCAACTGTGGAAGCCATGGGTTCTGGCTTCAGTCCTCACAGCTGCTGATCTCCTCAGTCACTCAGCAGTGATCTCTTTGTTCCTAAATCTAATGAGTTTGTCAGTCTTTGTTGATATGTACCCTTGACAGTATATGACATGTTAATCACTAGGTCCTCCCTGAGGCATGCCCTTCCCAGACTCCTCACTGGGTGGTTTTCTGACTTCTCTGATTCATCCCTCTCCACATCCTCCAAGCCACCTCTTTCTCAGCCCACGCCTTAAGTATCAAAGTCAGTGGGGGTTAGCCCTCTCCCCTCCCTTGTCTTTCCCTCCCTTCTCCTCCTCTTATTTAATCCTCTCTTCCTGGACACCCTCATAAACTTCCATGGACCCCTTGTCATGCCCAAGCCTTCAGATATCAGCTGAGATATGGACTCACTGTCAGTGTTGACAGACTGTCTGTTCTGTTGTCTACTTGATAGTACAACTCAGGCGTCCTACAAACAGTTCAAACTCAGAATCTCACATGGCAAGGTACTTCAGAGCCCACACTCTGATGCCAGATCACCCGTGTTCAAATCCTGGCCCTTATTCTTGCCATCTGTGTGGTCTTAACTACTTATCTTCCCTATCTATAAAATGGGAGCAATGATAGTACTCTCCCTATCTCACTGGGTTGCAGGGAGGATTTAAAGTGTTCATACAGCTAAAGCACCTTGGAACAGTCCTGCCTCACAGTCATTGTTTTTGTTTGTTTGTTTTGAGATGGAGTCTTGCTCTGTCACCCAGGCTGAAGCGTAGTGATGTGATCTCAGCTCACTGCAACCTCCACCTCCTGGGTTCAAGCGATTCTTCTGCCTCAGCCTCTGGAGTAGCTGGGATTACAGGTGCCTGCCACCATGCCAGGCTAATTTTTGTATTTTTAGTAGAGATGGGGTTTCCCCATGTTGGCCAGGCTGGTCTCAAACTCCTGACCTCAGGTGATCCGCCCTCCTCAGCTTCCCAAAGTGCCGGGATTACAGGCGTACCACCTCGCCTGGCCGCTCACAGTCGTTGTTATATGGATATTTCCTATTGTTGCTAACATTGCCTCCTCCTGCCCTCTAACCCTGTCCCTTCATCAGCCTTTCCATCTCAGCAAGTAGCACCATCCTCTGCCCCAATGCCCAAATGGAAACTGAACCTCACCTTGCTGCCCTGCTCTTTGCTTCCTGATATGGTTTGGATCTGTGTCCTTGCCCAGATCACACGTCAAATTGTAATCCCTCATGTTGGAGGTGGGGTCTGGTGGTAGGTAATTTGATCAGGAAGGCAGATTTCCTACTTTGGTGCTGTTCTCATGATAGAGTTTCATGAGATCTGGTCATTCAAAAGTGTGTGGCACCTGCCCCCCAACCCCTTGCTCCTTCACCGGCCATGGGGAGTGCTACTCCCCTTTTACCTTCTGCCATGATTCTAAGTTTCCTGAGGTCTCCCCAGAAGCCGAGCACATGGCCAGCATTATGCTTCCTGTTTGGCCTGTGGAATCACGAGCCAATTAAACCTCTTTTCTTTATAAATTACCCAGCCTCTTTTTTTTTTTTTTTTTTTTTTGAGATGGAGTTTCACTCTTGTTGCCCAGGCTGGAGTGCAATGGTGCTATCTTGGCTCAACGTAACCACTGCCTCCTGGGTTCAAGTGATTCTCCTGTCTTAACCTCCCCAGTAGCTGGGATTACAGCTACGGTAATCCTGGGATTGCGCCGCCATGCCTGGCTAATTTTGTATTTTTAGTAGAGACAGGGTTTCACCATAATGGTCAGGCTGGTCTCGAACTCCTGACCTCAAGTGATTCGCCCACCTTGGCCTCCCAAAGTGTTGGGATTACAGGCGTGAGCCACTGCACCCAGGCTCGTGTATTTCTTTATAGCAATGTGAGAACAGACTAACACACTTCCTTACCACTGCCCGCACCATTATGCAGTGCTATGCATTCTCCCAGCTTAATACTTTCCACAAGCATCCACATCTCACCTTCCCACCGCCACCCTCCTGGCCCTTGTCCTCTCACCTCTCTCGGGCCCTACAGCAGCTCCCTCCTGGTCTCACAGCCTCTAGTATTTCCCCCTTCAATCTGCCCTCCATCCTGAGAGCAAACAATCTTCCTAGGGCTCCTTCTGAACACGTCTCCACCCCCACGGCCCCCGGGAAGAAGTCCCAAGGCTCAGCAGCCTCCAGAGACCCTCAGGATCTGGCTTCTGCAGCCTCTCCTCCTCACCCCATTGCTGGTCTAGCTGCCCATGGGCCTGAACTGCTTAACTCTTGGACTTTGGACATGCTTTTGTTTTCCATTTTGTTTTGTTTTGTTTTGTTTTTTAGAGATAGGGTCTTGCTCAATCACCCAGGCTGCAGTGCAGTGATGTGATCGTAGCTCACGGCAGCCTCAAGCTGGGTTCAAGTGAGCCTCCTGCCTCAGCCTCCTCAGTAGCAGGACTGCAGGTGCATACCACCGTGCCCGACTAACTTTCTTATCTTTTATAACCACAGGGTCTTGCTATGTTGCCCAGGCTGGTCTGAAATTTCTGACCTCAAGTAATCCCCTCATCTGGGCCTCCCAAAGCACTGGGATTACAGGAGTGAGCACCTGGTTGGACATGGTTCTGCATCCTCCTGGGATATGCTTCTGCATCCTCCTGGGATATGCTTCCTCCTCCTTCTCTTTCTCCTCCTCCTCTTCCTCTCTCTCCTCCTTCCCCTGGAGCCTTCCTACACCCCCCCCCCCCCACTGAATCCTGCTCCTGCCCCAGGTCTCACTTAGAAGTGCCACAGCCTCCTGGATTTACTCCAGTGGCTGTCCCGGTCTCACCAGGCTGGAGCTGTCTGTGTCCCCCATCAACTCGGAGACCCCTAAAAGTGGTATGTTCATTTTCTACTGCTACTTTAAAAATGACCACAAACCTGATGTCTTGAAACAATACACACTTATTACCTCTCTGTGTCCCTGGGTCAGGAGGCTGGACATGGCCAAACAGGGTCCTGGGCTCAGGGTCTCATGAGGCTGCAGTCAAGGCATCAGTTGGGCTCCACAGTGCTTAGGTTGTTGGCGGAATTCAGTTTCCTGTAGCTGTGGGCCTGAAGTTCTTGCTTTCTTGCTGGCTATCAGCAGTGGGGGCAATGCTCTCAGTCTGTTTTGAGAGGCTACCTGTGGTCCTTTCCATGTGGCCTTTTGCAGACTCTCACATGTGGCAGGTGACTTCTTCAAAGCCAGCAGGAGAAATTCTCTTTCTTTAAGAAGGGCCCAGACTCTCTTTTAAATACATGTTACCTGATTAGGCCAGGCCCACTCAGGATAATCTCCCTTTGATTAACTCAAAATCAACTGCTTTGAGACTTAGTTACATCCAAAAAACCTCTTCGTCTCTGTTTATAGACAGAAATCCCATCATAGTCCCACCTGTACTTAAGAGGAGAGGATTATACAGGACTTGTACTCTTAGGGGTGGAAACTTTGGGGGCTGATATGGTTTGGCTGTGTCCCCACCCAAATCTCATCTTGAATTGTAGCTCCCACAATTCCCACATATCATGAAAGGGACCCAGTGGGAAGTAATTGAATCATGATGGTGGGTCTTTCCCATGCTTTTCTCATAATAGTGAGTAAGTCTCGTGAGATCTGATGGTTTTATAAAGAGGAGTTCCCCTGCATAAGCTCTTTCTCTTTGCCTGCCGCCATCCATGTGACTTGCTCTTCCTTGCCTTCTGCCATGATTGTGAGGCCTCCCCAGCCATGTGGAACTGTGAGTCCATTAAACCTCTTTTCTTTTGCCCAGTCTCAGGTATGTCTTCATCAGCAGCATGAAAACAAGCTAATACAGTGAATTGGTACCAGTAGTATAGGGCACTGCTGAAAAAATACCTGAAAATGTGGAAGCGACTTTGGAACTGGGTAACAGGCAGGTGTTAGAACAGTTTGGAGGGCCAGAAGAATATGGGAAAATATGGGAACATTTGGAACTTCCCAGAGACTTGTTAAATGTCTTTGTCCAAAATGTCAATCGTGATATGGACAATAAAATCCAGACTGAGGTCATCTCAGATGGAGATAAGGAACTTGCTGGGAACCGGAGCAAAGGTGACTCTTGTTATGTTTTAGAAAAAAGACTGGTGGCATTTTGTCCCTGCCCTAGAGATTTGTGGAAATTTGAACTGGAGAGAGATGATTTAGGGTATCTAGCAGAAGAAATTTCTAAGCAGCAAAGCATTCAAGAGGTGACTTGAGTGCTGTTAAAGGCATTCAGTTTTATGTGGGAAGTAAAGCATAAAAGTTCAGAAAATTTGCAACCTGACAATGCAAAGAAAATCCCATTTCCTGGGGACAAATTCAAGCTGGCTGCAGAAATTTGCATAAGTAATGGGGAGCCGAATGTTGATCCCCAAGACACTGGGGAAAATGTCTCCAGGGCACGTCACAGGTCTTCATGGCAGCTCCTCCCATCACAGGCCCGGAGGCCTAGGAGGAAAATATGGTTTTGCGGGCCAGGCCCAGTGTCCTTGTACTGTGTGCAGCCTAGGAACTTGGTGCCCTGAGTCACAGATGCTCCAGCCATGACTGAAAGGGGCCAACGTACAGCATGAGCCGTGGCTTCAGGGGGTGCAAGTCCCAAGCCTTGGCAGTTTCCATGAGGCATTGAGCCTGCAGCTACACGGAAGTCAAGAATTGAGGTTTGGGAACCTTTGCCTAGATTTCAGAGGATGTATGGAAATGCCTGGTTGTCCAGGCAGAAGTTTGCTGTAGGGGTGGGGCCTTCATGGAGAACCTCTGCCAAGGCAGTGCAAAAGGGAAATGTGGGGTCAGAGCCCCTACACAGAGTCCTGACTGGGGCATTGCCTAGTGGAGCTGTGAGAAGAGGGCCACTGTCCTCCAGACCCAAGAATGGTAGATCCACTGACAGCTTGCACCGTGCACCTGGAAAAACTACAGACACTCAATGCCAACCCATGAAAGCAGCCAGAATGGGGGCTGTAACCTGCAAAGCCACAGGGGCAGAGCTTCCCAAGGCCATGGGAGCCCACCTTTTGCATCAGCATGACCTGGGTGTGAGACATGGAGCAAAGGAGATAATTCTGGAGCTTTAAGATTTGACTGCCCTACTGGATTTTGGATTTGCATGGGGCCTGCAGCCCTTTGTTTTGGCTAATTTCTCCCATTTGGAATGGCTGTATTTACCCAATGCTTGTGCCCCATTGTATCTAGGAAGTAACTAACTTGCTTTTGATTTTACAGGCTCATAGGTGGAAGGTACTTTCCTTGTCTCAGATGAGACTTTGGACTGTGGACTTTCAAGTTAATGCTGAAATGAGTTAAGATTTCAGGGGACTGTTGGGAAGGCATGATTGGTTTTGAAATATGAGGACATAATATTTGGAAGGGGCTGGGATGCAATGATATGGTTTAGCTGTTTCCCCACCCAAATCTCACCTTGAATTGTAGCTAAACAGTTCCCACTTGGGAGGGACCCAGTGAGAGGTAATTGAATCAGGGGAACAGGTCTTTCTCATGCTGTTCTCATGATAGTAAGTCTCATGAGGTTTTATGAAGAGGAGTTCCTCTGCACAAGCTCTCTCTGTTTGCCTGCTGCCATCCTTGTGACTTGCTCCTCCTTGCCTTCTGCCATGATCGTGAGGTCTCCCCAGCCCTGTGGAACTGTGAGTCCATTAAACTTCTTTTTCTTCCCAGTGTTGGGTATGTCTTTATCAGCAGCGTGAAAAGGGACTAATACAGGGGCTGTCTTAGAATTCTACCTAACACAAAGGGGGACTTGCCTGCCTTATGACCATTATGTTCCAAGCTCCTGGCACATCGAAGGCACATGGAAGCAACCCTTTGTTGAATATGTGAATATGTGAATGAATTAATGACTGAATGAATGAGTCAAATGGCCACCAATCTCACACCTTTCTACTTTGGAGGGGAATGATGAGATGGAGTTAGATTAGTCTAGAAGATGACCCCTGGATTCACCTTCTAATCAATTCCTTTGAAGATACCTTCAGATGCCACTGAATTGTGGAGAACGTATCTCTGTCATTCCTTGGGGGTCATTGGTATGATGAGGTGGGTGGCTGTCACTTGAGTATAGGCCCCATGAAACATAAGCTCGAGCTTCCCAATGTCCCCAAGGCCACCCCAAAGTGAGAAGTTTCTCCTGTTTTCAAGGAGTCAGCTGAGTGGTTTTTTTCGAGCCCCACATTGGCATACATTGTGTCCCGCTAGAGCCAGTGAGGCATCCCAGGGGACACCAGACTTTGTGCAGGAATCAGGGATAGATGTTGTGTGTAGTGAGCTGTGAAGAGTCACTCACTGAGAGGCTCATGGCATCCTTTATTTATTTGCATTGAAATATTTATTGGGATGTGAGGCATCTATAATAGATATGTCAGCCAGGCGGGCAGGCCTGCTAGGGGGAGAAATCTGGGTGGCCTCTCTCCTAGGCATCACTATGTTTGCTCGGTGAAAAACTCACCTGGAAAACATTTCCTGGGCACCTATTACAGACCAGGCTCTGTGCTATAGAATCAGATTTGGTCCCTGCCCTTCAGGAGGGGTGGAGAATAGGAGATGGCAGGGGAGAAACCAGTGTTTATTGAGTACCTACTGTTTGCTGAATATTTCTAACACATTATCACACTTAAGTACCAAAACAACCTGGTAATTTCAGTGGCATCATCATGCATACTGTACGATGAAGAAATTGAGGCTCAGAGAATTTCAGTAACTTGCCAAAAGTCACACAGTCTCTTTCAATCTTAAGTCCAAGGTCTTTCTACCATGCTTTGCTTCTTGAGACCTGAATTCAGAGATCTTCATAAATTTCAGCACTGAAATAAGAGTGGGTATGTACAAATAGGCAGTAGACTTGGGGTGAATTTAGCTCTAGTTAAAGTTATAGTTCGATTTTAAAGTTATATCTAGAGAAATCAGGACAGGGAGGAGATGAGGGGTCTAATCCCAGCCAAGAGGCCGATGATGAGAAAATCACTGTAGTTCTCATTGTGGGGGGTTTCCTCTGTGCCAGGCCCTATTCAAAGCACTTTAGCCTGTTGAACTCCTCCAGCCATCCTATAGGGCAGCTCAAGGAGAGACAGCAACTTGCCCAAGCTTGCCAGATACAAAGAGGCTGAGCTGGGATTTGAACTCAGGCCTGCTGTTCCCATGTACATCTCAGAAATCGTTCAATGACAGTAGATGTTTCTTGGGTCCTAGCTCTGACCAGGCAATTATTCAGGGGGCTCCATGTATATTAGTTCATCATATTCTCAGAAGCACCCCTGTGAACCCTGTACTGTTAGTAGCCCCATTTTGTGGAGGGAGAGACTAAACCACAGAGAGTCCATCCCAGGACCTGGGAGGAACAAAGCTGGGATTTAAGGCCAGGCAGCTTGGGACCCTAAGCCAATGTGTGTAATCCTTGTGACCTACTGCCTTTCTGCTAAGCTCCTGGGGCCCCAGCATTGACCTGCAGACAGACACAAGCACCTCTAGAAAAGACAGAAGGAGCTCCCGTGGGCCAGGGCCAGAGTGCACAGGCCCAGCCACACAACACGCTTCCTGGCATCCCTCTGTCTTCACTCCACTGGCTTCCTGTGATCCTGCAATCTCTGCTCTTGCTCTGCTGCTGCCTGGGACCCCATCATTTATGCTTTGCCCTCTCTAAGCTTTCCTTGCTCAGCCTGTAATGCAGAGCTCTGCAGGGCTCCAGAAAGATCCTTCCAGGTTGCTGTTCACCATCCAACACCAAATCTCTGACCCTTAGCCCTGGTTTCCTGACCAGAGACTGGTAGACAGCACCTGGATGTATAATGTTCCATTCAGAGACAAACACACACATACACAACTGTAAAAAGCCCAGAAGAGAAATACCTTAAGTTTAACTTCTTGTTTGGGCTGGCCTACTTCAGAAAGGAAGGTATCTGTGTGGGGGGGGGGGGGCAGGGGGGGTTGACTTTATGTTTTTAATTTTAAAAAAGTAATAAATGAAGTGGGTTTTTTTGGTTCTTTTTTTTTGTTTTTATTTTGTTTTGTTTTTAGATGGAGTCTTGCTCTGTTACCAGGCTGGAGTGCAGTGGCGCTATCTCGGATCACTGCAACCTCCACCTCCGGGTTCAAGTGATTCTCCCACCTCAGCCTCCCAAGTAGCTGGAACTACAGTTGCGTGCCATCATGCCCAGCTAATTTTTGTGTTTTTAGTAGAGACGAGGTTTCACCATGTTGGCCAGGATGGTCTCGATCTCTTGACCTTTTGATCTGCCTGCCTCGGCTTACCAAAGTGCTGGGATTACAGCATGCACTACTGTGCCCAAACATGCAGGTGGTTTTAAAAGTCAGATTAGTTTACAAGACTTCACGGAGAACAGCAGTCTTCTCACCGGTCCTCACCTGGCATTCCCACTCCCTAACAGCAACCACTTTCAACTCTTAAAGCTCTTTCTTCTACTATTTACCACATTTTTATATAATATCCAGCTATGTTTAAACAGTTTTATCGAGGTAAAATTGATATAAAATAAACCGTACATGTTAAAGTATATAAGTAGGTCATCACTTAACAATGTCTGTAGGTTCTTGGAAACTGTGATTTTAGGTGAAACGATGTAATGAGGGCAATTTGACCATAGGCCAGTTGATACTAACAAGAGTGAAGTTTCTAGGCATATTTCTGGTTATAAAAACATCATTGGACTTCTAAATGAAGACCCCAAACACCTCTAATATTAAACAATGAAATAAATGGGAGCTATACATAGGTTTGAGAAAGATTAATAAAAACAAATAAGGTAATTTTTTACCCCAATTATTTTAGTTCAGAGTAGAAGGTGGCCAAAGCCCATCCCGGTCAGAGCCCATCCCCACAGCAGGTGGGAACCCACCCTCGACAGGACTCCATCCCATCGCAGGACGAACTCACCCCCCTCACTCAATCATCCTGGGACCATGTAGACACACCGATGAACCTCACATGCCCAGCTTTAGGATGTCAGAGGAAAGCTGAGGACCCAGAGAAAATTCACATGGACATGGGGAGAATATGCAGATTCCACACAGACAGGGGCCTCAGCAGGGATTGATGTCTTTTTCTCAACAACATTCTAATAAAATGACCTTAATGGAAACGTTATTTGAGGACCTGCTGTAATTTAATACATTTTAATATATACATGTCCCCATGAAATCACATCACTACAGTCAAGATGATGAACATAGCCAGCTCCTTCATAATCCCTCCCTCCTGTTCCTTTTGTGACTCCCATCTATCCCTCAAGAAACCAATGACCTTCTTTCCATCACTGTCAAGTTGTTTGCATTTTCTAAAATTTTATACAAATACAATCACACAACATGTACTCTCCTTTTTTGGCTCCTTCCACTTAGCATAATTAGAGACTTGTTTGTTTTATTACATTAACAAGCTCAGTTGGTTTTATTGCTGAGGGATATACCATTCTAGGGATATACCACCATTTGTGTATCTATTAACTCAATGGACATTTAAACTCTTTCCAGTTTTCAGCTACTAGAAATAAAGTCACTGAACATTCATGTACAATCTTGGTATAGACAGATGCTTTCGTTCTTCTTGGGTAAATACACAGAATTAGAGCAATTCAATCATATGACAGATGTATGTATAACTTTTTAAAGAAACTACCAAATGGTTTTCCAAGTGGTAATACCATTTTACTTTCCAACCAGCGCTGTATTAGAGTTCAAGCTGTTCCACACCTCCGCCAACATTTGGTGTGGTCAATCTTTTTACTTTTAGCCCTTCTACTTAAATGTATAGTGGTGTCTTGCTGTGGTCTTAATTTGCATTTACCTAATGACTAATGATGTTGAGCATGTTTTCGTGTGTTTATTTGCAACCTGTATATCTTCTATGCGGAAGTGTCTGTTCAAATCCTTGACCCATTTTTTAATTGGGTTGTTTGTTTTCTTAAGTTTTCAGAGTTCTTCATATATTCTATATACAGATGCTTTATCATATATGTTATTTGCAAATATTTTCTCACAGTTTATGTCTTGTATTTTCATTCTCTAAAAGGTTGTCTTTTAAAGAGAAGTCCTTAATTTTGATGATGTTCAATTTATCAATTTTATCTTTTATGAAGTATGCTTTTGGTGTTTCTAACTATGGCTAGCCCAAGGTCATACAATTTTTTTCGCCTTTATTTTCTCTTAGAATTTTAGTTTTAGGTGTTGTGTTTTAGGTCTATGATCCATTTTGAGGTCTATGATTAATTGTTATATATGGGGAGAGGTAACAAGATCAAAGGTTATTTGTTTGCATATGGATATCTAATTATGCTGTCATCATTTATCCAAAAAAAGTCCTTTCTTCATTGAATTCTCTTTGCATCTTTGTTGAAAATTGGTTGTCCATGTATATATGGGTCTATTTATCAACTCTCTCTTCTGTTTCATTGATCTATTTGTCTGTCTCCATATCAATACCACACTGTATTGATTACTATATTGAATACTGTATTCATTCATCAGTATAAGCTAATTTAGTCTTCCAACTTTGATCTTCATTTTCAAAAGAGTTTTTGCCTATTGCAGCTCCCTTGTATTTCTATATGAATTTTAATATCGGCTTGTCAATTTCTACAAAGAAACCTGCTTTTTGATTAGAGTTTGCAATGAATTGATAGATCAATTTGGGAGAAATGACATTTTAACAATATTGATTTATGACTATGATATATTTCTACATTTATTTAGGTGTTATTTAACACCTTTGATTGATATTTTGTGATGGGCACAGATCTTGCACATCTTTTGTCAGACTTATTCCTAAGTATTTTATATTTTCTGGTGCATGGCATATCTTATTTCAATTTTCAATTACTCATTGATAGTGTATAAAATACAATTGATTTTGGTATATTGATCTTGAATGCTACAACCTTATTACACTCATTTATTAATTGTGGTAGTGATTTTATAGAGGTCATCAATTTTCTATACAATCATGTCATCTGTGAATAAATATTGTTTTGTTTCTTCCTTTCCAATCTGGATGCTTTTTAGTTGCTTTACTTGCCTTATCACACTGGCTAGACCCTCTAGAACAATATCAAATAGAAATGGGGAGAATTGACATCCCTTGTTCTTCATCTTAAGGATCAGCAATCAGTATGTCATTTTAAAGTATGATGCTAGCTGTAGGTTTTCATATAGGCCATTGTGAAGAAATTTGCTCATAATATACTGCAAGTTTTTTTAATCAGAAATCAATGTTTAAGTTTTTTAAAATGTTTTGCATGTATCCATTTGAATACTCATCTTCTTGGTTAATATAACGAATTATATTAACTGATTCTCAAATGTTAAACTAACCTTGAATTCCTGGGATAAGCCCCACTTAGTCATTGTGTACTATTCTTTTTATGCATTGCTGGATTCGAATTGCTAAAGCTTTGTTAAGATGTTTTGCCTCTATATTCATGAGCAATAATGGTCTATAGCTTTCTTTTCAAGTAATGTCTCGGTCTGGTTTTAGTATCAGCATAATGCTGGCCGACAAGAGCTGGAGAAAATTCCCTCCTCTTCAATTTTCTGGAAAAGTTTTTGAAGAAGCTGTATTGTTTCTTTATCAAATATTTGGCAGAATTCATCAGTGAATATTTTTTGGCCAGAAGTTTTCTTTATGAGAGGATTTCTTAACTACAGAATCTATTTACTTAATAATGATGCTATTCAGAATATCCACTTCCTTTCAAGTGAGCTTTGATAGTTTGTGTTTTTCAAGGGATTTGTCTATCTCGTGAACATTATTAAATTTGGTGGCCTAAAGTTGTTCATAATATTTCCCTATTAGTATTTTAATATAGGATTATATACAGTGATTGCACTTCTCTCAATTCTGATATTGGTAATTTATATCTTTTTTTTCTGATTAGCCTGGTTAAAGGTTTATTAATTTTATTGATCTCAAAGTATCAACTTTTTCTCTATTGTTTTTCTACTTTGTATTTTATTCATTTTCACTTTGATCTTTATTGTTCTGTTTTTTTCTGCTAACTTTGAGTTTAATCTGTTCTTTTAATTTTTTTTCTAGATTCTGAAGATGGAAGCTGAGGCATCGATTTGAGACCATTGATTCTTTCATACTAGAAATTTCCCTGTATACTATTTTAGCTGTATCACACACATTTTTATATTTGGTCTTTTCATTTACATTCATTTCAAGAAATTTTTCTAATTTTCCTTTGATACATGCTTTATTGAGCAGTGTATTATTTAGTTTAGGTTTCAAATATTTGGGGGGTTTCCAGATATTTTTCTGCTATTGAGTTTTAATGCAATTCCATGGGATCAGAAAACATACTTTGATTCTTTTTAAATGTACTGGGACTTGTTTGATGGCCAGAAGATGATCTATCTTGGTAAATGCTCTGTGTGCACTTGTGAAAAATGTGTGTTCTGCTGTTGTTGGGTGGAGTGTTCTATAAATGTCCATCATGTCAAGTTGATTGATATGGCTGTAGAGATCTTATATAGCCTTACTGATATCCTGTCCACTTCTTCTATCAATTATTGAGAGAGGAATTGATATTTCTAACTATAATTGTGGATTTGTCTATTTCTCCTTGCAGTTCAATCAGTTTTTGCTTCATATATTTTGAAGCTCTGTTGTTAAGTGCATAAATGTTTAGGATTACTATATTATCTTGATAAACTGACCTTGTTATCATTCTGAAATGAACTTCTTTTTCTCTGGCTGGACGACTGCTGCATTTCGTCCAGGGCTAATTATTCCCTGACATAAAGGCAAGACCCTTCTGAATATTTCACTCAATGCTCCATGAATTCTCAGCGTTTTCCACTCTGCCTGGTGGGAACAGCAATCATTCTGGACCCTGTGTGAGCTCCAGATACTATTACCTTTAATCCTTTTGGGTGGTTCCTTCCCCACCTCGGGAAGTTTCTTCACATGCCTCTGCTGGTTGGGACCCTGCTGAATAATTAAGGGAACCTTCTGCAGATCTAAGTGCAGCTCTCTCTACTCTCTGACACTGTTCCTACGTGGTCTCCCTGGACTCTTCCTGCCATCTCCCCAGCTTGGGCAATTTGCCAGGCTCTGCCTGGGTTCCCTCTCCCTGTGCCACAGCCTGGAAACTCTCTCAAGACACTAAGCAGAGCAATCATAGGGCTGAGCACATTTGATTCCCATCTCTCGGTGATCAGTGTCCTTCGTCATCTCATATACAGCATCTAAACCATTGCTTCATCTATTTTGTCCAGTTTTATTGTCTCTGGTGGAACATAAATCTGGTTCCCATTAGAACTGGGAGTCTTTATTTTTGTGCTTTATTCAGTTTTAGGTATCTGTGTTGACCTGGGGCTATGAAAGTTAATGCTTTAGGCCAGGCACAGTGGCTCATGCCTGTAATCCCAGCACTTTGGGACACGACACTGAGGCAGGTGGATTACTTGAGGTCAGGAGTTCAAGACCAGCCTGGCCAACTTGGCAGAAACCCCGTCTCTACTGAAAAAATACAAAAATTAGCTAAGTGTGGTGGCGTGTGCCTGTAATCCCAGCTACTCAGGAGGCCGATGAAGGAGAATCACTGGAACCCAGGAGGCGGAGGCTGCAGTGAGCCGAGATTGTGCCACTGCACTCCTGCCTGGACAACAGAGTGAGACCTTGTCTCAAATAAAAAAAGAAAGTTAATGGCTCAGACTTCTTACAAATGATCCTTTCCCCTTCCATCTCCACATCCTTTCCCTCCCCATCATCTTCTCAAAATAGATTTGGTTATAATAACATTAAATTTTCATATGACTTTGAAACTATTGCTCACAGCTGAGTCATATGGTATACTGGGAATGGTTTACTTTCTTTTACATCTTTTAGTTTTCCATAGAGTTAATTATTTGCCTTTTTTAAAAAGGTTTGCTTTCTTGTCTAATGGTTAGTTCTTTTAATCTGAAGTTTCATACTCAAATAACATGAAAGTCAACAGTGTCTGGAGGAAGGAGGTTACTGCAGCAATTGCCGTATGTGGGCTGAGACCCTTTTTGTTTCCCTAACATAGCAGAGGGGTGGGGCAGGGGCTCTGGCTTTGACACACAGCCGCTGGCCTTCTGTACACACCTCACATGTCTCTGGCCTATTCTGAGAAATAAGAAAAACGTGTGAATTGAAGTAGATAGAGAAGGTAAGAAGCCAGAACGCAAAACAGGACTCTGGATTCTAGTTCTGCCTGTGTTGCTAATGTTCTGTGTGACCTTGAGCAAGTCCCTTCTCTTCTAAGGCCACCACTTATTATCTGTGGCATGGGCATGAGGCAGCTGAGGGCAAATGTCTCCTCTAGATTGCCTTAAGGTCATCCAGGAATGGGGTGGCCATGAAGACACTGGGGACCTAAGAAATGTCCCCGTTTCCTGCCTTAATCCGGCTAAGACCAAAGTGGTCCTTTGTATCCAAGAGGGGACAGACAAGGTCATAATGGATGAGAACCTCAAGGAGAAGATTTCAGACCAAGATGATGATAGATTGATAAAAGGTGCTTACACACCTCCAACAATGGGGAACTCCCTACTTGCAGAGTCCTCTGCAAGGTTGGAGGTGTGTAAGCAGAGCTTAGACCAACCCTGGGTGAATTTTCACTTTCCCCAGTTACAATCGTGACACTGTATTGTCATTGGCCATTATGTTCACTGGCTTCTGGACTGAACTGTAAGACCCGTGAGGGCTGGAACTTTGAGAGTCTAGCCCAACTAGACACTCAACTGGGACATTTTTCCCCCAGGGGACAGGGGACACTTGGCAGTGACTGGAGACATTTTTGGTGGTCACAACTGGAAGGAGATGCTTCTAGCATCTAGTGGGTAGAGGCAAGGGATGCTGCTGAGCATCCTACAAAGTTCACCACAGACCCCCACAACAAGGAATTATTTGGGGCAAAATGTTAATAGTGTTGTGCTTTAGAAGCCCTGGTCTGGCCTATCACTCCAACCCAGCACTCAGCACAGGGTCCAGCACCTGAGAGGGTATTTGTACATGGGGGGGTAAACAATGATGCTTGGCAGGGACTTTGATTGCCAGACTGTCCCCCAGGAGCTGGTATGGAGCCCACAGCAACCCACGCCTACCCAGGGCCAGCTGCCCAACATGACTTAGGGGAGGATCCCTTGCCCCAGAGCACAGTGAGTGGGCTCCTGGCCTGACCTGGCCCTCCCCTCCTTGGGCTTCTGACCCATCCTGGCCAGACAGGGGCTATGCTGGAACTTCAGTCCTGCCTTGATCTTTGGCACTAATGTTCCCTTATCAGTGGAATGATCCAAGACTCCAGTTTTCTCTCTGTACCGTGGGACAGTTGTCAGACCTGCTTGTGCTGTGGGACCAGTAAGAGCCAAAAGTGGTTAACGGATGGCCCATGGGTGGGTGGAGGGGAGAGTCACAGAGTCTCACCCCCAGCTAGACTCTCCAGAGGGCAGCTGACAGGATCTGACAGTGCAGGAGGGAGAAATTCATTCAACCATGTAGTCAACAAATATGTATTGAGCAACTACTATGTGCAAGGCCTAGGTAGCAGGAATACAGCACTGAATCAGACAGACAAGATCTCTGCCTTCAATGGAGCTCACATTCCAGTGGCGGGAGGGCAGAGTAGGAATAGACAATAAACAAAAACCAGTAAGTAGCTTCTGGAAGGTGATGCACATTATGATACAAAGGAAAAATGGAAAAACAAAAAAACAAAGCAGGCACAGGGCAGCAGGACTGAGTAGGGCAGGAAGGGGTTTAAGTGGTGTGGACAGGGCAAGGCTTGTTGAGATGGCGACATGTGATCAGTGGACATTATGGGGAAGAGTATCCAGGCAGAGGGAACAGCTGGTACAAAAGCCCTAATGTGGAATGTGCCTGGTGTGCTTGAGGACAGCAAGGAGACCCATGTGGCTGGAGCAGAGTGGGTGAGGCAGGCAGCAGGAGACAGGAGATGAGGCCAGGAGGGAACAGAAACTTGCCACACTGGGCCTTGGGGATGCCCCAGCTTTGACATTGTTGTTTGGGAGCCACGGAAGGGTTTTGAGCAGAGGAGTGGCGTGATTAGAAAATTACCCCTGTTGAGAACCACTGGGCTAGACACTCAAGATTCCAGCCCTCATGGGGCTTACAGTTCAGCCTAGGAGCCACTGGAGATAATGGCCAGTCATAATACAGTGTCATGATTATAATTGGGGAAAGTGAAAATTCACCCAGAGCTGGTCTAAGCTCTGCTGCTGAAACAGCGTGTCACATACTTAACAGCCTAAATTTATACAGATGCGTTCTCTTACAGTTCTGGAGGCCAGAAGGCCAAAATCAGTTGAAAAGGCCAGGTATCACGGGGCTAGATCCCTCTGGAGGCAATAAGAGAAGTATTTTCTTACTTTTTTTTTTTTTTTTCCAGCTTTGGGAAGCCAACTGCATTCCTTGGCTTGTGCCTCCTTCCTCACATCCATGTCACCTTCTTCCTGTGCTGTAATTGTACCTCCTTCTGCCTCCCTCGTATGAGGAAACGTGATTCTACCATTGGGCCCTCCTGGATCATCTGGGTTACTCTCCCACTTCAAGGCCCCTAATTTAATCACATCTGCAGTCTCTTCTGCTATGTAAGGTAACATTCATAGGGTCTTGGGATTAAGATGGGCAGATCTTAGGGGGGCCACTCTTGAGCCTACCAAGAGCCAAGTGGGGAACAGACCACAGTCCTCAGTGTCTGAGCTGGGGAGGGACCCAGAGGCCCAGCCCAGTGGCCAGGACAACTGCAAGACCCCTCAGAACACTACACGTGCTGGGGAGAGGGCCCATGGGTGAATTCATGAGACCAGTCCCTGTGTGACCTCAGCCCACCTCCTGTCTTTCCCCAAGCCTCAGTTTCTAGATCCAAAAAAGAGGAATAGTTAACTCCCGCCTTGCTTGCAGGGCATTGTTTAAATTAGATGATCTGCATGCCCCTTCTCTTCCCCACCAACCACACTAGGCTTCTTGATGTTTCTTAAACATGCCAAGCATTTCTTATCTCAGGGACGTTGCACAGGCTGCTGTGCTACCCCAGGGCCCTTGCACTGGCTGCTGTGCTACCCCAGGGCCCTTGCACAGGCTGCTCTGCTACCCCAGTGCCCTTGCACTGGCTGTTCTGCTTTGGCTGCTGTTTCCTAGACACTGCCATGGCTAACCTCTCATTTTCTTCATGTCTTCATTCAAATGTTCCCTTCAGAGAAACTGTCCCTGATCACCCTATCCAAAGCCACATCCCCATCAATCTATCCCCTTACCTGGATTTGTATTTCATCTTACATATTTATTTGTTATCTGACAAGGTCTTGGGAGGAAACAGAAGGCACACTTGGCTGGGATTTTGAAGGGAATTTAATGAGGGGACTAGTAAGGGATGTTGAGATACAACAGATGGGTGACCATGGGAAGCTGCTACCCTCCCTAGGCCTAAAAGAGGCAGGGCAGGGAGTAGTGGTGCCAGATCCCAAAGAGAGCCGGGGTGGGATAGAGGGCCCTCCTGCCAGGGGCCAGAACCACAGTATCAAAGCAGGAACAAGCTGGGGAAGAAGCAGCTGGACATCCTCTCCCCTGTCTCCAATCTCAAGCCAAAGCCTCCAACTGGCCAAACCCACCAGCAGCCAGAGCCCAGGTGAGCGTGAGAGTCGTGGTGCATGGAATTTAGCCTCCCTGGGCACAGAGCAAGGTGAAGAATGGCAGACAGTAGATGCAGGGGCAGGGGCGGGGGTGGCCAATAACCCACACATTAGTTTAAGATTTTTAAATTATCTGTTTTCCCACTCAATGTGGAAGATCCATGAGGACAGAGATCATATCTCTTCTGATTATTACCAAGTTCTCAAGTAGCTTGAACATTGCCTGGGTGCTGGTAGGAGCCCCATAAATGATTGTAAGGGAAATGAAGCGAAGCCCAGTGATCTGACAGAAGTCTGCAAGCGGGAGGGTAGCACGCACATCTATGAAGGACCATCCTGGTCATGGCTGCCGCACTCCACCTTTGCAAGGGATTTTAGAACTGCCCAAGTCAACCCAGGAATTCATCTTGCTACTAGCCAGCCCTGCCACTGTTCATTCCTTATCTCCACCCAACCCCAGTTTCAAGGGAGACTTCTAGAAACTCATCTTTGCCACCATGTTGCAGAAAGCAGGTTAAGGGGAAGGAAGGAAAAGTGCAAGCATCGTTTCTTTGTCTTGGCAAAGGAGGGAGTGGAGCCCAGTAAGTGGAATTTGCTCCGGATCCCAGGGGGGCATTCTTCAGGGTCTCCTGCTCCACTCTGGGTGCCCTGCCCAGAGAACATTCTCAGTCAGACTGCCAGATACAAAATGCTTCTTTAAGGAAACTGAAGATCTGCTCTGAGCCCCCCACAGATCCACCCAAATAGGACATCCCAGGTTTTCCCTGCATGGAACCATAAGCCCTTTTAGAACCTTGACTGCTCGGTTCAGAAGGGTGGCTGTCATGGTGGACTTCAGGCCTGGCAGCCAAGCGAACGGGGCTATGTCTGGGATGGCTCTCCCAACCACAGAGCGGCTTTGCTAGGCTTTAAGAAATGGATGCTCATTTTGGGGACCTGGGATGCTGGATCCACCCTCAGCCCACACCAGTTTGCCCCTCATGTTACCCAGGGAGGTGCAGAATGGCTTGGGAGAAAGCATATTTTGGGGGCAGAGGCCCTTGGGTGCAAATCCCAGAGCCTCCTCTTGCTAGCTCTGTGACCTCTCCTTGTTCGTAAACTGAGTGTCAGGCCTTTTCTCCGGGATTGTTTTGAAGACTAAATAAACCTGAACCTCCCAGCAAGTGACGGGCACACAGTAGGCACTCCCAAGCCGCCCTTTCTTCTCTGGCTTCTCCTCTGAGTCCTGGGAGACCACGTCTTCCCTGAAGCAGGGAGAGTAGCCAGAAAAGCCAGCCCACCCTCTACCCAGATCAGCCTCTCCGCGTTTGAAAACTTCCAAGGCAGGAAAACTTTTTTCCCCAGGCCGGTTCTGTCGCAGCTGCCACCATGAAAGCCCCTACACCTTCCCCCCACGGGCCCGCTGCTGTCTTAAAAAACCCTCATCTCCTCTGCTGAGATGAGCGTCGTCGCCAGGAAAGGAGGGAGCAGAGGGGGAGGCACTAATGGGAGACGCCTCGGCAGAGGAGAAGACACAATGGATAAAAGAAGAAAGCGCATCCAAACACGAGTTCTTGTTCTCGAGAAGAAGGGCCAAGTCTGACTTTATAGCAACAGCTTTGAGAGCAGCAGCGGTGGGATTTCTTGGCAGAGGTTCCGCGGGAAAATCAATAAGCGGGGCCGCTGTTTGGAGATGCAGCAAGAAAGGCCACTAACGAGGCCAGATTGTAACAGTTCTGCGAGCAGCCACAATGCTCACCTTACACGGCGCGGCCGCGCGTTGGTAAATAATAAATCACAGCGGCCGGCGGGCGGCGGCGGCGGCGCCGGACAGAACGCAGCGCGTTTGACTGCAAAGCAGACCCGGGGCCATGAATTATTCACCGCCGCGCCGAGATAAAACACCGCAGCGGAAGGAGGCGCAGCCCTGCAAACAGGTGCCCGGCGCGGAAATCTGCCTTTTGATTACGAGCCTGGGCTGGGGATGGGCCCGGCCGGCGGCAGTTCTGGGGCTTCGGCGCTTGGGGCGCGGGAAAAGATGGGATTAATCTGGGGCCGCAGCCGACGCCCCACAAGAGCGTTTTGCCAGACTCCGGGGCTGGGAGCAATTACAGCCAGGCCCGGCAGGGCTGGCAGCGAGAGCCTGAGAGCGCAGGCCTGTGTGTTGTGCACGCCTGCTGGCATGCATGCTCTGGGTGGCGAGGTGTGCATGTGTGAGTGCGTATGCAATGCATTCGTGTGTGCATGGGCATATGTGGTGCATGCATGTGTGTGCTTTCACATGTGTATGGGGTCCGTTTGTATGTATACACATAGTGCATTTGTGTGTATATGCTGTGGTAGGTATGCTTGTGTGCACATGTGGCATGTGTGTATATGTGAACAAGTGTGGTTATGTGTGTATGATTGTGCAAATATGATTATGCTTGCTTAATCCCACACATGCCTGTGCTTTCATATGTGGTGCGTTTGTATATGCTTACATGGTGCATGTATGGGTATGTATGAGGTTACACATTCGTGTGGGCATGCCTGCGCAGTGCATGTATGTTTACATGTAGTGTATATGGGGTGCAAAAGCAATTATGTGTGGTTAAATCTTTATAGGCAGACATGTATGAGGGTATATGCAGAATACGTGTTTGTGTGTGCTCATACCTGCATATGTGGGGTTATGCACACACAGGCATGCATATGTGGTGTGTTTGTGCATATATACATGGTATATGGGTGTGCATATGCAGTGTGTGTGGTGGGCATATGAAGTGCATGGTTATGCAAACATGATGCATGTAAGTGTATGTGAATCTGTGTGATTATGCGTGTGTGTGTGCATAGTGCATTTGTGTGTGTACATGATGCATGTTTGTATGCATACATGCTTTGTGAAGTTTTAAAGGTTTGTGTTGTGCATATACAGTATATGTGTGCATGTATGCATGTGGATAGTTATGCATGCATGCATAGGTGTGTGGAAATAAATAAAGGGAGGAGGTTGGGATTACTAAAATTTGCAAGCTTAGAGATGGAGCCCCATGGGCCAGGGATCCAGACCTCTGAGGAGGAGCCACTAGTTGGCTGGTGCTGGTGACTCTGGGGTTGGTGGAGGGATCCCACCCCATAAGTCAAGAATGAAGACTCCTGGGAAGGGGGCACTGTTGGCCGATATTGATTTCTCTGAGGGAGCACAATGAGGCTTGTTCTACAAGAAATGGAAAAGTTAAAAACCAGGTTCAGCCATTGCCTCAGAAGAGAACTGCTGCTGCCGAGGTGAAGCATCACGGGGATGATGCTTGCAGGAACCACAGCAGACAGGAAGTAAAGAGGAAGGGGCAAGACCCTTCTTGCTCCTCCAACCTCAAAGTCTCCCTCTAGTGACCCTATTGGCAGATCTTAACAAGGAGCCAGAAACAGGATTTGCAGAGTTGCAGGATCCCAGCCCTGGCAGCCCAAAGCTGACCTAGAACAGGTTTGGAGTTGAGACAAATATTTAATTGTCACAGTCCACCCCTGGCTACTCAGCAATGGTCCTCAGCCTTTATACATAATTGAACTTTCATACCCTAACAAAACAACTCTGCATTTCTGCCTAAATCTGTGCTTTATTCATAGAAATAAAAACACGTTCACCTTCTCCCCAAATGAGGAGACACATTCTCAACTGATATTGTATCCGTCTTAGGAAGATAATGACAGGGTGGGGAAAAGGTGGTCATTGTGGGAGCAATGAGAAGTCCAGACTGGCCTTCCTGACTTGAGTCTCACAGAAGGGCCTTGAAGAGGGGTCCACAGTGGCTTAGGGAGGCATCTGCCCACCCACTGGAACAGAAAGCTCCTGACCTCTGCCCCTTAGAGCCAGTTCTGTAGACCCTCAAAGTGGCAAGTGTTCTGGGTCCCATAAGTTTTATCCAGCCATTTTCCTACCCTGACTCTATGCTTTGCCGTTGGTCAAAGGAACTGCAGACCTGCATTGAAAGCCAAGAGAAAGCCCTGAAAGAGCAGCCTGTGAATAGTGGGATGGTGGCTTTCAAAGCCAGATTTCCTGTCCACTCCACTACCTCTCACGGCTCATGCTCTGACTCCAACAGCTCTGATTTAGAATGGGCTTGAGAGATGTGTGTGTGGGTCCCACAGTGGGGGAGAGACCAAGCCTGGTGAGGCTGGGACCCTGATCCAGGAGGGGATCCCTCAACATCCAGCTCAGCTCCACCCTGGTCTTGCAAGAGAAAGGCATAGAGAACTTTCCTATGAATGAAGGCCTCCTGGTTGCAACTTCACAGTTGGGGCACAGATGCAGAACAGGCCCACAGAGGGCAGAAGTATTCTCTGAGGCAGGACATTGCCACGTCCTGCCTCAGCCCCTGCCTAGGCCCCACCTCATTATAATAAAGCCCCACATGGTGTAGAGTTCAGTCTATTTGGGTCAACCTTCCCACCAGGATGGCTGCTTTCTTATAGATACTCCAGGGGCCTGCCATGCTAACCCCCAAGAAGACTAAGCATAGAATATCAGGCATCTGCCAGGCTGCCATATGCAGTTGTGTAGTGTGTGCACTGCCAAAAAGCTCCTGGCCAAGGAGGCAAGTGGGAGCTGAAATTTATCCTAAAATCCTACTTGAAGATAGGGAACCATTATCAAGTTCACACAAAGATACCATATGGACTGGTGTTGGTGCTGGGTATTGAGGTACACTGAACAAAGTCACCAAGGTGATTTAGTGCATGCCTAGGCTCCCAGGGGCTAAGCAGTCCTCTTCCACTAAATGGTGCTTGAACAGCACCAATTCATAGCTAGTATCTAGTCCAACACCCCATCCGTCGACCTGCTCATTGCACCAATGAGGCCTCAGAGGCCCAGAAAGAAAAAGAGTGAACCCCAGGCTTTAGGGACCTAGAGGCCAGCTCAGACCAGCCCCCAGCTGGGAGTTCTGCCCAGCCCCTCCATCCCAAGATGTCTTAGGCTCTGTAGGAAGAAAGACTTTCCTATCTTCGTAGACTCAGGCAACACTATTATTCAAGCCCGGCCACCTTTGTGTGATTTGGAGCAAATGATCAAACTTCTCCATCCCTCAGTTTCTGCCTCTGTGAAATGGGGACAATAATAGCTCTTCCCAGAATCACCTCGAAGATTTAAATAAAGTGACAATAAAATAGCTACAATCGTGTGTGAACCATTCCAATTGCTTCATATGCATTAACTCCTTTAACAAGAATGCTTTGAAGCGAGAACTATTAGGAGCCCCATTTTAGGAATAAGAAATCTGAGGCTCGGAGAGGTTAAGTAACTGACTCAAAGTCACAACGACTAAGGGGCTGGAATCTGAACCCAAGCATGTGCTAATCGCTGTGCAAACTGCCTCTCTTAGGTAGAGGATATGTGGACAGCTCCTAGCACACTACCTGGCACAGGTAAATACTCAGTAAGTGTAGCTGTAATTCTAGTTTGGGGACTAGATTGGGGCCTGGGATTATCTCTGGAAGTCCCTCGTTGCTGCAGGCCTACAGTGAGAGCCCAGCCTTCCATTCTTTCTGACGCCAGCCCCTGGGTCTGCAAGAACTCCAGGCCCTGATGCCCGCAGCTCAGACCCTGGGGCGGGGCCCCAGTGCTCTATCCTCAGAGGTAGCCAGAGGTCTGCAGTTGACATGCATTTAATTAGTTCAACCACTTGCCAAGCCCTGGTGAGGGCATTATCAACCCTTCTCTGTCTCAAGCGGTGATGAGCTCCCTTTAAGCAGCTTTGGAGAGAGACAGTGGAGAGGTCTGAAGGCCAGAAACACATTTTCTCCCGCCCTCTTACAGATAAAGTAGGGAGTGACCACACGGTCTTCTTTCTGGAGGAAGGCCTCCAGGCTTTGCCGCTATGCATAGAAATGACTCATTTCCAGCCAGGGAAGGCTCCTAATCCCTAGGCCTCTGGCCTCTATGTGCCATCCAGATGTGATGCTCTTCGGATGGGCGGCAGGGCCTGGGAGGAGAGTGAGGGCACCATAGCTCCAGCTGGATACAGAGAGGCCCAGTGGTTAGAGGGTACACTGTGTGGTCCGGACCCTCTGAGCTGTCCCCAACTCAGTCAAAGCATGTGCACTCTGTAGTCCAGGACCTCCCAGGCTGTGCAGTGCTTCAACTGGCAGTGTTGTCTCATAATTTAGGATACGTTGAAATTCTCTATCACTTTGATGAATGGAGGTTAACTGTTGGAGGTGGTATTTAGTGACAACTTGACTTTGAATCCAGGCTCCACTATTGACATGCTGTGTGACCTTTGACAAGTGACTTGACCTCTCTGTGCCTCAGTTTTCCAATTTATCAAAAGATGATGAAAATATATATTTCAAAGATTATCATAAGATTTAAATATATTATTCCATGTGAAGTACCTAGAACAGTGGCTGGTGCAGAGTAAATCCTCAATGCCTATGTGTGTCGTCATTATTACTTTATTTTTCCACACTAAATACCTTAGATAAAGGGTCATTTATCATAAAATGTGGCTATGTGTTATATTTCCCTCAGCAGGTTGAGAGTCTGTTGTAGCACTGTTTCTGGACAGTGGTTACCACTAACCCCATGAGAAAAGATCTAGGGATGGAATTTTTATAGTAGAGTCCATTGTTCCATGGGATGATTAATCGTGACTGCACAGGTCATTGTGTAGGGAAGGATTCTGAAGCCTCGTCTGAGTCTAAAAGGAACAAGCAATGTGATTGATTAGTGATGTCTGCCACAGGCATGGGTAGGGCAATAAAGGTGGTTTTTGTTTGGCCTCCCCCAAGAGGGGGCTGAGACAAGATGGGTGCAAGGAGTTTATTTGGTAGGTGATGCCAGGAAGTCCAGTGAGTGAGCTGGGGAGTGAGACAGGGAAGGTGGAAATCCAATGAAGGGGCAGTACCGAGAGGGTTACCACAAGGCACTGGGGGCTCATTCTTTCTGGGGAGCTTCTGGAGACTGTATCACATAACTCGGAATCACCCCACCTGGGGGCAGGTGTATGTAGCCACTGATTCCCATCGCTCATTCATGGAGAGCTGCTCCTCTGGCATTAACTCCTTGGCACTTGCAGCTGCCCTGAATGTGGTCTGAGAACACTCCCGCAGCCAGGAAATTGCCCTCAAGCAGAAAGCTTCACTTAGCTCAAAGATCGGCCAGGATGGTCTGCAGTGACTTTTGGGTGGGCTGGGGATGTGGATGGAGCACCTGGTACAGATGCTGTGAGTGCTGTGTGCATGTCACCATGAGGAGCCGTTATCTGCCTTCCCTCCTCCCCGCCTTCCCTCCCCACTTCCTTCCCTCCTTTCTTCATTTTTCTTTTTTCCTTCTTCCCCTCCTCCCTGTCTTCCTTCTGCAAACATTTTCTGTTCATCTCTGACTTGTCAGGCCTTATGCTAGAAACCAGGAGTAGCAAAATAAATAAAAGCTTGTCTCTGCCCTTAGCTCTTCAGTCTGGTAGAAACAGCAGAGACCTCCCTTCTCCCCAAAGGGGGAAAAAGACACCCAAAGCAGCTAATAAATGGTTTCAAGTGGTTCCTTTTCAGGCACTTTCATTTTTAAAAGCAGGGCCCAGGGGCTGAGCTGGGACTGGCAATTAGAGGCCGAGTTTCTGTATTTGAGAGACGGGGGTGGGGGTGCAAGGAATCTGAACACCTTGGAAAAAGTAAACTTATTAGGCGGAAGAAGATCTTACAGAGTATGAAATTTACAAAAGCTCTATCCGAAATAACACTAATGACAAGACATTTTATTGATGTTTAATTCAAAAACAGGAGCTAATGCAAGTGCCCTTCCCTTGGAGTGGGAAGGAGGAGGGCACTTTTCTTTCTAATAATTTACTTAAACTGAATTTCATATGGGAAATTAATTTGCCTGGAATAAAAGCAAGACATCACTCCAGAAGTAAGAAGTCACCTTGGATGGGGCTATCCTTATGGGGACAGCCCACCGCTGTCCTCCAAAGCCAGAAAGTTCTATCCGGTGGGCAGGCTGGGGGTAAAGTGCATTGTATTTGGGGTCTTGGGGGCCGTAGTCATTTTGTATTGCTTTGTAACAGATCACTTTGTAAGGACAGCATCTTAAAATAACACAAATTATCATAGTTTTCATGAATCAGGTGTCTGAGCATGGATCAACTGGATCCCTCTGCTCTGGTTTTACAAGATCTCTACCAAGGTGTTGGCCAGGGTAGGCCTCATTTGATTCTCAGGCCACCGTTCTAAGCTCATTCAGATTGCTGGCAGAATACACTTTCTTGAAGCTGTAGAACTCGGTAGTGTTCATGTTCTCTGAAGCCAGCAGGAGAAATATCTTGCTGACCTTTATTCTTGATTAGGTCAGGCCCACCAGGATAATCACCCTTTGGTTAACTCAAAGTCAGCTGATTAGTAATCTCAGTATAGGAGTGAAACCCCAGGCTCTTCCCCTACTCCCTGGGGCAGGTACACTGGAGACAGGTATCTTGGGGATCATCTTAGACTTCCCCATACCATGTGAGCAAAGGAGCAGGATCCAGCTAAACATGGACCAGCTCTGAGACTGTGGGCAAGCTATTTTGTGTTGCTTAGCTTCTATGTTCTCCTCTGTAAGATAGGTTAGCAAACTAAATCCAGCTGATCTGAAGAGAAACAGGAGATGCATCTTAAACGACCAGCCAGGTAGGAATTCAAGTAATCAAAACTGAAAGTTAAAGTATAAACTCACTAGAAACAATATGTACTTATCTGCTCTAGGCGTTTTATTTTAACTTAAATATGATAAATGAATGAGCATTCACTGACTTTTTTTCACATAGGACCAGGGCAATTCGAGAATGACCTCTCCAACTGGAGTTCCAGGTAATCATTCTTCTTTTTTTTCTTTTTTTTAGACGGAGTCTCACTCTGTCGCCAGGCTGGAGTGCAGTGGCACGATCTTGCTCACTGCAGCCTCCGACTCCCTGGTTCAAGCGATTCTCCTGCCTCAGCCTCCCGAGTAGCTGGGATTACAGGCACACGCCACCATGCCCAGCTGATTTTTTTTTTTTTTTGTATTTTTAGTAGAGATGGGGTTTCATCATGTTGGCCAGGATGGTCTCGATCTCCTGACCTTGTGATCCTCCCACCTCGGCCTCCCAAAGTACTGGGATTACAGGCGTGAGCCACTGCGCCCAGCTGGTAATCATTCTTACATGAATGAAACTCATAACATCTCACTTACAATTTCTACTTCTCTTCCATGTGAGTGAGAACTTCCGTGCATGTGCAAAGCAGTGTGAATGCTGAATATACCCAGATATTGACCATTTTCATGGTCTTTTGTAGTTATTTTGCTCCATTCTAATATGACGGTACCTTTTCTTTAGAATATTCCCTATACTGAGACTTCCAAAGCATTCACCTCCTTGGTCTTGCACTCCCATTTCATTGGTTCATGTAATATTTAATGCATTTATGTCATCACAATAACAAGCACAACTGGCATAAAAGCTTAACCCCCTTGGGATGGATTCGCCAGCTCCACCATGGAACACAGGTGTGCGTGTGCACTCAGAAGTGATGGGCCAGGTGAGCATTGGGCCTTCAGTGAGCAGTAACCAGGCTACCTGCAGAAAGAATGAATGATACTGGCTAATCTGACAAGTTAGAAAAAGCTTGGTTAGGAGAGCTTCTGCTGAATTCTGAAAATGGAAAACGCTGTGGCCAAGTCTGAAGTTTGGTATGAATCTGATGGGCTCTGGGGACTGTCACTACTGTCCCAATGCCACCTCCTTATTTGGTTGGCTTGAGGCCAGGCCTCCTGCTAGAAGTCATGGGGGTAGGGGTAAAGCCCTCAGGGAAGGACAGGCCATCTCAGGGGGCTCCACAAGCTGAGGCTAGAGTTTCTCTGGCCAGTACCGTCACTACCTCAAGGGGGCTGTAGAGAAAGCTGCTTAGGGGCCAGAACTGCAGCTGAGTCCCCAATCCAGCAAAAAGCAGTCAGTTTCTCTGTCCGGATCCAAAAGGAGCAAAGGAAACCCTTGGTTTCTTGTTCCTGTCCTCAAATTCTGCATAGCTTCCACCACCTCGAGCTTCCCCGAGGGACTCTAGGTGCTCTGAAGTAAAGCAAGGAAAGAGAAAAGCCTGACAACAGCCACCATCATTATTATTCATAGTAATAACAATTATTATTTTCTCCCTTATATTGAGCACTTACTATGAATCATGTCAGGGCTGTGTATTTTATATTCATCAGTTCCTCTAATCTTTGGATTAACCCTGTAAGGTAGATACAATTAACCCCACTTTACAGATGAAGACACTAAGGCCTAGAATTGTTCAGTGATTCTCCCAAAGTGATGAAAAGTGGTGAAGCTGAGATTCAAAGATCCCTTTGATCCCAAAGCCATTGCTTTTAACCCAGAGAATGGTTTCTTGGATTTTAATGTGCAAAGAATCCCTTTGTGGGGAAAAGCCAGATTAAAAATGCCACTTTCTGCGGCCCTACCACCACTGATTCTGATTTACTGGGGCTCGGGTGCGGCCTGGGGATGTGTGTTTCCAACACATGTCTCCCGTGACATGAAAGCTGAGGGCCAGTGGGCACACTGTGCAAAGCAATTGCCCTGCAGTAGTGCCCCTTCCATAAGATTTGCCCAGCTGTGTTCAGGAGCAGCGATGGATTCCAGTCTAGATCCTGAGTCTGCTGGGGACCCTTCCCCGAGGGGACTCCTCCCTACCCCAGTGGAGACTTCCAAGAGGACCCCTGGTCATCCTATCCAGTGAGCCAGTGGTTGTAGCAATGGCTCTCCATCTGGCTGCATACAACAATCACCCGGGAGGCTTTAAAAAGACCCATTCCGGGACCCCTCCCAAGAGGTTCTGATTCAGCATTTCTGGTTCATCTCAGCTGATTCTAAGGTGCAGCTGGGACTGAGAACCACCAAGACAAAGGAGAAAGATTTCAGCCCAGCATAAGGAAGAGCTTTCTACCATTTAAAGCTGTCCAGAACAGGGAAGCCTACCTCGGAAAGTAGTGAGCACACCGATTTAGAAGCATGAAGGTCAAAACTAGAAGGCTATTCCCAGTTATGGGAGATGTGAGGGGCACTGGTGGGCGGAGAGGGGTAGAGGCTGCTATTGGGAGGCAGATGGAGTGCTACAACCTCTGACTTGGGGATTCTATACTGCCATATGTGAGCAAAAGTTAATGCGCTGGGACAAAGAAGTCAAAGGAACATGGGAGGGCAGATCCAGGCCAGACCACCTTCCCATACAAAGGAAGGGCAGCCCATCAGCCCGCCATCATTGATGACATCACCATCACTCATAGCGGCAGCACAGTGAAGTCTATCTTGGACCCTTTAGATCATTAATTGTTATGAAAAGCTGTGATGTTTGTAATCTAGCATCCATTTTACAGACGGGGAGACAAAATCCCAGAGATGTTAAAAAAAATCTCAGCCAAGGTCACAAAAGATTTTAACCCAGTGGTCAAATACTTTCTGCCTTTCTGCTCAACCAGGCTGCTTCTTTTGAGACAACACACACACACACACACACACACACACATGCATGCAGTCAAACACACAATTCCCTGCACAAGAACACACTCACAGAGAGGAATGCCTCTGAGCATCTGCCTCATTTTTCCTCTGCCCTCCTCGTGTCCTCCGGTCTGTTTGTTGCGCTATCTCTGTGTCAAACTACCACAGGCTGCCTAGTTCTAACTCTCCTCCAAGTTTTCCAAAGAAGCCCCACCCACCAGCCTAAGCTTTACAATTTCCAGGGAGATACGCTGGAGATGCCACCAGCTCCAGCCTCAAAGGAGTCTTTCACCCCATTTGATTTGCAGGGGATGTCAAGCAGAAACTTCAAAATGCACAAAGGGCTAGAAGACTCTGGTATTTTCTAAACACAGATGAATCCATGAAGACCACCTAAGGAGGAGGATGAGGTAGGGAGGAGGTGCAGATAAATTGCATGGCCCCAACACAGCCAGGCTGAAAGTGGGCCTTTTTCTCTTCACCCACTTCCAAAAGCACACAGCTCTGAGGGTCACACTAATGTCTATTAACACCGAATAAGCCTTGGAGAGGGAATGGGCAGACAGCATTGGCCCTATTGTACGGAAGGGGAAACAGAGGCCAAAGGGATCCAAAGAATCCACTCAGTGAGCTGGAAGTGGCAGAGGCAGGAATCGAACTCGGGACCCGGGGTAAGAAAGAAACATCATAGAAGCTGCAGCTGAGAATTCAGCAGGGCTCACAATCAATCTGTGGGTATGTATAGCTGGTTCCTTTCTGATCGGGCAGTGCCCACACCTTACTGATTATTAAAAACCTCCACGTACTGAATCTCACTGTGGCCCCAGGCTGGACACAATTGAAAGCTGGCAGAGATTGGACATGGAGAAGCTGGAAGTCTCTGGGCATGCTACAGAGCCCATCTCTGAGAATGTGACTGTACCTTGGCTTAGCTGATGAGGTTGCAGGGACCCAGCCCAACTTCCAAACGGGTGTGTTCACCAGTGGTTCCCACCTTGCATTTTTAGTCCCTGAAACAGGAATACATTGCTCCATTCCTCCGGCCCCTTTCCAGTCCAACTATCCATCTGATCTATACCTCTCCCTCTGATGGATTTACAAGCCCAGACTTGGCCCCAGTTTTTCTGGGCCTTCCCGTGTGCTGCTCAGCACGGATGCCTTAATACGCCAGCTGAGACTTCTTAAATCCACATTGAAACAACTGTTGGGTTTTTATACTGTTGTAAAACTCTTTGTAGGGTATTCATAGAAAATGTTTTATTAATTGCCATATGTTTATTGATTTCTCTTTCATGTCGGTTCTTTTGTTCTTTCTTTGTAGTGGCAAAAGATCTCTCTGCATCATCATTTGCAAGTTATCTAAAATGTCAAAGGTGTTCTTTTGAAGTTTATTACAGATCACATGCCATAAGGCCCGGACGCTGGGTATTTACAGCGAGGGGGGAATTCCCGCACGGACTTTCAAAGCCCACAAAAGAATTGAGATCATATTGGTTTAAAACAAGACACACACACAAAACCCCAATTTATCATTTTTTACAATTTTTCCCATTTTGAGGGGTGGGGGCGGATATTGCAAAGGAAATTTCAAGAAGGAGAAATGAACAAATGTGTTGGCCTATTTATGCTGTGGGACTCCCTCTGTATCTTGCAGTCTCATTATGGTCCCTGTTAGGGAACTGTTTCCCAATCTTCATCCAGCCCTTGCAAACCTACAGCAGGAGGTTCCATCAGCTACCCTGTGGGACCATCATGCTCCCTTTTCTGAGCAGACACTAGCTTTGGCTTCCCCAGAACAACAGGCCCCATGCCACAGCCCCGGTGAAGATCCCAGGGGAACCCCCTGGGAAGAGCGTCTTCCCCCATAGAGCATTGCACTATTCCTCCGGCCCCTTTCCAACATGGAGAGCAGAGGGCCTGGAGGTACCTGGGCTCTGCCCCCTGGGATCCAGAGTAGTAAGAATTGGAGGAGGACCAGTAAAAAGGAGGGAAAAAAATGTTAATAGTGCAATTCCCTAAGATTTAAGTGAGCTATTGATGTATAAGTCAGCAGAGCATTTTCTTTTGAAAACCCAAAAGTCATTTTTTAAAGCTTAACCAGGGAAAACTCGCACTTTGATCTAGAAGGGGTTCAAATGAGATCCACACACACTTATCACGGAGGCATGAGGAAGTATTTTCCACTCTCCCTCGTTTCCCAAGAAAAAGGATGGATCAGGCGGGCTGGATCCCAGCTCATGCTGAAACACCATCATGCTGGTGTCCCTGGGTGGTGCACTGTCTCTGTGGAAGCCTCGATGACCTTATCTGTTAAATGGGCATACTGATCCCTAGATGACGTTGGTCTTCAAGAATCTGAGAGGGTCCACTGAGCTCTGAGAAAAGGATGTGCTGTCTGGAGTTCCTGCCTCCTTGGTCTCCTTGGCTCATTGCCAGTGCCCTCTCCAGGCGTTTGTCTGGGAACTGGGAAAAAGGGTGGAGAGGCGGGTGGAGGGAGAAATTCGGGTTGAGGACTTCATGCTTTGAGTCTAACCTCAACCAGCTGTGCTCCCTACTTTAAGCCTGAGAACAGTCCCTGCAGCTGGAATCTGGCAAGAGGAGACTGAAAGGAGACAGGGCCAGAACCTGCACTGGCTCTGCAGGAGAGGGAGGGATATACCCTAGATGGAGGGGTGGAGGCTGGAATCCCAGGAGAGATGGCTTGGGAGAGACCTGTTTAAGCATCTGTCAATCACTGTGGTCAAGACGCTGGTGGGGACCTAGGCACCCCCCTGCTTCCCGGCAATGCCAGTGTCAGGCTTTTGTGCTCCTGAGCACGTCACATCCTCCGTCAAAGCCTTGGTTTCCTCACTTATGAAAGGGCTGGGATGAGGGTGGGGCAATGGAAGCACAGTCACTTAGAAAATTTAAGGCAGCTCTCACTCGGGTGCTTATGCAAGTGCAGAGGCAGCCACTGAGAGTGAGCGCCTCCTTCAGTTTCTCGCCTTATTTCCAGATGCCCTACCAACAAGATGACCCAACAGAGCTGCTCAGCTCCTAGGAGCTCTCCAGGGGCCTCCAGGTGCAAGCTCTAGATGTGGGTCATTGGGATTGAGCTGGGAGAAGCCAGGAGAGGTGGCAGGGACCAACGTCCCAGGTCTCTGGCCTTCGTTCCTCTTCTCTCCTCCTCTCATGCCGTCATTGCCCTTCAACAAAACTCCTTAGCCTTGGCTCTGAAGAAAAATGTTGATTTGATCAGGTCCTTGAGTTTTGTGAAGATCTGATCAGCTACTGGCTGGGATTGTGTGTGTGTGTGTGTGTGTTTGGGGAGGGGGACTACCAGGCTCTGAAGCCAGATCCTGGACCTCCCAATTTGTAGCTGTGTGGCTTGGGCAAGCTACATAACATCTCTGATCCTCAGTTTCTTCATCCGTGAGAAAGAGATATTATTAACCCTTTCTTTGCAGGTTTGCAGTGAGGTTTAAATACCTGAGTGGAGGTAAAGTGCCTAAGATAGTGCCTGCTACGTGGTGAGGACCCAGCATGGGCCAGCTGTCACTAACACCTGGGTCTCCTTGGTGAGGGCCTCCTCCGGAGCCCTCAGTCCTTCCTTTTCTCTCCTCTCTTCTTGCCACAAGGAGGAGCTACTGCTGTCCCCCTGGGCTTCTCCAAGCCCCTTTGCTTGACCCCTCAGGGTATTGTGAAAGGGGCTGTACCCAACTCTCTCCCTTCCTAGGCCCAGGAAGTGGGTGGGATGACTTTGGGGAGGTTTCTGGGGCTCCCTACAAACCTCAGGGCAGGCAGAGGAGCCTGAGACAGAAAGTGTTCCCAGCCATGAACAAGCTACTCCCACCAGCCACCCCACTGCACAAGCCCCCACTCCTCCTTTCCCAAAGCCAAGAGTTGGCTGGAGACCCAGAAAAAAAACAAAAAACAAAAAAACAAGCTTTGTTTACTCAGCACATCTGCCCCTCACTGGGCCAGGCTGTGTGCTGGCATGGGGGACCCAAAGTGCCTTCAGCCCTATCCCTGTGTCCCAGGAACTGACAGTCTCAGAGGGAAGGAGACTCCGAGCCCCCTCTGGTGATGCCCTGGGGTGAGCCGGGAGCCTCGTGGTAGGTGCAAGAGTCGGCGCAGAGGCAACAGCACTGGGGGCAGCTTCTCCCCAAGTGGGGGCCTTTGAACAAGGTCTTGGGGTGTGGGACCTGCTCATCCCCAGCCCCTGGGCTCAAGTTCCATCCTTCCTACTCTTCACAGTGGAGAAGCCATGTTCAAGGCCCCAGTGTCAAGATTCTCTATCACTCGATTTGTGGACACCCCACACAGCTCAAGTCCCCAAGAAGTACCAAGGCCCAGAGCCTCCCTGCAGGCTCTCTTGGGTCACTGGGAAGCAAGTAGGGGATGATTCTTCACCTTGAGAAGGCCTCAAACAGCTTCCCAACTGTGCGGCCTGTGGCTGGACTCAGCCTCGAGAGCAGTCCACTTGACATGTTTCCAGGTCCCCAAGCAACAAGATGACTGAACAGAGCTGCTCAGCTCCTGGGAGCTCTCCAGGGGCCTCCTGAAGGCAGCATCCAGGTGTGAGCTCTAGATACAGGTCATCGGGTTTGAACTGGGAGTAGCCTGGAGAGGTGGCCCAGGGCCAAGGTCCCAGGTCTCTGGCCTTCATTTCTCCTTGCTCCTTCTCAGACATGATCGTTGCCCTTCAACAAGAGAGTCGAGTCTACTCACAGAGACAAAGCTAAGTTCAAATATCAGCGCCACGCTCTCTAACTGTGTGACCTTGGGCAAGTTGATTTATTAGAAGGGCTTCATGCGTCTCTGTTTTGTTCACTGTTCTATTCCTAGAGCCAAAAACATAGTGGCAGAGGGTGGAATCTAAAAGGCGCTCAATAAATTTTTGTGGACTGACTGAACCTCTTGAAGTCTTAAATGAATCAGTTTCCTTATCTGTAAAATGGGCACAATAATAGTAACCTACCTCAAAGATTTGTTGTGAGTATGAAATAAGATAGTCCGTCAGAAACGCTAAGCCCAGTTCATGGAACTATTAGATAATAGTGTTATTACCATTGGAATCATCACCACCCCTTTAACCTTAGAACCTCCAAAGCACTTTCAGTCCCATCAGCTCTCAGGATTTTCTCAACAACACTACAGGGGCAGCACGTGGGCTGCACTGAGGTCCAGAGAAGTTAAGACCCCTTCCCAAAGCCACACTGCTCCTTAGTGGCAGAGAACCCAGGTCCCTGACCACCCTACCATACATATCTTAGCTCCCATCTAGAGAGGCAGGCCCATCCTAAGTTCAGCATGGCACTGAAGACAGGAGTCATTGAATAGACGTCTTGATTGAATGGGGAACTGGGTTTCATTTTACTTGCTGCTGGTCCATGATATAGGAAGCATTATCATGTAAGGCAGAGTTCAATTTCTTCTGTAAAGGTCCAAAAGGTCAGTATTTTGGGCTTTGTTGGCCACATACAGTCTCAGTCTTAACCACTCAGCTCAGCCATGATAGCACAGAAGCAGCCATAGACAATACATCCATGAATGGACATCACAGATTCCAATAAAACTTTATTTACAAAACAAGCAGCAGGCCATCGTTTGCCAACACCTGATGTGTGACAACAAGTCTAAATCAACAGCTAAACATTGGGTCTGGTATCAACTTACTGTCTCTCTCCCTTTGGGTCTCAGTTTCCCCATTAGTACAATGAAAGGGTTGAACTAGACCAGGGATCTCAAACTGAAATTCCTCCAAGGGCAGGCAGGTGGTATAGATGTGTGAGGTGGTTTGGGCAGGGACTGGGAGAAGCCCACCTCTCCCACTCTGGGCAGCAGCCATGACTTAGCTCCCACTGATTTCGGTCATGTGGGAATTCAGTCCAGGGTGACCAGATCTCCTTAGAATCTGGACAAGCGGAATTGTATTTGAAATGTTCAGGCTTTTAAAATATTTTTTCTGAAATATAACACACATACAGAAAAGTACACACATCTTAATTATCCAGCTTGATGAATTTTCTTAAACCGAACACACTCATGTAACTAACACCCAAATCAACAACAGGAGGTGACCAGCACACCAAAAGCCTTCCTCAACCCCTTTCCAGGAACCAACCCCAAGGGAACCATTTTTCCTGACTTTGTTCCAATTTTTAAAGCTGCACCTAATTCACTCTTTTTTGGCTCTGTGTGGACTAGAGGCAATGGTGGGCCAGTTTGCAACACCTGGCTCCGACCCTCCCAGCACATCGTGACCCGTGCCTTGTTATTGATGTTACTTCCAGGCACTGCAAACACACCAATGCGGAACACACACAGCCTGTGCATGACAGGGTGGGCAGGGCCCTGGGAATGAGAGGGGCGGGCGTTTTTGTTCCCCTAAAGGCGTGTGCAGTGAGGAATCAGAGTGACAATGCGGCCCAAGGGGCGTCCTAAGTGCCTTCCAAGGAGGGCAGCGGGAGGAGGCCAGGCTGGGCAGGCACACTCGGCTGGCTTATTAAAACGACTTTGATCCCCGGCCGCTTTGATATCCTGGGTCTTATAAAGAATTCACTTTCAGGGGTAAATATAGGTAGTTCAGAGAGATTTTATGACATACTGTACAGGCTCCTCTTCCAGAGACTTACTTAATTACTGGGATGGGGAGGGCTGGGGGGACAGCAAAAGTGCTGACGGAGGGGGCTGGGCTTCAGCTTTTGCCGCTGCCCACCAGCGCATGCCAGGCACTGCCCGCACCCTGAACGAGGCTCAGTCCACCAGTCTCTGGCAGAGGAAGGACCATTTGCATGGAACTCCTGCCCAAAAAAGGCCAAAGCTAGGAAAGGTGGGAGGGGCTGCTTCCTGCAGTTTAGTCCTGGACATTGGAAGAGAAGCTGGGTGGGAGATGGGTGGGAGATGGGGCTATGCTGCCTAATGATTAGTGCTTGTAACAGTGTGACCTGGGCTTGAATTAGGCTCTGCTGCTGAGTCCCCGTGGGCAAGAATGTAACTTCTTAGCGCTTTCGTCTTCTCATCTGTAAAGTGAGAACAAAGCAGTGCCTACTTCCCGGGGTGGGAATGAGGAGGTTAAAGGCATCCATTGCCAGGCGAGGATGTAGCACCATGCCTTGCATCCCGAACAGAGTAAGGCCTACCCTTGGATGGACCCCAGGCCCAGTGCCGTTCCCTCCAGGCTGTGGGGGGAGTTGCTGTGCTGCTGACCTCCTGATAGCCCCCTAGCCCCAAGGCTTCCACACCTACCCTGGTCCTGCAATGTAGACTTGAAAACAAGCAGGACCCATGGGAAGAGCTACCCGTGGTGGGGTGGAAGTCACAGATAGGAAGTGCCCATGGCTGGACAGAGGCAAGAGGGGTGAAAGAAAGGGGGTCCTGGGCTGCAACGGAGAATGTACTGGAATAGTGCTTCTCAAACATAATATGCAGGACTTCTTAAAATGTAGATTCTGATTCCACAGATGTAGAGGGGGTGAAATTATGCATTTCTAACAAGCTTCCAGGTGACTCCAATGCAGCTGGTCAGCAGTGTCCTCTTGCGTTGAGGTACTGAAGCCATAGACAACCCCTCGGGCTCTCTCCGAGGCCTTCCCCTAAAAGTGAAGAGCACTTTCCTGTCTGAGTCACTCATGGGGTGCTCAGTCCAAAACAATTCCTAACCTGTCCCCGGATTCCCAGGATTTGACTCATCCAGAGAGATGACCTATGTAAAGCACCTAGAATAGCGCCTGGATTGTAACTAAGTGCTCAAAAATCAACAACTGAAATTGTCATTATATTGGATTGGCCTTCAGGACAGAGATTTGGCTTCCGGGGCATCTACAGAAATTTCTTGATTGTGCACCATCTCTGCATACTTGATCTTCTTAAAAAAAACTCACTGGGATAATAAAGTGTTGGCACAAAAATTCCCAAGAAATTGCAATCATTAGCCCAATTTTATGGATAAGAAAACTGAAGCTCAGAGAGATGGAGAGATACTCGCAAGGTCCCAGAGCTGATAAAACACCTAAGCCAGGATTGGAAGTCAGGCAAAACGGCTGTCAAATCCACGTAAACACGTGGCAAACGCCCCGCAGCATGCATCCTTTGATTTCTCCCATCCATTACACATGTACAGATGCACACACACACATGCACAAGCATGCACACACACACACACACACACACATATTTTGTGCCTGCCACTGAGCTGGGCACATAGAACTCATTGTCCCTTATTACCTTATGGGGTTGTTATATTGTTTTCATGCCCAAATTCTCCCATTAGCTATAAATTCCTAACAGGCAAGAATCAGATCTTACATATCGCAGATTCCCTGAACCTGATACAGGTGATGCCATTTAGTGAGTGCCCCCTAAATGCCTGTGGAATGAGTGAATGATGAAGACAAGAAGATGGACAAATTTAGCAAATATCCTTTGAGAGGGTAAGTGATTTGGTTACTTTTCCCGGTGATCCAGCTAAATAAGTTCCCCCAGTCTTCTTGCTGGATCTATACAATAGCTGCCATGTGATAAACAGAAACATGATAGTTTAAATCTAGAAAATACCTTGTTTTTCTGTGATGGCCTGCTATCTAATCCCCTGTTCTCCCCCAAACTGCAGTCGAAGACGGATTAGATGAAAACAGAATTGCAAAGCAGAAAGGACTCCAGGACAGAGGATAAGTACCATGCATTGTTCATTCCGGGAGACCCTCAGTGCCCTGGCAAAGGCCTTGCACATAGTAGATGCTCATAGATGCTCATTAAATAAATGAACCAGCATTGGCTATTTCAAGCAAGGAAGTGGCACAACTGTCCCCAGGCCCTCGTTGCCCAAATCTCTCTCTCTCTTTCTCTCTTGCATGCACACACACACACACACACACTCACACCACTTGAGCCCCTTTAGCATGGGGAAGGAAACTGCCTGTAGGTTTAAGGGACTCTGGCACCCATCAGTCTGGGGACAGGAGCCCTCTGTGTGTTTCTCTTTCCCTTCTTCTCTTGCTCCTCTCCTTGCCCTGGAGCAGAGGCAGTAACTAATATTGTTTCCTGGCCTAAATAGATAATTGCCCTTCTGGCTGGATAAAAGATGTCTCACAGAGCAGAGTGAAATATCATTAATAAAGGAGACTGATTTACTCAGGAATTCCTCCAGAAGTGAGATTAATAAGCCATCGCCTGGCGTTAGATATAATCTTCAGTTCTCTCCTCACCGCATGACTTATTTTTGCAACAACCGCACTATTCTATCATTAATCATTATGGGAGGCCAACGGTTTATCTAGGCTAATGGGCCTGATACACAAACACAACAACTTTTTCCTCCCATTTGACAAGGAAGAAATTCAAGGGGAAAAAAATTAATCAACTGTGTGTTTCTTTTTAAGGAAATAAGCCACCACCTTACCCAGAAACCAGAGTAAATACACACTTTATGGATAAAATGAATAAATGTGCATATAAATTAATATGACGTGTGGCTATAGATATGTAAATATATATGGAGTAGAACTGTGAATATATAAAAGTATCCGGGGCATGATCATGTGTGTGAAAATGTCTATGGTGTATGATTGTATGTGCATACATGTCATGTTGTTCTGTGTGTGCATAAATGTATATAAGATATGTTTGTGTGTGAGTGTATATAGAATATGGAGTAAGATACCTGGCGAATATAGGGTATGGGATCATGAGCTAAGCTTTACAGGTAAATGTATACATGGTATGAACACCTGTGTGTGAAAATGTGCATGACGTATGATTGTGTGTGTAAATGTATATGCCTATATATGATGTTATGCCTGTAAATATACGATGAGTGATTTGGGCATGTATATCCTGGTGAATGACAGTATGCTTAATAAATGCTTACTATATTAAATTAAAAGACAAATTCTGTTCCATTTGAAAAAACAGAATTAGCAAACTTTTCGTGTGCCCATTTCCGCTGCCTGGATTTGCTTTCTCTTTTTTCCTGTCTTAGGCTAGGTATCCTGAAAGCAGAACGAAGACAGGGATTCCCCTGCAGTGATTTATGGCAGAAGGGGTTAACTTCCCTGGCATTTCAGCACAAGGCAATGTCTGAAGAGAGCAGCAGCTGTGAGCCTTAGTGGACAATATTCACAGCAGCTGGCAGTGGGTGCAGCTGCCCAGCCAAGGGCATCTAGGAGGGCCAACTTAGTGTCTAAGTTACCTACGAGATAAAGTTTGGAGTTGCACTGGGAGAGCTCTTCATAACCATGATCAGAAATTTTTTACTTAATCTTGTGTGCAAGGAAAGATTTGGGGTGGGGGCACTGATGGGCTTCTGGAGCTTCAAGATTAGAAGTGGGTCAAGATCAGAGGTGGGCTTCAGGACAACAGCCCTGGGGATGCTCAGAGGATTGAATGGAGGAGGGAAGGGTGTGATGGTCCAGGACAGAGACCATATGGGCCTTTGACGGAGGCAGGGCTGCAGGTAGTGAAAAGAACAATACATTTTGCTAAACTCCCGGCCCTGCTTCCTCCACCCTTGTCCTTCAGGAGCCTACAGGGCCACAGTGCCCAGTGGGGCCCCAAGCGCGTGGCCTCAGAGCCTGCATCCGGCCTGCCTTCCCCCAGCACGAAGGCAGTTCTGGCTCGCATCAAAGGCAGCATTCAGCCAGCTGGGTTCCTGTCCTATAGCCACAGAAATGCCCAATCCCAGTGAGAAGGTGAGAGGCCAGCTGGGTGCATATTTATAAACCAAACTCCCTGTCTTTGTGGAGGGCAGCAAGGCAGTTCCCGGGTGGGCAGTCAGCCCTAAGCCTCAGCTCTGACAGAGCCAATGCTTGTCTGGGCCGAAGGAGGGCCGCCAACTTGGGCCCCTGTCCCGGGCAGGAACCGGGTAGCAGCGTGCAGCTTGGGTTGCACCCTTGGCCCCCTGTCCCGGGCAGGAACCGGGCAGCAGCGTGCAGCTTGGGTTGCACCCTTGGCCCCCTCCCTGTGCCATGGAGGAGTCAGGCTGGTTACAGTGGCATTCCTGATGTTGTCTCATGAAATCTGAGTGCTGAATCCTGAATTATGGCCACACTCCCACTGCTCCACTTGGTGACTCAAAGGAACGCAAAATGGGGTGATTCTGGTCACCCCTGCCAATCGTAGCTCAGAGAATGTGGTATTTGTAGATGGAATTAGAGGCAGCTTTCATGTTAACAGACTGAAATGAGCAGGGTTTGGTTTTGTAAAATAAACTCCTTTGGTCCCAGCTGCCTGGAGGTGACCCAAGCTGCAGACACCCCAATCTGACTCACACAGGCACCGACGCACACACAACACTCTCACACCCACACCACATACACCATGGCCACATGTGTGTACATCTGAAGAGAGGCAGCTCTGGCCTAGTGGTTAAGAGCTCAGAGCCTGGCTGGGTTCAAATCCCAGCTCCAACACTTAATGAATGAGCTGTGTGAACTTGGGCAAGTTCTTCAGCCTGACCTGTAAAATGGGGCTACCAAGAGCACTTAACTCCTAGTATTTATCTATCACAGTCCCTAAGTGTCACTGGGACTAAGTGAGTTCATGTTTGCATAAATGCTCCAAAGAGTGCCTGGCTTATGTAAGTGGTTATGCCTTAGGTCTGAGCAGGAAGCCGCCTCACCCCCATCTCTAAGGGACCTTGGGGAGACCCCTCACCAGTCCCTGGAACTCTCTCCCTTATAAAAGGGGTCGTCCCCTCACCTTAGCAATCAGTGAGTGTGTGAGAGGAAGAGCCTGCAGGGTCCTGTTATCTGCTTTCAACATCCATCTCTCTCCCTGGCTCAAGGCAAGGGAAGGTCTCATGACTCCCACCCAGCTCAGCTCGACTTGGTACTGAGTTCTCGGTCAAGCCTGGGAAACTTCAACTATTAGAATGCACTCAAAGCCCTCCTTCTGCACAAGTAACTTGGAGCCAATGGAGAGCTCACCGTGTGTGGCATCTTTGCACAGAACTTTCCTTCCATTCCCTTCAACTCTCCCTACATACGTCCTGTTTTACCTCCATTTTAGAGAGGAGGAAACCAAGCTTGAGAAACCAGCCAGCTTTCCCAGGGGTGCTGGGCAGCGGGGATTTCAAAGCCCAGTCATTTAACCGCTCACTGGCGCCACCTGTGGGCTTAGCGAATATTTGGGTAGCACCTGGGAGTGACATTCACTCCAACCATCACCATGCAGTGAACATTTATGCGCTTTCATTTCTGGATGACATCAGAAAGAAAGCCATTGGTGCTAGACTTTCTTAACACTTCCCTAACATTTGCTAATGCTTCTTTTCAACAAAAGGAAAGCCCAGCCTCGAACGTGGAACCTTGAACTGACCAGAGTAGCTAGCTGGAATTTAAAATCTCCTGCTATTTTCATTGTGTTCATTTTTATCACTATCTGCTATTTATGTCAAGTGATATTGATTTTTCCATTTCTGGTAGCAATGAAACGTTTCTTTTTAAAATAAATTTCAGTTAGGAAATGAGTTGGCTTAATGAAAAATAATGTAACGAGTCATGGTCAAAGTAGCCTGTGAATATGAGGCACAAAAGTGAAGGAGGTCCTCCAGGGACCTGCACATGGGAATGGCTGCATTTTGCTTTACTGCTTCTCTGGACCTGGGCAACTTGATCCTTGGGGCCCCTTTGTTGGGAGTGTGAGCACTGGGGCAGCTGATAAGTGAATTCTGCCAAGAGGGGCAGTTGGGGCCCAGACCGGCCCATCGCTATTGCAGGGCAGAGGAGCTCCTTCCTGGCACCCTGCTGATTGAAGCTGCCATCTCAATAACCACCCCAGCCTTCAGCCCTGAGCTGGAATTCTAGAAACTCAACTGGACAGTCTAAAGGATGGGGAGACTGTTCTAAGGAAGCAAGTGGATACAGGATGCTGCCATAACTTCTTGCAGTGAGATTCCAAATGTGAGAAGAAAGAAATAGGGAGACAGAGAGGAAGGCATCCCTACACACACACACACATATATCCACAAAGATGCACATACACACAAATATACACATACACACGAGCACATATAATGTGCAAACACACTCATACACACAAGCACACATAAATATACACACAAACATGCATGTGAAAACACACATACATGAACACACAGTCACACAATTGCTTCGTCCCTTGAAGTACCAATCTGGGTGGCGGCTGGTGCAGTGCAGAGACCAGTTTTTCCCGAGCCCTGTTCACGTCTAGTTCAAGACACTCCTCTCACCTCCCAAAATGGAAGTCATGAGAACGCCACACAGCGCCTGACAAAAAAGGTATTTGCTCCATTCTGGCCTAATTACAGGGGCCATTCTGGGCCTGGCCTGGCTAGCGCTGCCTCTCCCCACCCCTCTGCCCGTCCACTTTCCTGTACGGAGGGGCATCTCTGGCCAAGCTGTTTCCCGGACATGGCGTCCATTAGGGCCTCAATTACCTGGCTGGGCCATGGCCTTTGAAGTGGCCGCCGAGGCCTCTGGGAGGCTATTTTTCTCTCACCTGTCGCCACTTATTTTCCTGGGCTCCTGGCCTGTGGCCCGGCATTTTTAACTAATGGGGATTAAATAATCCAGCTGTAATACAAATGCCCACTCCCGGCCCCTGGGTTTGCGTCGGAGTCATTAAGACCTCAGCCGGAGCCGGCAGGCGCTCCCCGTGGAAGGGTTAAGGAGAGGCCGGGCGGCACATTCTGGATTTTTTTATTGCCTCCTCATTATAGCTATTATCCACAAACACAACCGCTAATGAGAGGGCTGAGGAATTTGGGAGAGGAAAGGTTTCATTTGGGCTAGAGAAGGAAGCCATTGTCTGCCCTGAAATAGCAGCACCATGCCTGGGGATACCTCTCCCCTGAACACCCCCACGTTCCAGGGCGGGAGCGCTGGAACCAGGGACAGGAGAGGGTTGGAAGAAGACCCATAGCCTGGGGTTCTGGATGCCTGAGAAGAAAGGGATGCCCTCATCTCACCTGTGGGTGGCAATGTTTACTGCGCACCCTTAGGTGCCCGGGCCTGTGTTAGTGTGGTGAGGTGCCCGTGGAATCCAACACATAATCTGGGACACTCCTGAGAGTAAAAGGTGACACTATTAATAGTTTCTCCAGGACAGCAGACACCAGCCAAAACTAGCAGGAAACAAGTGAAGCGTTTGCCTCAGATGCAAAATTCCAGGGGCTCCAAGATACTGAGTGATCAAATAATATTTTAATGCATTATTTTTTAAAATAATATTAATGCAAAAAAAAAAACCCACGAAGAACAGAGTATGAGCTTTTTTTTTTTTTTTTTTTGAGACAGAGTCTAGCTCTGTTGCCTAGGCTGAAGTGCAGTGGTGTAATCTCGGCTCACTGCAACCTCTCCGCCTCCCGGGCTCCAGCAATTCTCCTGCTTCACTCTCCTGAGTAGCTGGGACTACAGGCATGTGCCACCACACCCAACTAATTTTTGTATTTTTAGTAGACACGTGGTTTCACCATGTTGGCCAGGCTGGTCTCAAACTCCTGAGCTCAAGAGATCCGCCTGCCTCAGCCTCCCAAAGTGCTGGGGTTACAGGCATGAGCCACCATGCCTAGCCAGAATATGGGCATTTTAAATAAAGGAGGATCAGACAGGGTTGGGATTAGAGTAAGGACAGCAAAGCCAAGTCATGCAAGTTGTGCAAGCTCAGGGACAGATCTTGTCTTTAAAATGTTGATATTCTGTTCATCATGGATTTTTTTTTTTGCATCAATTTTGATTTTTTAAGATATTACATTAAAATAGTACTTATTTTAATTACTGAGCGTTCTAACATGCTCTTAAATTTTCCACCCAAGGCTGCCACCTCACTTGCTTCACCCTAGTCCCAGCCCTGCCAAACCAGGTTTGGAAAATTAAAGTCATGTCTGACCCCAGCTCTTGCCTCTGTCTCCCCAGTCTTCTGTGCCCAGACGGAGAGAACTTTCTCATTTCCCCATTTCTCTCTCACTTCTGAGCTTCCCTACAGGCTGTTCCCTCATCCTCAAAATCTCCCATCCCCTTCCCTGTAATAATGACAAGAATGATCACTTACAACCATGTCCAATGAGTCAAGCCCTATACTAAGTGCATAGCACACCATAGCTTATTAAGTAAACCCAACAACCTGTAAAGTAGGTGCTGGGAGGATCCCCGTTTCACAGATGGGGAAAATGAGAAAGGGTGTCTCACTCATGCAGCTCCTGAGCCATAATCACCGAAGCCAGTGCCCTTAACCCCTGTCTTCTCTTGCCTCCATGCAGCTAGTACCCACTCAACGTGTGGTCACGTTCAAAAGCACGCACTCTGGGTTCAGATCGTGGCTCTGCCTAGCTCTGGCTGGATGTCCTAGTCAGGTTACAAACCTCGTTCTGCCTTGGGTTCCTCCTACGTAAAATGGGGATAATAATAACACCATCGAGTAGAGTTATTGTGTGGATGAAATGGGTTAATATATGTAATGTGCTTACAACTGTGTCTGACACATGGGACTTTCTAGATTTTAGCGCTGAAAGTCCCATATCCCAGGAAACAAATCAGTCCAGGGCAAACGGAGGTGGTTGGCCATGCTAATGGGAGATGTCAATAAATGTGAGTTATTATTACTGTTGTTATTATTACTGCTCACCTGGTGTCACCGTGTCCAGATGTCTTCTCTCGTCACTGCATACACTCTCAGCCCAAAACCTGGGTTGGGCTCCCTTCTTGCTGCTCCCATAGCCCCCTGTATTACTCTGTCATAGCACTTGCTGAATGGGTTCATAAGCCACCTGTTATCTGTCTCTCCCGTTACACTGGGGCCTCTAACAAGGCAGGGACTGCAACTGTTCAGGCCCATGTCCTGGCTTATAGGGCAGTTCCTACCACGCTAGGTGCTCAGAAAATTTCTGTTAAATGGCTGAATGAATGAATGAAAGAGGCAGAGACATCAAAAAGAATGCAGTCTAGTTAGCCAGATAAAATTAAGCATATAATATTAGAAAATAGAAACTGTTAAAATACTAAAAGAAACACAGAAATCTTACAACTTAATTCATTCTTCTGCAGGGGAGGTAATAACACTTGGAGAGGTGAAACAGCCTGCCCCACCCGCACTGTCAAGTGACAAGAGAGGCGGAGTTTGAAGGATAGCCTGGAGGACTTCCTTGCCATGAATGGGATCCAGGCATTGCCCCTGGCATCTCATCATGAATGGGAGATAACCCAAACCTCTCTGTCATTCTGCCCAGTGAGGTCTGGGAGAAAGACAATAGGCTGAAGCTGGGAGTCCCGGGTTTCAGCCTTCTTAGGGAAGTTAATTCTCACCATTGTCCTCAATCTCCTTATCTGTCAAAAGGACATACCATCTGCCCGCCTAGACTTCTGACGCTATCATGAAGCTGAGATGCAACTATAGATGTGGGGACTTTGGGAAAATTAACAATGCCTCTGCAGATGACAAGGGTTGCTATGAAAGAACAAAACTGGCTCTCTGGTTCCCAGGGTCTGGTACTGTACCAAGTACACCAATCTCAGCATGCTAGAGTCAAGGCTGGGAATGGTGAGAACCCCAGGAAACATAATTGCCTAGAAACCTCAACTTGGTAAACAATAAAATCTTATTTTTTAATTGAAAAATAATCTGTGGGAGAAGTTCAACATAAAAAAATAGATGAGGCTGTTTAATAGGCAACCTTATAAATTGTAATTCGTACTTTTTTTTCAGACAGGGTCTTACTCTGTCACCCAAGCTGGAGTGCAATAGCACAATGACAGCTCACTGCAGCCTCAACCTCCTGGGCTTAAGTGATCCTCTCACCTCAGCCTCCCAAGTAGCTGGGACTACAGGTGCACACCACCACACCTGGCTCATTTTAGTACTTTTTTGTAGAGACAGGGTTTCACCATGTTGCCCATGCTGATCTTGAACTCCTGAGCTCAAGCGATCTGCCTGCCTCAGCCTCCCAAACTGCTAAGATTACAGGCATGAGCTATCACCCCCAACCTAAATTCATACATTTAATTATTAAGTTAATCACTACACTGAATGTTAGTTCCACTTTCAGCATAACCAAGTAAGTTCTTACCAGGCCTGACCCTCCTGCAGACAACAGCTATAAACTGCACAAAATACAAAAACACCATTGACCTGAAGGGATCAGAGAGTGAATAAATAAGGCAGATCTTAGAGAGCCAACCCTTAAGAGAAGAGAATGACACAGGGTGAGTTACCCACTTCTATAGCTTTTAGCCAGGCAGCAGGCTGAAATCAACCTCACAAGATATAGCTAAAACTTTGATAGAAAACCCAGAGCCTTTCTGGCCTGAAGAATCAAATAACAATGTTTGAAACAAGCAGAGTTACTGGAAGGCAAAGGAGAACCTTCCTTGGAAAGGAGTGAGCTAAGGAGAGAGCCCCCAAACTCTGCATATTAACTCTGCCTAAATCTTGGCTTGACCCCTAAAATATGCATGCATGGGAATAAATCCAGCTAATGATAAAATAACTAAACTGAGAATTGACTTGCTTCCCAAAAGATAGAGTTTGTGGTTTAAGTCTAACCAAGGTAATTGCTTGCCAAAACAAGCAAATCAAAATCAATAATCTTCAGAGAAATATAACAGAGTCCAGAATCTTCACAACATAGCATTCATAACTTCCCCAGTACAACCCACAATCATTCAACATAAAAGAGAGAACAAGAATTTTGTGACCCATTCTTGAGCAAAAAGATAATCAATGGAGACCAATGCTGACATGACTCAGCTGTTAGAATTAATAACAGAAATGTAAAAGCCACTATTATAACTATGCTCACGGACCAAAAGAAAAATAGCTTCACAGTGAATGAAATCTTAGCAGAGAAATACAACTATTTTTAAAAAATGATAGAAATTCTGGAGCTGAAAAATACAGTGTCTGGAATAAAAATTAATCTATTAGGCTTAGCAGCAGAAGTTTGTCTCTGAACAACAGAAAGAACAAAGATTAAAAAAATAATGTGGATCCTAAGGGAAAGCCTATAGTACATGTAATTGGAGTCCCAGAAGTAAAGGAGAGAGATAATAAAGCAGAAAAAAATGTTTTGAAGAAATGATGGCTGAAGTTTTCCCAAATTTAATGAAAGATATAAATTTACAGATTTAAGAACCTCCGTGAATACCAAGCAGGATAAGTACCAAGAAACCCACACCTGGGCACATCATAGCCAAACTCTTGAAAATTAAAAAATAGAAAGAAAATCATGCACCAAGCTAGAAAAAAAAATAACATTACATACAGGGACATCATTTGAAATTTCACTAACTTCTTGTCAGAGATATAAAGACCAAAAGATTGTGTCTTCAAAGTACTGGAAGATAAAAAATAACTCGGAATTCTATATCCAGTGAAAACATCTTTTAATAATGAAGGTGAAATAGAGACATTTCAGATAAAAGAAAATTAAGAGAATGTGTCCTCATCAGATCTGTACTACAAAAAAATGTGAAAAGGAACTCTTCAGGCCAAAGGCAAATGAAGAGCATAGTAAATGGTAAATATCTGGGTAAATATACAAGGCTATTTTTTTCTCTTAATTTATTTAACATACATAAAGTACTTTAAAGCAAAAAATATGATATTGTAGTGTAGAGTTTATAAATGTAAATATAATATAAGAATAGCATACAGGATGGCTGGATACAGTGGTGGAGGGGCAGTAAATGGATTTATATGATTGCAAAGTTTTTATGTCTCATATCAAGTGGTACATATTAATACTCATTGCATGTGGAGGTGTAAGGATTATCTAAGTTCTTTAAGAATGCCATAACAAAATATCATAAACTGGTGGCTTATAAACAGCAAATATTTATTTCACACAGTTCTAGAGGCTGGGAAATCCAAGATCAAGGCACCACCAGATTCTGGTAACAGCCTGTTTCCTGGTTCATAGATTGTGCCTTCTCCCCATGTCCTCCCAGTGGAAGGAGCTAACTAGCTCTTGGGGGTCTCTTTTTTTTTCTTTAATTAAAATGCTTTTATTCATTTTTATTTTTTAAATTTTTTATTTTTTATTTCAATAGATCTTTGGGAAACGTGATGTTTTGTTACACAAATAAGTTATTTAGTGGTAATTTCTGAGATTTTTGTGCACCCATCACCTGAACAGTGTACACTGTACCCAATGTGTAGTCTTTTATCCCTTGCCATCTCCCACCGTTTTCCCCTGAGTCCCCAAAGTCCCATGTATTATTCTTATGTCTTTGAGTCCTCATAGCTTAGCTTCCACACATGACTGTGAACATATGACGTTTGTTTTTCCATTCCTAAATTACTTCACTTAGAATAATAGTCTCCAATTCCATCCAAATTGCTGCGAATGGCATTATTTCATTCTTTTTAATGGATGAGTAGTATTCCACGGTGTGTGTATATATATATATACACCACATTTTCTTCATCCACTTGTTAATTGATGGGCATTCTGACTGGTTCCATATTTTTGCAATTGCAAATTGTGCTGCTATAAACATGCATATGCAAGTATCTTTTTTGCATAATGATTTATGTTCCTCTGGGTAGATACCCAGTAGTGGGATTGCTGGATCAAATGGTAGACTTACTTTTAGTTCTTTAAAGAATCTCCATCACTTATCAGCCTTTTGGCTAAGACCAAGTGTCAGAATCTCCACGTTGTTTTCTGTAATGGTTGTACTACTTTACATTCCCACCAGCAGTGTAAAAGTGTTCTCTTTTCATCACATCCATGCCAACATCTATTTTTTATTATTATTATTATGGCCACTCTTGCAGGAGTGAGGTGGTATCACATTGTGGTTTGATTTGCATTTTCCTGATAATTAGTAATGTTGTGCATTTTCCCATATGCTTCTTGGACATTTGTATATCTTCTTTTGAGAATTGTCTATTCATGTCCTTAGTCCACTCTTTGATGGGATTTTTTTTTCTTGCTGATTTGTTTGAGTTCTTTATAGATTCTGGATATTAGTCCTTTGTGGGATGTATAGATTGTGAAGATTTTCTCCCACCCTGTGGGTTGTCTGTTAACTCTGCTGATTATTTCTTTTGCTGTGCAGAGCTTTTTACTTTAATTAAGTCTCATCTATTTATCTCCATTTTTGTTGCATTTGCTTTTAGGCTCTTGGTCATGAAGTCTTTGCCTAAGCCAATGTCTAGAAGGGTTTTTCCCATGTTAACTTCTAGAATCTTTATGGTTTCAGGTCTTAGATTTAAGTCTTTGACCCATCTTTAGTTGATTTTTTTTTTTTTTGAGAAGAGTTTTGCTCTGTTGCCCAGGCTGGAGTGTAGTGGCATGATCTCAGCTCACTGAAATCTCTGCCTCCTGGGTTCAAGCTATTCTCCTGCCTCAGCCTCCTGAGTAGTTAGGATTACAGGCACATGCCACCATGCCTGGCTAATTTTTTTTCTTTATTTTTAGTAGAAATGGGGTTTTGCCATGTTGGCCAGGCTAGTCTCGAACTCCTGACCTCAGGTAATCCAACCACCTCAGCCTCCCAAATTGCTGGGATTACAGGCATGAGCGACTGCACCTGGCCTCGAGTTGATTTTTGTATAAGGTGAGAGATGAGGATCCAGTTTTATTCTTCTACATGTGGCTTGCCAATTATTCCAACATCATTTGTTGAATACGGTGTCCTTTCCCCATTTTATGTTTTTGCTTGCTTTGTTGAAGATGAGTTGGCTCTAAGTATTTGGCTTTATTTCTGGGTTTTCTATTCTGTTCCATTGGTCTATGTGCCTATTTTTATACCAGTACCATGCTGTTTTGGTGACTATGGCCTTATAGTATAGTTTGAAGTCAGGTAATGTGATGCCTCCAGATTTGTTTCTTTGGGTTTTTATTTTTTATTTTTTCCTTAGTCTTGCTTTGGCTGTGCGGGCTCTTTTGTGATTCCATATGAATTTTAGGATTGTTTTTTCTAGTTCTGTGAAGAATGATGGTGGTATTTTGATGGGAATTGCATTGAATTTGTAGATTGTTTTTGGCACTATGGTCATTTTCACAATATTGATTCTATCCATCCATGAGCATGGGGTGTGTTTCCATTTGTTTGTGTCCTCTATGATTTCTTTTATCAGTGTTTTGTACTTTTCCTTGTAGAGGGCTTTCACTTCCTTGGTTAGGTATATTCCTAAGTATTTTATTTTATTTTTTGCAGCTATTGTGAAAGGGGCTGAGTTCTGATTTTATTCTCAGCCTGGTTGCTGTTGGTATATAGCGGAGCTACTGATTTATGTACATTAATTTTGTATTCTGAAACATTGCTGAATTCACTTACCAGTTCTAGAAGCTTTTTGAATGAGTCTTTAGGGTTTTCTAGGTATATGATTATATCATCCGCAAACAGCAACAGTTTGACTTCCTCTTTATTGATTTGGATGCCATTTATTTCTTTCTCTTCTCTGATTGCTCTGACTAGGATTTCCAGTACAATGTTGAATAAAAGTGGTGAAAGTTAGCATCCTTGTCTTGTTCCAGTTCTCAGGGAGAATGCTTTCAACTTTTCCCTGTTCAATACAATGTTGACTGTGGGTTTGTTGTAGATGACTTTTATTACCTTAAGGTATGTCCCTTCTATGCTGATTCTGCTGAGGGTTTTAATGATAAACAGATGCTAGATTTTGTCAAATGCTTTTTCTGTATCTATGGAAATGATCATGTAATTTTTGTTTTTATTAATAATTCTGTTTATGTGGTGTATCACATTTATTGACTTAGGTATGTTAAACCACCCCTGCATCCATGGTAATGAAACCCACTTGATCATGGTGGATTCTCTTTTTGACACGCTGTTGGATTTGGTTTGCTAGTATTTTGTTGAGGATTTTTACATCTATGTTCATTAGGGATATTGGTCTGTAGTTTCCTTTTTTTTGTTATTTTCTTCCCTGGTTTTGGTATCAGGGTGATACTGGCTTCACACAATGTTTTAGGGAAGATTCCCTCTTTCTCTATCTTTTGGAATAGTGTCAATAGGATTGGTACTAAATCTTCTTTGAATGTCTGGTAGAATTCAGCTGTGAATCTGTCTTGTCCTGGACTTTTTTTTGTTGGCAATTTTTTTATTGCCATCTCAATCTCACTGCTTGTTATTGGTCTGTTCAGAGATTCTATATCTTCCGGGTTTAATCTAGGATGGTTGCATATTTCCTGGAATTTATTAATCTCATAGGTTTTAGAGTTTATGTAAAGGTGTTCACTGTAGCCTTGAATAATCTTTTGTATTTCTGTGGTATCAGTTGTAATATCTCCTGTTTTGTTTCTAATTGAGCTTATTTGAATTTCCTCCCTTCTTTTCTTGGTTAATCTTGCTAATGGTCTATCAATTTTATTTATCTTTTCAAAGAACTAGCTTTTTGTTTCATTCATCTTTTGTATTTTTTTCAATTTCATTTATTTCTGCTCTAATCTTCGTTATTTGTTTTCTTCTGCTGGTTTGGATTAGGATTGTTTTTGTTCCTCCAGTTCCATGAAGTGTGACCTTAGATTCTCTATTTGTGCTCTTTCAGACTTTTTGATATAGGCATTTGATGCTATGAACTTTCCTCTTAGCACCACTTTTGCTGTACCCCAGAGGTTTTGATAGGTTGTGTCACTATTATCATTCAGTTCAAATAAACTTTTAATTTTCATCTTGATTTCATTGTTGACTCAACAATCATTCAGGAGCAGGTTATTTAATTTCCAGGTATTGCATGGTCTTGGCTCCTTTTGGAGCTGATTTCCAATTTTATTCTACTGTGGTCTTAAAGAGTACTTGATATAATTTCTTAAATTTACTGAGCATTGTTTTGGTATTATATGGTCTATCTTGGAGAATGTTCCATGTGCTGATGAATAGAATATATATCCTGCAGTTGTTGGATAGAATGTTCTGTAAATATCTGTTAAGCCCATTTGTTGTAGGGTATAAAGTCCATTGTTTCTCTGTTGACTTTCTGTCTTGATGACCTGTCTAGCGTTGTCAGTAGAGTATTAAAGCCCCCTACTATTATTGCATTGCCATCTATATCATTTCTTAGGTCTAGTAGTACTTGTTTTATAAATTAGGGAGCTCCAGTGTTAGGTGCATATATATTTAGAATTGTGATATTGTCCTGTTGGACTAGACCTTTTATCATTATATCATGTCCCTTTTTGTTTTTTTTAACTGCTGTTGCTTTAAAGTTTGTTTTGTCTGATATAAGAATAGCTACACCTGCTTGCTTTTGATGTCCATTTTCATGGAATAGCTTTTTCCACCCCTTTACCTTAAGTTTATGTGAGTCCTTATGTGTTGTTGAGTCTTCTGAAGACAGCAGAAATTTGGCTGGTGAATTCTTATCCATTCTGCCTTTCTGTATCTTTTAAGTAGAGCATTTAGGCCATTTAAAATTCAATGTTAATATTGAGGTGTGAGGTACTATTCTATTTATCATGCTATTTGTTGCCCAAATACCCTTTTTAAAAAATGTGTTATTGTTCTATAGGTCCGGTGATATTTATGCCTTAAAGTGGTTCTATTTTGGTGTATTTTGGGGATTTGTTTCAAGATTTAGAGTGCCTTGTAGCAGTTCTTGTAGTGCTGGCTTGGTAGTGGCAAATTCTCTCAGCATTTGTTTGTCTGGACAAGATTGTATCTTTCCTTCATTTATAAAGCTTAGTTTCAGTGGATACGAAATTCGTGGCTGACAATTGATTTGTTTAAGGAGGCTAAAAATAGGACCACAATCCCTTCAGCATGTACGGTTTCTGCTGAGAAATCTGCTGTTAATCTTACAGGTTTTCTTTATAGGTTACCTGATGCTTTTGCCTCATGGCTCTTAAGATTCTTTCCTTCATCTTGACTTTAGATAACCTGATGACTATTTGTCTAGATGAAGATCTTTTTGCAATGAATTCCCCAATGTTCTTTGAGCTTCTTATATTTGGATGTCTAGCTCTCTAGCAGGGCCAGGGAAGTTTTCCTCAATTACTCCCTCAAACATGTTTTCCAGGCTGCTATTGGTGGCTCATGCCTGTAATCCCAGCACTTTGAGAGGCCAAGGTGGGTGGATCATGAGGTCAGGAGTTCAAGACCAGCCTGGCCAACATAGTGAAACCCTATCTCCACTAAAAATACAAAAATTAGCCGGGCATGGTGGCGTGTGTCTGTAGTCCCAGCTGCTTGGGAGGCTAAGGCAGGAGAATTACTTGAATCCAGGAGGTGGAGGTTGCAGTGAACCGAGATCGCACCACTGCATTCCAGCTTGGGCAACAGAGTGAGACTTCGTCTATATATATATATATATATATATTATATATAATACGTATTATATAAAATATATATATAATACGTATTATATATAATATATATAAAATATATATATATATTTTTTTTTTCCAAACTGTTAGATTTCTCTTCTTCCTCAGGAACAGCAATTATTCTTAGGTTTGGATGTTTAACATAGTCCCAAACTTATTGGAGGCTTTGTTCATTTTTTAAAATTCATTTTTCTTTGTCTTTGATGGATTGGATTAATACAAAAGCCTTGTCTTTGAGCTCTGAAGTTCTTTCTTCTGCTTGTTTGATACTATTCCTGAGACTTTCCAGTGCATTTTCCATTTCCCTAAATATGTCCTTGATTTCCAGAAGCTGTGAATGTTTTTTCATTTATGCTATTTCACTGAAGAGTTTCCCATTCATATTCTGTATTATTTTTTATTTCTTTAATTTGGACTTCACCTTTCTCTGGTGCCTTCTTGATTAGCTTAATAATTGACCTCCTGAATTCCTTTTCTGGCAATTCACAGATTTCTTCTTGGTTTGGATCCATTACTGGTTAGCTGGTCTTTTGGGGGTGTTAAAGAACCTTGTTTTGTCATATTACCAGAATTGTTTTTCTGATTCCTTCTCATTTTGGTAGACATGTCAGAGAGAATATCTGGGATTCAAGGGCTGCTGTTCAGATTCTTTAGTCCCACGAGGTGCTCCATTGATGTTGTGTTCTCCCCCTTCCCCTAGGAATGGGGCTTCCTGAGAACCAAACTGTAGTGATTGTTTTTGCTTTTCTGAATCCCACCCAGCGGAGCTACCAGTCTCCAGGCTGGTACTGGGGAGTGTCGGCAAAGAGTCCTGTGATGTGATCGGTCTTCGGGTCTTGCACTCCCCTGCTACCTCCACTGGAGCAGGTGCTGGTATCTGTGGATAAAAGTATTGAATATAGTTAGATTGAGGTCTAATTAATCCGTGGATACCAGCACCTGCTCCCCTGGAGTTAACAGGGGGGTGAAGTGGACTCTGTAAGGGTCCTTGGTTGTGTTTTTGTTTAGAGCACTGGTTTGGTATTGAGTAGCCTGCAGCCAGGAGGTGGCGCTTTCAAAAGCCCATCAGCTGTGGTCCTATAGGGAGGATGCAAACTTGCCCTAGGGACACCTGGTCAAGTTTCTTATTCAGGTTTCTTAGCTGGTCGGCAGGGCCATAGAGCTCCCAAGAGATTATGACCTTTGTCTTTGGCTACCAGGGTGGGTAGAGAAAGACCACCAGCTGGGGGCAGGGATAAGTATGTCTGAGCTCTGTCTCTCCTTGGGCGGGGCTTGCTGCAGCTGTTGTGGGGATTGGGGGTGTGGTTTCAAGTCCAATGTGGTTATATTTCCAGGGAGATTATGGTTGCCCTGCTGAGTCATACAGGACACAAGAAAAGTAGGGGAAAGCCGGCAGTCACAGGCTTCACCCGGCTCCCACACAGCCTGTAGTCCTACCATGTGTTGGGCAGTAGCTATGCCTACATAATGGTGAGCAAAAACATTCAATAATTTTTTTTTTTTTGAGACAGGATCTGGCTCTGTTTCCCAGGCTAGAGTGCAGTGGCATGAACACAGCTCACTGCAGCCTCAACCTCCTAGGCTCAAGTGATCTTCCTCAGAGGTCTTTTTTATAAGGACACTAATCCTGATCATGAGGGCAGAACCCTCATGATCTAATTACCTCTCAAAGCCCCACCTCCTAATACCATCTTTTGGGGGATTGGGATATCAACATATGGATTTTGAGGCGGCAGAAACATTTACACAATAGCAAGGATTATGTTGAAATGCTTAGAGCAACCACTTAAAAATGTGATTCTAAAAGGTATATATAGCTAAAAAGACAATAGATAAGTTAAAATTGAATTCTAAAAATATATTTGAATAACACAAAAGAAGGCAAAAAGAGGGACAGGAAAACAAAACCCAAGGGTCAGAGAAAACAAATAATAAAGTGGTAGAACTCAATCGAACTATATCCAATACTTTCATTAAACGTTGATGGACTAAACACTCTAATTAAAAGGCAGAGATTACTCATAAGGATAAAGATCACTAAGAAAAGAAAAGTCACTTGAATGAATGCAGGCTGGACATTCACCTCGTGTGTGCTGATACAGCTTGCTAGTTGCTAAAATATTTAAATACTTCCATACCTGATTCGTAACTAGCCCCCAGTGCCCCATCTATTTTAAACCCTCACTTCTTCCCCCATCAACCCTCATCTCTACAACCCAGCATCTCAATGGTTCATGCCTGGCACAGGATAGGGACCCTGGGACCCAGCTGCAGCATGGAGGCCATAATCCATTCTAATTTGACATTTCTAGTGCTATAGTATTTTGAATAACACCCCTGGATGAATGCCAAAATTTGAAACTAGGAATTTCAAAGGCCTCATTCAGGGTCTTGCCAGCCTCAATATGTAATTCCCTTCAGTATTTGTTTTTCCTGCACTTCATTCAGAAGCACATTCTGATTCACACTGAAAAATAGTTTCAAGTGATAACAGTTTTATTCTTCTATTAACAATTCAATTTGTAATCTCAGTATATACATCAATTAAACAAAGACATGGAGAAATATTATTTTAAAGCCTGCACCCCCACACACACCCCAAAAAAAGTTATTTGGCAGCACATAATAATGCCTCAATGATCTCCAGTAGGTTTAAATTGGGAAACATACCTTAACATACCTTTTGCTTGTTTTTATTTTTTGTAAATAAAAATTTTGTTTTTATTATAGTTTCTTAAATACTTCCAACCATATAAAAAGAAGAAATTTTAATCAAGCATTTGAGATACTAAGGGCTGTGTAAAATGTACTTTAAACTCCTCCTTTCCCCACTCTATGAGGAAACTGATGCCTAAAGACTGTGTGGGGGTGTGTGTGTGCGCATGTGTGTGAGCACATGGGTGTGAGTGTATGGGTGAGAGTGTATGAGAGTGTGCCTGGGAACATGTGTGAGCATACAGGTGTGTGTGTAAGTGTGTCATAAGTGGCAGTGTGGTGTGTGTATGTGTGTGTGAGAGTGTTGTGATGTGTGTGTGTGGTGTGTGGTGTTTGTGAGTGTATGAGTGTGTGATGTGTGAGTGAATGTGTGGTGTGTGTGAATGTATGGGTGTGTGTGGGGTGTATGTGTGGTATGTGGGTGTGTGGTGCGAGTGTGTGTGGGTGTGTGGTGTGCGTGTATGTGAGTGTGGTGTGAGTTTGGTCAGTGTGAGACTGTGGTGTGTGTATGTGTATGTGTGAGTGTGGTGAGTGTGTGTGGTGTGTGTATGTGTGTTTGGTGTGTGTGTGGGGTGTGAGTGTGTGTGGGGTGTGAGTATGTGACTGGTGTGTGTGATGTGTGACTGTGTGTCGTATGTATGTGAGTGCGGTGTGTGAGTTTGGTGTGTGTGTGGTGTATGTGTGGTGAGTGTATAAGCATGTGTGCATGCGTATGTGTGGTGTGTGTGTGTATATGGTGTGTGTGAGTGCATTGTGTTGTGTGCGCATGAGTGTGTATGAATACGAGTGTGTATGTGAGTGTGGTATGTGTGAATATGTGTATGTGTGAGCGTGGTGTGTGTGAGCGTGTGTATGAGCATGTGAGTGGTGTGTGTGTGGGTGTGTGATGAGTGTATGAGTGTGTGTGTGTGTGTGGTGTGTGTAAGTATGAGAGTATGGTTTATGTGTGTTGGGCGGTGAATGTGTGTGTGAGTCTGTGTGCATGAGTGTGTGTGCCAGCACACAAGATCACCGAGGCTTCTCCACATGAGTTCTCTCATAGGACCTCAGGAGTACTTGGAGAAGGAATGGGAGGGAACGCCCCATTTTCCCGAGCCTCTGCCCTCTGCCTGGGTTCCTCCTCTGCCCAGTCTGGGGGACGCCACATTCCCGGACAAGCCAGCGGGCCATGCCGCATCGCACACTGCCCGGTGATGCTGGCGGCCCCCGTGTCTGAGTGCAGAAAGGTCACAGATGGGGTTTTAGAGACACTCGTGATTACCTTCTGGGTGACCGCCGAGACGGGCCACTTTGGGGCTGACACCTTTCTAAACATAGCACGGGGGAAGGGCCGACATCCCGTTCGTCACCAAAGCCACTTACTTACCCACCCAGACAGGCCCACACGCCAACGGGAGCCACTTATAGCCACCTTCAAAAGGGCCCGGAGTGGGTGCAGTGCCCGGGGAAGGGAGGGCGTGACGCAGGCCACTGCCTGCAACCTCTTGGCCAGAGAGGAAACTCTGCTGCATGACATTTAGAGGCCGAGGGACCTGGGTTCAAATTCTACCTCTGCCCCTGCCAAATTCTACCTCTGCCCCTGCCAGAGTGGGAACTTTTCACTCCTCGAAGCTGCCTTTCTTTCCATTGGCAAGATGGAGATCGGCATTGTACTGACCCCGTTCCTAAGAAGCAAGGCCTGGAATGCTGGAATGGACCCCTCTCCCTACCCATGGCATTTTTTTTTTTTTTTGACAGAGTTTCACTCTTATCTCCCAGGCTGGAGTGCAGTGGCGCGATCTCGGCTCACTGCAACCTTCGTCTCCCAGGTTCGAGCAACTCTTTTCCTCAGCCTCCCAAGTAGCTGGAATTACAGGCTCCTGCCACCACAATCGGCCAATTTTTGTATTTTTAGTAAAGATGGGGTTTCCCCACATTGGCCAAGCTGGTTTCGAACTCCTGACCTCAAGTGATCCGCCCACCTTGGCCTTCCAATGTGCTGGGCTTACTGGCGTGACACCCTTGGCTCTTTTAGGCTTAAGTACCTGGTGGGAAATCTAATGAGGTCTTGGTTGAGGTCCAGGTGAGGCAGGCCCACCTGGGGTCACAGGAAGAGCTGCGGGTACATAGATGGGGTCCAAGTTCAAGTCCATATGTGCTGCGTAGCTTTGGGTGAGCCACTCCTGCTTCCTGAACCTAATTTCTCTGAGCTGTTCTTCTTGTCCTTCTAGACCTATTTTGAGTACTGCTTCAGCCACTGGTCCTAATATCTGCATAAAACAGGGTTCATCCTGAGCTGATCTAATCGCCTGAGACTACCCAGGCCTAGCCCTGTGGGCTCTATGTGTGTGTGTTTGTGTGTGTGTGTGTGTGTGTGTGTGTGTGTGTGTGTGTGTGTGTGTGTGTATAGACGGAAGAGGAGAGGGTTAGGGCTGTTTAAATATGACAGCTTTATTAAGATGTAATTCACATGCTATGCGATTCACCCATTTAAAGTATACAATTTAAAGGTTTTTGGTATATTCATATCACGACAATCAATTTTAGATTTTTATTACCCCAAAAAGAAACTCCATTCCCCTTAGCCATGCCCCCCTCATCTCTGCCCCCGTACTCCTCCCCTCATTCCACTTTCCCCAGGCCCTGGCGACCACGAATCTACTTCCGTGTCTGTGGCTTTGCCTCTTCTGGTCATTTCCTGTTAATGGGATCATATAATAGGTGGTCTTTTGTGACTGTTACTGCTTGGGCTTCGGCCCCCAAGGCAAACTTGAGAGCCTTCTTTCCAGACATGCAGGGAAGGTCTGTTCCCTTCCTCTTGGCACACATCCTCGTTTTTACCAGGGGCCCAGGAGCTTCCATGCTGCCCTCAGGCTTCTGTCAATGCAAATTAACTCACTGCAAGGTGGCAGAGACTAACCGTGTCTCCAGACTCATTGCTTTTTCAAAGAGGAGCCAAGAGAAGCGATGATTAACCCAGTAGAGCAACTTGGCATTGGTGCCCCCTTGGGATCCCTCAGGAAAGATATCCAGAAGCAGAAGCCCCTTCCCAGAGCCCCTCAAGTCACAGGTCAGAGCTAACAACCATGTCCCCTAATAGGCCCAGGTGAATATGATTCTCTAGGGCTTCCTACCCGGTCTGTCCCAGCAACACTGTGCTGCAGGAGAGACAGGACCCAGGGGTTGGCATGTCCCAGCCCCACCCTCCTTAAGCAAGTTATACTGAGGCTGAGGGGGCAGCTTAGGGTGACCAGCCCCTGCTCCCATGTGCTCACCCTCCCAGGACAATGTGCCCTGGGACAATGAGCAGCCCAAGCCTGCATACACCAAGCTTTCCATCTCTTCCCCAAATTAGTGTACAATTTTGGGCAAGTTTTCCTCCTCTCTGAGCCTCAGTTTCTTCATCTGCAAAATGGGGATGACAGCTCCCACTGGATTGGGTTATTGAGAGGCTTAAATGAGCTGGTCCATGAAGACTCCTTGCATGGAGCCAGGGGCACAGATCTGAGTCTGGACAAAGTAGGCATCTTGGTGATGATAACAGTGAGGAAGAGGAAGATGCTGGGGTTAGTACACAGATGCTTTGGGAAGCGGGCCCAAGCTCTGTCAGTGGGAGCTGGGGGCTGCACGCTCCTCTCCCTGCCAACAATGCTCTTCGCCATCAGCGACATCTGGCTCTCTGCCCCGGATGTGTATTAGGAGTGATTACGTGTCCCTTTAAATTCTGGGAGCTGTCGCTAACGGGTGCCGAGGTTTATTTGCCACCATTTATTTCAGCTCCCATGCAGTCCCTGCCCCTCTCTCCTGAGAGGGGCAGGCATGGACAGACACCTGCTCAGAGTGTTTAATTTCCATGAACAGTGTGCTTCTTGGGAAGGAGCGCGTTTGAAGTGCTCCATGTTGGCTCAAAATGAGTCCCAGTAGGCACCACCACCCGAGACACTATGCTCCCCCTTTCCTGGGGATGGAGAGGAAGGGAAGCCCTTTCTAAAGAGAGGATCACATCGGTTAAAAATTAGGGTGGAGGAGAAAAGATGAGGATAAGTCCAACCTCGGGGTGAGGACCGAGCAGGGCTTCGCAGTAAAGACAGGCCTGGGCTTGGATCATGTGTTGTCACATTCTGGGGCACATTTCTTACCCTCTCTGTAAAAAGGAAAAGCTGAGCCCCTTTTCCCAACACCCCCCCACAACAAATACACACACACACGCACACAAACACACACACGAGCTGACAGGATTAAATGTGCTGGAAAATGCTGGACCCAAACTGCAAAGGCTGATAATATCACAACCACCCCAAACATCTGTGGCACAAAGGACAAGAAGCCTCCACTTCCTGATGTCTCTCTCTCCTGACTCTGCCCCTCGTGGAAGGGGACCCCTCAGAGTTGTGTGTGGACTCTGCAGCGCACCCTCCAGCTCTTTCCACACACTTCTCCCTCCATAACAGCTGCCTGTTGGCCACCCCTGGGATCAAGGGTGCCTTCACCAGGTGTATAGCTCACCTTTTGGGGGACAGACTCACAGAAGTCAGCCATACAGGCCCTGGAAGGGCCATTTGAGCAAAGAATTCAGAAGCCCCAGGTACCTGGAGTATCATCTAGAAATGGGTCACCTCCACTTGACCCCACAGACACCTCAACCCTTGGCTGCAAAGCTTCCTCACCCCCTGGGGTGGGGAGTGGCTCAGGGTGGACAGAGCCAGGCCTTCTGAGGTGCAGGCTCGGAGCAGCGACCCCTCTTGCCCAGGTCTAGGTGCAGTACTAAAGTCAGGAGCTGGTGAGGATGAAGATAAATGGTTCCCATCAGCCAGGACTGGTAGAAGTAGAAGACAGTATGGCTATTTTGGAAGGCAACTTGGCAGTGGCTCCTGAAACTTAAAACACACAGAGATCCAGTGACCCAGCAATTACACCTCTTCGTGGCTACCCCAGGAAACACTCACCACCGTGTCTAAAGAGGTATGTGCCCAGACGGTCACACCATGTGATTTACCAAAGTTGACAAAATGAGAACAACCTAAATGTTCGTCAGATGGGGAATGTCTAATTAAACCACAGCATAGCCATTCCATGGAACGTTGTGCAGCCAATAAAAAGAATCATGTTGTTTCTACGGGTTCTCACAAGGGACAAGCATGAAGACACGTTGTTGGGGGGGAAAGAAACGTGAGTACTTTGAGTCTGTTTACATCAAATCAAATCAAAACAATGCCATATATTTCCACAAATACATATACACGTGTGTAAATATGCAGAAGCATGTCTGAAAGAATTCACAATAATTGTCTCCAGGGAATGAAGTATGGCACCAGGACTAGGGGATAGTGGTCACAAAGAACTTAATTCTAAGCTGTAACATGTATATCTATATATATCTGCATGTAGTCATGTGTTCCTTGTGTAGTTAAAATGTCCTCTAAATTTTTTTATTATTATTATTATTATTATTATTTCAGAGTCAAGGTTTTGTTCTGTCACCCAGGCTGGAGTGCATTGGAAGAAGCTCCTCACTGCAGCTTCTAACTCCTGGGCTCAAAACATCCTCCCACCTCAGCCTTCCTAGAAGCTGGGACTACAGGTATGTGCCAACACACCCGGTTATGTATTTTTTTATTTTTGTAGAGATAGGGTCTCATTGTGTTGCCCAGTCTGGTCTCAAATGTCTGGCCTCAAACAATCCCTCCACTTCCCCCTCCAGAGTCACTGAGTTCATCTAGATTTTAACTGAGCAGATGCTCAATTGAAGTTCATCTGTGCTTCCTACCTTTTCATCCTCAGAGCACTTGAAAGTTTCCAAAACATTTTGCACCCACAGTCTGTAAGTCAACAGAGCCCAGAGAGTCACACTTTAAAGATGAGAAAAGCAAGGTTCATCCCAGGAAATAACCAAGAGTCTCCAAAGCCCTCCTAGGAAGGACTCTCTACCCAGGAACATTAGAAGGTAGCAGGTAAGGGAAAATTGAACATCTTTAATGGAGGAGGAAAAAGATTCCCACATTCTGCTTCTCTTCACTCCTTAGCTGATGAAATATGATCATCTGCATGTCCTCCTTCTGCCATGGGGTCTGCCTGGAATGCCTGCCTTATCCCACTTGTTTTTATGCTTCCAAGCATAGTTCATCTTGCCTCCTCCAGGAAGCCTTCCCTGACTAACCCAGCCCAATCTTCTACTCCTTCCTCTGCTGCTTCTAAGTTAGCTACAACTAGCCATGTGTATCCACAGGGATACTTATTGTGCACCTACTACACGCTAGTGGCTTAAAAAAGGGTTTTGTTTTGTTTTGTTTTGAGACGGAGTTTTGCCCAGGCTGGAGTGCAATGGTGCAATCTCGGCTCACTGCAACCGCCGCCTCCTGGGTTCAAGCGATTCTCCTGCCTCAGCCTCCCAAGTAGCTGGGATTACAAGTGCCCGCCACCAGGCCCAGCTAATTTTTTGTATTTTTAGTAGAGACGGGGTTTCACTATGTTGGCTAGACTGGTCTCGAACTCCTGACCTCAGGCGATCCACCCACCTTGGCCTCTCAAAGTGCTGGGATTACAGGCGTGAGCCACTGTACCTGGCCAAAAAAGGGTATTTTTAAAAATACATTGGAACACTTAAGAAACATCTAAATGTTAAACTGTGTAGTACTAAGAGTGAGTTATTCAAAATTTAATTATTTGGTAACCTCAGCGATTCAAAGTACAACTCTAAAGAATTGTTGCCTTATCCAGACATTTTTACTTATAGATGAGCCCCCATGGGATCCTACTTAGGGCTTAATTACTCTTACTTGACAAACAATACTAACAATTGCAGTGATGCGGTTTTGAAACCTACGGAAGCATCAAATTAGAATGGGGAGCGAGGTGATGCTTGAGAAGCATGTACATCAGGAAACAGAAGTGACAGCCCTCATCCTGGCAGGAAAATGAGAGAGAAACATTCACAATGCAGACAGGATACTTGAAAAAGCAGAGCCCCTGGGGACATTTGGCACAAGGACAAACAATCCTCCATACTTCGGTGGGTCTTGAACACATTCTGAATGTATCATAGCACAGAATACTAATGAATATTCATATTTTAAGGCCTCCATGGAAGGTTAAATAATGTTCAGAGTTCTCTAAGAAAACATGGACATAGATGATCTAGTCAGGAAATTTTTATCTTAAGACATTTAAATAAGAAAAAGTTGCATACAGAAAGGGCAACTTTCAATTACCTAAAATATTTAAATACATGGATAAATGTTGCTGCCCCATGATTCTGGGTAATTGAGGCACGGCAGGTTGTAGCAGATTTTTCTGTGGGTGCTGGTCTCCACTCACTGCCATCCTCGAGCTTCACCTGTAATTAGAGATCCGTGTTCTGTGCCCATCCCCAAGGCCTGAGAGCCCTAGCACGGCCCGGGCCCAGTGGAAGAAGATGCCTACAGGGTGATGGGCTGCAGCTCACAACTGACTTCACCTCTCAGCCTGGTGCGCAGCTCTGGCCCTGAGACTCAGTAGGACAAGAGTGAGCTGAAAAAAAAAGCACTGGAAATTGGTGAGAATAAATAGAAGGTAGGCCTCTGTGGTCTGAATTAAACAAAAACTGAGAGGAGACAGGAGGCAGGTTTGTAGACATGAAAGAGACAGAGTGGCAAAAACCCAGAGTCTGGGTCTTCAGATGTCAGAAAGCCACAAGCCCATGAGAACATCAAGATTCAGTGTGGCAAAGAGAGTCCAGTTGGTTTCCTACTCCCATCATATGCTAATATCTGTTGGGATAAGGAGATGCAGAGGCAGGTCCAGACTCAGAAAGACTAACCTGAGCGATTGGCTATCCATTATTGATGTCTGCCACAGGCGCAGAAAGAGTGGGGAGCAGTGAGTGTGCCAAAGATCTGCTCTCCTTAATCTAGTCCAATCCCCTTATACAGGTTTCTCCAGCAAGAGAAAGAAGGGGATGGGTTAGAACTGTAATGTCCAGGGTAGCTGCTAGCCACATGTGGCTACTGAGCACTTGAAATGCAGTTGGTCCAAATGAAAATGTATAATTGTAAAATACACACTGAGTTTGGAAGACAATATGAAAAAGAAGAATGTAAAATATCACATTAACATTTTTATGTTGTTTGCATGTTGAAATAATATTCTGGACATAATGAGTTAAATAAAATTTATTATTAAATTAATTTTACCAGGTTTCACTTTACTTTTTTAAAAATGTGGCTAGTAGAGAATTTAAAATTATATAAATGGCTCACATTTACATTTCTATTGGATAGTGCTGTATTAGAACAAAGAAAAGGCACTCTGCCAGGCAGAGCGTAACAGTGGATGGCGAACTTATCGTGCTAATCTTGGAGGTCCTCCTGGAGGAGGAAATGATCCAAAAATGTCTTCTTAAATCCATGATGCTCAGTCCACTTTTATTTTTTCAAGATGATAAAGATATTGAAATTGAAACAATTAGACTCATGGAGTCAGGGAGTAGAATGATGGTTACCAGAGGCTGGGAAGGGTAATGGGGAGACGGGGATAAAGTGGGGATGTATAAAGTACAATTAGATTGAATGAATGAGATCTAGTTTTTTTTGTTTTTTTTTAGACCGAGTCTTGCTCTGTCACCCGGGCTGGAGTGCAGTGGTGCTATCTCAGCTCACTGCAACATCCGCTTCCCAGATTCAAGCAATTCTCATGCCTCAGCCTCCTGAGTAGCTGGGATTACAGGCGTGCACCACCACACCAGGCTAATTTTTGTATTTTTAGTAGAGATGGAGTTTCGCTGTGTTAGCCAGGCTGGTCTTGAACTCCTGACCTCAAGTGATCTGCCCACCTCGGCCTCCCAAAGTGCTGGGATTACAGGTGTGCGCCACCACGCTCAGCCAAGATCTAGTATTTGGTAGCACAACAGGATGGCTACAGTTAACAGTAATTTATTGTACATTTTAGAATAACTAAAAGAGTAGAGTTGGAATGTTCCTCACACAGAAAAAAGATAAATGCTTCAGGTGATAGACACCCCAATTACCCTGATTTGAATATTATGCACTGTATGCCTGTATCAAAGCCTCACAAGTACCCCATAAATATCGACACCAAGGACTTACTCATAATAATTAAAACTTCAAAAACTTAGAAAAAAAATTTTTTTAAAGACATTGGGACAAATTGCTAGACCATCACCTTTGGAGTCAAAGTCACGGCGCACACTGAAGCCCTGCAGCCGCTTCTGTGTCCCAGCCATATAAACTTACTTATCTCCATGGTCTCATGTCACCCTCTCAAATCCAAAGAAGGGCGGCACATCCGCATCCCCATCCTGCAGCTGCTCCAGCTGTGCCTCTGGAAGGCTACGTAACTTGTCCAAGTTCACAAACTGTGAGACGTGGCAGAGATGAGTGCTCCTTCCACCATGTGGGTGGGGGGAACGAAGGAGACCTCAGCTGGCGCCTATTTTTAACCAAAGAATTGGAAATGTTCTTCTGAAAAGCTCTGAATGGAATGCAGCCTTGCAATAAACCGTAATCAAAACCTGATTTTGCAGGGCACAAAAGGAAAGAGCCCCCTCCTGTTATTTCTTCATCCAAGCTTTCCTGGAAAGGGAAGTGCGAGGCTAGGCCTGCATATGGTTGGTGACGCTGCAGAGTGCAAGCCCTGGGTGGCCGTGGGTAGACCGTGGCTCTCTCTGGGCCCCAGTGCCCTGCCTCGGCCATGAGTAGGTGATTTCAGCCTCTCCAATTGCAGAAAATCTGCTCTAATCCAGGCACCCCTTGACAGTGTCGTACCTAGGAACCTTGGAGTCGAGATAGTAGAGATCTAAGGAGACAGTGGGTGACAAAGCTAAGCTTTCCCAGCTCTGGAGCACTGTGATCCTCTGGGCAACTGTGCACAGCTGTACAGGTTGTTCACTACACCAGAGCATTCCTAACAGCCATAATGGGGGAATAAATTCAGCCTCCACCCCACTCTTCTAGTGTGATGCCTGGTATGAGCTGCCCTGAGAAAGGTGTATCTCAATTAATCTGCACAAAGGCGCTGTCCAGGCTACCTGGGTGCCCTGGCATTCCCCCCCTACTGAGCACTCACTCCCAAAATGACTCCACCCACCTTTTCTTCATACCCAAACAAAAGACCCTAATGTTGTGCCTGTTCATGAAATTGGCACAGCCTGAGGCCAGAGGTCAGAGAGAACATGAGCATTAATCGTGACCTTGGAACCAAAGGTAGCCAAGGGTACAGGAGCTGGGAGCAAGGGGCACTCTGGTGTGCATGGAAGCAGAGACAAAGCCAGAGGCAGAGGGACTGTCTCCCCGCCTGGGCTTGGCAGCTTCATGGTCCGGGAGCCACTCTACCACCAGCTCGCTGTGTAGCTCCAGACAAGTTTCTTTCTCTTCCTAAGCTTTGGTTTTTGCATCTGTCAAATGGGCGTGATACTCCCAGGGCCCTGCTGATTCTCCCAGCGGGGAGGTGGACATGACCACATATGCTGGGCCACAGAGGGGAGTCGTGGCTGACTGCCATGCACGATCCAGGGCGTGGCAGGTGTCATCTGCCCCCGAGGGCCCACTAGATTACTCAGCTGGCTCTGGTCCTCTGGCCTTGCATACTCAGCCACCCTCCGCTTTGCCCCCAGACCTTCCCAATCCACATAAGCCCTGCAGGGCTGCCCACTTGCACAGCCCATCTCGAGGATGAGACACGGGGATGGAGAGGCGAGGCACACTCTTCATAGAGTGAAGGGATTGGCAGCCCATCCACATGGATTTCCTTCTCCCAGGCCCAGCTGCAATGGAGGAGTCTGAGAAGGCTGAGGCTTGGTCCTCGCTGTCTGGGAGCTGGCCCAGGTGAGAGGACAGAAAGCAGACTTGGGGACCCTAAAAAAGAAGACAGGCTGACCAAGCTGAGGACAGGGCCACCACATCCCAGGCTCCCTGTGACTGCCACACCCCCAGCCCGGCTCAGTGCCTGGAAAGACATGTCACTTGGCAAAGCTGCCCCTCGATGCCAGGGTGCTGGGCCTTTCCCCAGTCCTGTAGACTTGACCATGACTTTCTGCCTCTGCCCATGATCATGAGCCCTGGGCCCACCAAGCGATCCCTCTGTTTGCAGTGCTGGGGCTAAGGAGAGGTGACTGTGCCCAGCCAGCCTCTACTCCGAGGCACAGGAGGGCCCCGGCTCCCAGATGCAAGGCCGAGCGCGGGCAAGTGCTGTCTGGGTTTTAATCAATTGCCATCTGAGGTACTCGGATCATGCGAGGTGACGGCTGACCCAGCCACTTTCTGTAATTGGGATCAAGTGCCCTCTTGGTCTCTGGAGAAGAGGGTGTAGGGCACAAAAGGCCCATCATGGCCCGGCCTCTCGACTCCCTAGAAGGATGGGGGCCTAGGCCACCCCCACTTAGGGGGAGAAACTTCAGCCCACTCCCCCGCTTGCAGCCACAGTAGCCTCCCTGCCTCAGCTGCCAGGCCCACCTGCTGGAGGGGAGGAGGAGGAGAGAAGATGAGAATCCACTTCTCCTCCCCCAACGTAAGGCATCTTTTCACTTTCTCAGGCCTCCCTCTCTGCCTGTGACCCTCATGGCACAGATAGCAGCTCAAGGGGGACACATCTGGAGTTCTATCCCAACTCTGCCACTTATGGGCTGAGTGTAAGTCCCATGCCTCCCTGAACCTCAGTTTTTGTATCTGCAAAATGGACATTTTTGTATCACCCAGCCGTTGTGGCTGAGAGGATCCAAACAGGATGCATCACCACGGTCCACCTGGCGTGTTGGTGCCCAATCAGGGCTAGCCCCGCATCCAACATCCTGTGTAGAATGGGAGAATGACACCAACCCACTCAGTTCCTTAATTTAGCAACCAGTGTGCATGTTCTTTGTTTTCCCTGAAACGCCATGCAAATATTTATTTTGTTATTACATCAATCATGAAAATTAATATTAGTAAGCACATCCAACATCTCATAAGACACGTCCAGCTCTGTGAAAAAAAAAAACAAAAAACCCACACCTTTCCTTACACTGTCTACTTGAATCCTCATATCAATTCGCTGGGTACAACTGTCATCCCCACTTTACAGATGGGGAAGCTGAGGTACAGACAGATTGAGGAAATTAGTTCTAGTAGAAGGGAGGCTAGATTTTGACTTGCATGTAGATTTGAATGCGGGATTACACGGTTTATTGTGACTGGGTAAAATCCTAATATGTTTGAGAAATTTAATGTTTGTGATGGGTGCTTAAGTTTAAGGTTGTTAGGTATAAGGCTAAGTTCTATTGCTAGTGAAAAGCCTAGATAGTCACGCTGAGGGCCACAAGTTTTAGGTGGAGTGGCACGGCTGTTTGGGGAATTGATACTGCAACAATATTGTTAGAGATGAAGAATCCGGCAAAGATGCTACTGATTGTGAGGCGTAGAACTCATCCACGAGCACGGAGGATGGAGCAACCCAGATTTGAAATGGGCTGTGATTCATATCTAAGCCCATGTTATTGACGGCTGTGCCTTGCTGCTCTGATTAGCAGCGCACTGTCTGTTAAGGAGCCCCCATACTAGCTTGATGCCATGGGGCTTCCACCGTGAATAAAGCTGGGCCCTGCGTGAGGGCCTGGATGACCCATGGTTCCATTCACTTCCCTCCATGCCCATCTTGGGGTCTGTGCACCACAGTGCTGGCAGAGGGTGAAGGTGCTGGCAGAGGGCGAGGAGGGAAGTTCTGGGAAGGCTGCCATGATTCTGATTCCCATCAATACCCCCTTCGCCAGCCCCTTTCAATCCCCTTCTCTGCCCCATGGGTCCCAGCAAGGGTTGGACTCTGGCAGCCTGTCCTTAGTCTGAGAAGCCAGTCACTCCCACCACACGCCACTGCCCCCTCCTCAGCAGGTACACGGAGTCAAGCAGTATTGGGCAAGCTTTGGGAGAATGTGTCTTTTCCCCCATAAATACCACTCTATCCCTGCCTCAAATCTACTGCACCTAGAAGGAGGCAAAGACTTTTAGCATTTTACAGATGCTGAAAACTTTGTGGAAAAAAAAAAAATAAAGTCACGTGGGTGAGAAAGCCCAGGGCGTTTTTGGGAAATAGCAAAGTCTGGAGGGGGATATAATATGAAATGCGGCTGGTACCAAAGGCTCAGTATGTCAAAAGCCTCGAATGCTCCACGAAGGCATCTAGATTTCATTCTTCCTTCCGTGACAGGAGCCGTAGAATATTCGGGAACAGGAGACTGACACATTCAGAGATGATTTTTTGGAAAATAACTTGGGCTGCAGTAAGACTTTATGTAGCCATCGCACAAATATTTACTGAGCACCTACTATGATTGAGGCACTGTTCCAACATCCGGTGATTGAATGGTAAGCAGACTCACAATGTCCTGGCCTTAATGGAGCTTAGATTCTACGAGAAAGGCAACACCCCATGAAGATGGCTGGGGGCTTTCAAAAGAGTTGGATTCTTTTCCCACTTCCTCTGCTTCTCCTCCTCAGTTCAAGCAATGCCGGCCTCCAAATATCTCTTCAGATTGAAGGTACTGCCCCTGAAATTGACTGAACTCTCCCTAGGCAGCTGAAGATGCTCTGAGCCAATGGGCTACCCTCAGCCCCACTTCCAGGAACCCCATTCCCTTCCTGTGGCTCCAGGATCCTCTGCTAACCTGCTGCGTCCCTCCTTGTCACTGCCTGGATCCTACTTGCCAGCATCTTTTCATTTTAATTGTAGTAAAATATACATCACATGAAATTTACCATTTTAGCCATTTCAGTTAGGTCCGTGCAAAGGTAATTGCGGTTTTTGCCATTAAAAACAATGTTTGCTAATTGTACTTCCTATTTCCTGACACTAGCTACTCTTGGGGGCTTTGGCCTACAAAACGAAGTCTCCTCATAAGCCCCTGACCTGTTTGGATAGACCACAGGGAGGGGCAGATTTTTAAAAAATCTTTATTTGTTTAAAGCTGTTTCAAGGACACAGCAAAATGCAGACAGATCTCATCTCTTGCCTACCTTTCCCCATACACAGCCTCCCCCATCATAAATATCTGTTTTTGCCATCATTAAAAATAATAATGGCATTAAAAATAACGGCAAAAACTGCAATTACTTTTGTACCAACCTAACAAATATATATAACATAAAATTTACCATGTAAACAATTTCTAAGTGTGCAATTCTGTAGTATTAAGTGTTTTCACAATGTTGCACTACCAATCTCCGGAATTTTTTCATATTATTATCATTATTATTTTTTTGAGATGGAGCCTTGCTCTGTCACCCAGGCTGGAGTGCAGTGGCACTATCTCAGCTCACTGCAAGCTCCTTCTCCTGGGTTCACGCCATTCTCCTGCCTCAGCCTCCCAAGTAGCTGGAACTACAGCTTAAACAACAACACACCATCTCCCCTTTCCCCAGGCCCTGGTAACCCCCATTCCACTGTCTGTCTCTATGAATTTGATTACTCTAAACACCTGATATAATTGGAATCAGACAGTATTTGTCTTTTTGTGACTGGCTTATTTCACTTAGCATATCGTCTTCACTGTTCATCCATGCTCTAGCATATGTCAAGATTTCCTTCCTTTAGAAGGCTGAATAATATTCCATTGTATGGATAGACCATGTTTTGCTTATCCATTCACCTGGCAATGGTCACTTGTGTTGCTTCCACCTCTTGGCTACTGTGAATAACACTGCTATGAGCATGGGTGTACAAAGATCTCTTTGAGTCCTCACTTTCAATTCCATTGAATATACATCCAGAAGTGAAATTTCTGGATCATATAGTTATTCTATTTTTAATATTTTAAGAAATACCTGCCTGCATCTTAAGTTAAACTAGTCAACATAAAAACACAGGCACTTTACTATTCTGTACATTGTACCGTATGTAGCAGAAGTTAAAAATTTGCGTCTGCTACGTACAGTGCGATTCCAACTCTATGACATCTGAAGAAAACTAAACTATAGAGACAATGAAAAGATCAGTGGTTTCCAGGGATTTGGGGGAAAAGAGGGATGAATAGAGGCAGCATGGGGAGGTTGTAGGGCAGTGAAACTACTCCGTGTGATACTATAATGGTAGTCACATGTCATTACACATTTGTCCAGTCCCATAGAACGTACAACACCAGGAGTGAACACCCTCAGCATTGCCAACCAGGGACTGTATGAGCTGAGGTTCACATTTACTTCAGGAACCAATTGCATGGGCTGGAAAATTGTCACCAGTCAGAATAAGCCACTATTTCAAAAGTCTCTCAAACTCTGGACTTTGAGCAACAATGATGTGTCAATGTAGGTTCACCCATTGTAACAAATGTCACCACGCTGGTGGGAGGTATCCATAATGGGGGAGGCTGTGTATGGGGAAAGGTAGGCAAGAGATGAGATCTCTCTGTATTTTGCTGTGTCTTTGAAACAGCTTTAAAGAAATAAAGATTAAAAAAAATACTGCCCCTCCCTGTGATCTATCCAAACAGGCCAGGGGCTTATGAGGAGACTTTGTTTTGTAGGCTGAAGCCCCCAAGAGCAGCTAGTGTCAGGAAATAGGAAGAACAATTAGCAAACAATGGTTAATGTCTACGTTTACAGGCCCAGCGATCAAAGTCATCATTAGCTGCTTTAGACAGCACTGAGTGGTAACATCTGTATATGAAGATCAGGACAGGGAAGTTTCATTTGGAATTCAAACATGATCCTGTGAATTTACAAACCTCTTCGTGAGCACAAAGGACTTGCATAAAAGTAGAATGGCTTTAACAACCAGCAAACAAACAACACACACACACACACACAAAAACCTTGTCAAATCAGCGTCGCCCAAGGTTTCTCCACTTGGGCGCTAGTGACTTTTTGCACCAGATCATTCTTTGCTGTGCACGGCTGCCCTCTTCATTATAGAAGGTCCAGCAGCATCCCTGGCCTCTCCCCGTTAATGCCAGCAGCACCTTCCCCCAGTTGTGACAACCAAAAATGTCTCCTAACATTGCACATGTCCCCTGGGGGTGGTGGTGCAGAATCCTCCCCTGGTTGAAAACCAGTGTTGTGGCGAGAGCACCATTTACACTTGACCATCGTTGCTATTTAGACTGGATGGTCAGGGGACAGTAAAACCGTACGCATTTGAGCTAATGCCAACTTGGGATTACGAGGTCAGGAATGTCTGGAGAAAGAACTGAAAGAGCAACGTGCGGGTCCCGGGGGGAAGGACTTCGCTGAAGTTGCCTCTTGTGCTGGCTTTGAACATGGACATGTTGGTCAAAGCCTGTACACAAGACTGCAGGGGGCAGATTCGGCCTTCAGAACAAAACCAGTTTTCCAGAAGCTTGGCGGGCAACTTGTGCAGCGATGTGCTAATTATCAACTATTATGAGTTATTCTTCATTGCTCATTAAAGTGGGTCTTCGCCCACAGCCTCTGTTGCTCTGTGTGTGAATAAGCCTATATTTTGGAAGCTTTTTAAAGAAGGACGTCCATTTCCATACCCGTAACAGAGGCAACCGCACCTCAGGAATAGGGCTGTCTCCAGGGCGGGCTGCAGAGAAATGTGAAATCGCTTCTGCCTGCTGTATTGCCTGGCCCCAGCATCGAGGGTGTTGGCTTGGGTGAGAGGGGCAAAGGCAGCCCTCTTAACTTCCATCAATCCATCTTCCAGGGACCCACCTGGCCTCAGCATATGCGTTAAGTGAAGAGGAGTAGTGTTCTCAGAGGAGCCAAGCTATTCCCATTTCTGGGCTGTGTTTTCAGCATTAAGAAATCTATACAGCTGCTCAAATGAATTACCAAGTTTAGCTGCAGCAGGTCCCAGGTCTGCCATGAGGCCCAGCTTGGTCTGTTCTGTGCAGAAGGGCAGCCTGTCCCTCCCTTCCTCAGATCCCTGTGCCACTGAGCATCCAGAGCCAGAGGCCCAGGGCTGGGCCACCACCCTCTGATGATAATATCCCCTCAGGTGTTTGTCATACAACAGACACCAGGTCCACTGAGCATTGCCAGCTGGGGACTGTATGAAGAGGTTCACACTCACTTCAGGAACCAATTGGATGGGCTGGAAAATGGTCCCCGGTTAGAATAAACCACTACTTAGAAAGTCGTTGAGAGAGGAAGGGCACTCTCTTCCGGGAGACCCAGGACAGAGGAGTAGAGACTTTGGAGCTGGGAAGGACAGAGTTAAACCCTGCAGGGGGCCTTTATTAAGCCAAGGGAAGACCCAAGGCTTAAGGGCACAGACTTTAAAACCAGGCACGGCCACTCTGGGACTTTGCAGAGGTCACTTCACCTCTTCACACCTCAGATTCTTCACCTGTTAATGAGGCTGATGACAGACCCTATCCCACAGGATCCTGTGAGGAGTAAGTAAGTTTACATATGGAAAACACTAGAATACTCCCTGGCACTCAGGAAGCACCATGTCAATCATTCTTGTTGCAATGTAGCTTCCAGCAAGTCATTGGAAGCTCTCTGAACCTCAGTTTCCCATGATGTAAGGTAGAAACAATAATGCCTTCTGAAGAGGGAAGATTTATAAATAAGAAAACATATCCGATGTGTTGTGTATAATGCCTGGAACATAGCAGACATTTGATAATTGGCAGGAGTTATTTTTATGTTATTGACAACATCATGTCCCTGGCTTCTAATTCTTCTACCTTCTAATTGTGTTGTTTCCGCTCACTCTTCAGCCCTGGAGGAGCTGGGGGATGCTTTCAGCTCATAATTACTCCTTTCAGTAAAAAGTCCTGTGCACTAGGATGTGCGTCTGTCAGATCAGTACGTTGAGTGAGTCGAGAGAATGATGTCACTTCCTGCTCTCTCCTTGCCATTTACCTATCCGGTGACAATTTTCATAGAAAGCAATTATGGCCACTGAGCAGATCATTAGAGAATGGCTCCCTGTTACTCTTCCAGCTATGCAAATGTTGCAGCTACTCTCTCATCCCTGAGCATAGTAAGTTATCAGGATACAATCAAGCTCATTGCTGAGACAATGATAATTCCTCCTAATCAATACCGAGAGGTTCTCAGCTACTCTTTATGAGAGCCTTGTCAAATGCTGCAACGACGGTAGTGTATTTCAGTCCCTAACTTCCTTGGCTGGTACTTAATCCCTTTGAGTCTCAGTTTTCTTAAAGAAGCACTAATAATATAAGATTCCCTAATACTCTGTTAGGACTTTCAGGAGCAAAACCAAAACACAGAGTATGGCCCTTCTGCTATGAATCAGAGGAAAATGAGCTGATTCTGCTATGAATCAGAGGAATTCAAGGGACATGGGTTCTTGCCCAGGCTGTGTGACCCAGGACTTGTATTGCATGTCTGTAAAATAGGCATTACACACATGAATCCGTTGTTTGTGTTTCTAGCTATTTATACTCTGCCTGCTCCCAAAAAGGATTTGAGACAGCTTGTAATCAGATGCTGTGAAAATAGACATGGAAAATCAAAGACCATGAGGAAGGAGAAGGAAGAGGCAAATATACCAGCCACATGGACTAACATAGTTTCTGTGGTTAATTTGACCCTTTTTGCCTTGGATCCCAGGAAGCTCAGAGCTAAATTTATTATTCCGGAGTTACACAATCTGGACAATTACCTGTTCAAAGAAAATTCACTCTTACCAGTTATTCAAGAGAGACCAACTTTGCCCAAAATTAAACTCTGAAAATAATCAACAAAGGTACCAAACCTCAGAAGAATTCACTATAAATATTAGTTTTGACATTGACTCACTTAGTAACTATTTATTGAGCAAGATGTCAGGCATTGAAAATGAAAATATGGGATGAACAAAGCTAACAAAGCACCTGCCCTCATGAAATGTATTCTAGTGGAGGAAAACATGCAAGATAGAATAAACAACGCCAAGTAATAAATAAAAGATGAGATATTAAGTCCATCTTTGAAAATGATGGGATGGGGTGGGGAGGGGCGAGGCTATATCAGAAGGTCAAGAAAGCATTTTCATGAAATTAACATTTGAGCCGAGAGCTGAACAGCAGGAAAACTTTTTGGCAACATCTGGGAGAGGACAATATTCCAGGCAGAGGGAACGGAAAGTGCAAGTGTCCTCCGGCATTGGGGAGAACTTGGCACTTTGGAGGAAATGGAGGAAGGGCAGAAAAGGATGAGAAATGAGGCAGCGATGGTTATCAGATGAGAGATAAATAGAAGCCGGGTTACAGAGGCCACAGTTCTCACCCTGTACCATGTGTTAGAATCACCTGCTCATTCCAGTCCCATCCCTGGAGATTCTGATGTAATTGGTCTAGGGTGGGACCCAGACTATAGCATGTATCAAAAGGTCCCCAATTGACCCTATAGAGCACTGGGGTGAGGATCAGTGTGAAACAGCCTCATAGACCATCGTGAGGTGTTAGAAGTTTCTTCCCAGCGTGTTGAGAATCCACAGGAGGAGTTTTGAAGTTTTTTCTGCTGCTGGGTGGAGAATAGATCTAAATAGGGCAAAAGCAGAAAAAAGAAGCAGGGTCACCCCTAGGTACATGGGATCCTAAGCAAATATTCTTTCAGGGCCCCTGTCTAGATAAACAATTTGAGTCACTCCAAATCGATGAGTCAGCACCTTTCAAGCAGCCCAAACTCACAGGCTCCTGTGAAAGAAATACCGCAGTGGCCAGCATGAGTGATCTGTTTGCCAAGCCACCCTCTTGGAACTGTTGCCACACCATGAGCCCTAGCACGACCCCATAGGCATGAGTCTTGAAGTTCTGTGGGGCATCTGTTCTACCCCAGTGAGCGATGGGCAAGGGCAGAGTTAGAGAGCACCTCAAGGGAGAGAAATGGAGATAGGTATCCAAGTTCCTATCTGGATTCAGGATGTCCTGGGCCACTACTGGCCCTTGCTGGTCCCAGGCACTAAGAGGACTTAGACTAAGAAATTGTCAAGAAAGTAACTCAAAAGCACAAGGTCCACTATTGCCCAGGTCCCAGAACAGGTCTAAGAGTGGCCCTGGTAGGGAGAACAGGTCATCAGGGTAAGGTGATGGCAGCTTGGATGACAGTAAAGGCAGAGAATGGAGAAAAGTGGATTGATCCAGTGATCCAGGATTCTGATCCATGAGCAGAATTTATGACAACGATAGCCATCCGGGCTGTTGACAGACATAGGTTTTCTTGTTTAGGGGCACATGGTGGGATGACGCTGCTTTGCCCAGTTGAACTTGTGCATGGCCATGTGAGTAGCTTTGGCCAATGAAATGTGCCAGAAATTTTGAGATAGCCCCTGGTGCACCATGCTTTCCTCTCTACCTCGAGGAGGTGGCACCTCCGTGAGAGGGCCCTAGGATAGCTCTGTTAAATAGACACATCCCTAGAGCACGGGACATGCTGCGTAAGGGAAAATTCAACTTTGTTTCTGGAAGCGTCAGATATTCAGGGATGGGGATTGATTTATTACTGCAGCATAACCAAGTCTATCCTGAGTAATGCAGTGAATCTCACTGGCCCAGGCTGGAGTTTCATCCACAGTTTTCTCTTATCCTTGGCCCACTGGGGGGCCTTCTCGGCCTCATCTACTGTGGCAGGACCCCAGCCCATTGGAGAGCCATTTTCTGGGCCTTGGATGGTCCCTGGAATGAAAACAGTCCAGTAGAGAGCATGTGCGTGACCATTACCCTGCAGGCTGGCCAGACTGGGCACCCGCGCCCCCACCCTGGCTGTGGGCTCATTAGATGAAAGTGCTATCACCTGTCAGACAAACTGCTAGAACTGTGATAAATTAATGATCAAATGGTACAGTCGGCGCAGCTACTGTACTGCCTCGGCTAGTTACAAGCCGGTTGGGTGCTTAAAAAATGCAGCCGGCATTAAAAAAAAATCAGGCGTTAAAGGAAAATGTCACCCAGCTTTTCAAAAAGGATCTGTTTTAAAATGACCACAGACGGCTCGGTTGCAGAGTCTTTATTTGATTCCTGTTCTTTGTATTTTGTTTTATTGCTCACAAGGAAGGAAGGGGGGAGGGCATGGAGTGGGGAGAGGGCAGAAGGAAGGTTGGAATTTCTATTTTCACCAGCCTCCATCTGTGCAGCGTGTTGGGCAGGAGATGTAGCCCTTCTTGACAAACATGGGGAGAGTGATTCTTCCCAGGGCCTGGCTGGAATTAACAGTAATTACTATATAAGTAAGGGTATAATCATTATAGGCTTTTTTGTACAAAGACCTTTATTCTTATTTCACTTACTCATAATGACATCTCTCTTAAATGAATAGCAATATCCCCATTTGTCAGATAAGAAAACTGTTACTCAGAAAGTTATCATGGTTAACATTCTTTGAGTGCTTGACTATATATACATCACACGAACTGTCCCCTACAATTGCTACAATAGGTCTGGGTGGATACTAATATGACCTCCCTTTTAGAGGAGAGAAAAGATAGGATCAGAGAGGTTGAGCCACTTGTCCACAGTCACACAGCTAATAAGTGGTAAAGGGAGGGTTTGCACAGTGGTTTCTGACTCCTGGGACCCTGGAATCTTATCCCTGAGGGCCTATGGGGATAATTGCAAAAACAAGGCAGGAAAAAGGCTGCCCTTGACTTAAAAGTCCAGCCCAAACCTGATGAGGGTTCTCATTACATAAATGCATAGGTTCCCTCTGTGAGTGCATCAGCCCCACCTGGCCCTTCCACCGATGGCTTTATGAGCTTAATTTATTCTTTTTAATATAAAATCTCATTACCTGAACATGATACCACCACTTCTACTTTATCTTTGATATAAGAACAGAGAGAAACCTAAATCAAACCTTTAAATAAAGTCTATAATCATGCTGCACTTTCACTTGCTTTTCAAATTTCTAAACAAAATTAAGTGGAAATACCTTTGAGGAGAGTCGTGTGGAAGGAGAAGGGGGTGTATGAGGAGAGATGGCAGGGGGGACCCCTGAATGTCGCTTCCTGGGCAGCCACGGGGGATGCGATTACTCTCCTGCCTGATCCTCGGCTCCTGCTATTTTCTGGCTCCCTGACCCAGGTTTGGAGAGGGAATCAAATGAAGTCCGCCCCAAACCTGTGTGTGCTTGGAATTGATCTCAAAAAGCCATTTGCCTCACCTTGTATTTTTCAAGGCATTTCCTATCCAGCCTTAATTTTCATAAAGGGGAAATTGATGATCAGTTTAAAGAAACACAGTTAAGGGTTTGGAGTCCCCAGGAGCCTGAGGTGGGCAGGTCAAGGTCTAGGGGGTTCTTGGCAAGCAGAGGGTGGCAGAAGGCTTTTGGGAGAAGCGGTCCCTTCCTCGCCTTGGGGCATGGGTCTGTATGGGCAAAGACGGGGCTTGTTGCCCAGCTGGGGAAGGTAATTCCTAAAAGAGCCATGGTCTAAGCTTCTGACAGTTGTGGAAGGAAAGGGGCAGTGAGTCCCACAGAGTTTATGAAAGCCACTTGGACAGACCAGGAGGATGTTTGGGGATTATCTGGTCCTTGGAAGAGGCGGGGCTTTCCCTTCAGGAGACCACCTGGTCCAATAGACTCACTGTAGTGGGAAGTGAACTGAGCCCCCAAAACTTCAGCCACTTACTTGTTTGAGGTTGCAGAAATTTCACCAGTGTTGGTCAGAAGAGTGGGAAAATGCCACAGAGAAGAATGTGGTGTGGACGAGGGCTTGCCTGAGTGTCAGCAGGCAGAGGTTGGAATTTCAGCTCTGCTCCTCACCAGTCAGGTAACCTTGGGCAAGGCATGTCAGTGCTTTGGGGCTCCCTCAGTTTCCCCATCTGTGCAATGGGGATAAACACTCTCCACTTCACAGCGCCATACACAGAAAATTAAAATAAACTATGGGAAAGTGCCCAGCCCTGTGCCTACTCACAGGGTAAGTAATGAGTGTATCAAAGCTGCACACGAAGAGCTGAGTCCATCCTTTCCTTTCTTCAGCACATCACTTATCTCAGGAATTAGCTGATCTCTCCTCCTCCAGGAAGCCTTCTGTGATTGTTGGTAATGGATCTGAAACATCCATGGTTTCACTTTCTTTAGCCCTTAGGTAAAAAGCACCATAGCATCGTCACAGTGTGAATGGGGCAAGCAGATTCTGGTGGCAGCCGGCCTGCGTCCAAGCCGTGACTCTGTATGTCCTCACGTATGACCTTGGAAAAGTCACATAACCTCTGTTGCCCCGGCTGGTCTCATACTCCTGGCCTCAAGTGATCCTCCCACTTCAGCCTCCCAAAATGAGATTCCAGACATGAGCCACTGCACCTGGCAATATTTTCAGTATTACTACCACCACCTCTCAAAGCACCTATGATGTCTTTGGCTGTTTGTGTGTGCATGCGTGTATATGTGCTGGGTTTTTTTTTATAGCAGATGTTTGCATTGGGGTACAACATACAAACAAAAATGGGAACATAGCAGAAGCATACAGCTCCAAGAATTTTCACAAAGAGAACACACCTGTGTACCTACCTTCCAGACCAAGACATGGAGCACCTCAACCCCTCAGTAGATCCCCTTGTTCCCTTTGCCAGGAAGCAGCAGTTTCCTGCAGGACAAAACTAGAATAAATGGAACCCTGGAAGATACCAATAGGATGGCCAATGTTACAACAAATACTTGAGCACACGGGGTAGATGGCAAAGGCTGTGAGGGCTGTAACGAAAGCCTTCACTGATATTCTATCGGGAACAGACCCTGCAGACCTAGGCTCTGTCATTAACTGGCTGTGAGGCTACAGATAAATCCCTTCTCCTCTCCGGACCTCAGTTTCCACTTCTGCACAAAGAAGAAGTTGATGGGCTAAACTCACATGGCTCTAAGGATATATTTGCTTAAATATTGGTTGAATGCCTGCTATGTGGTTGATGCTATTCTAGGCATTTGCGGTAAACAAAACAGATACTCATCCTTGTCCTTGTGAATTCTATATTTCACCAGGAGGCAATGGACAATAAATAGTAGGCATAATGAATAAGTAAATTACATCTGATTCCTTGATTCTCGGGGAGTGTCCCAGCTAGAAGATAAATTGCAGCCACCTGACACAGTTGCCTTCCCTCTCCCGTCCCCCTTGGTCTGTGTCATGCCAGGAAACATATGGCTTCAAAACTGATTTTCCTGAATCCCGTTCCTGGGAGTGTGAGCGTCAGAGTATCTCCCTAAGGGAATGAAGGTGCCGAGAGAGATTTTCCCATCTACGTCATTTTTTCCAATTTGTCCAAATGAGGATGAAATATTTCAGACACAAAAGGAAGAGTAAGAGAAATGAACAACTCCTGGCTTATAAGATAGAGTTGAAGCTCTTTGTGCCCCTTCCTGATTGCAAGGAGGGATGATTTCTCCTGATAAGGAGCTCTCCCCACCCCACGCCTTATGCTGTGTGGATTTGGAGAAACCAATTCCCCTATCCCCACACACCTGCCATTTCCCTGAAAATGAGCACTTTGCCTTAGGGGTCCCCAGCTTTCTGCCCAGAGAAAGATCTCAACAAATGCACAGAGGCCTCAGAGAACAATCTCTCCTCCAGAATGAAAATCCCACCTCCTACTTCTCCCACAGGTAAGAGGCAGTGAAAACAGGCTGAGCTGGGCAGATGTGGGCCCTTGCTCTGGCCCAGTCTGCAGAAAAAAGCAGGTAAGTGGCTGGTGGGGTGGCGGAGGTGAGCTGGGGAGACCAGAGAAAGGCTGATCTTAAATACCTTAGAAAGGAGCCAGCTGAGGGAAAATGGTCCTTGAGTGATAGGATCGGAGTGATATTCCCAATATTCAGTGAGTGCTTTGCACAGGCCCCGGCAGGCTTTCTGGAGCGTGATCTGTGTGGCCCATGTTGGGTCAGACTTTCCCCTTTTCATGCTCAATTGTGGGAAATCTGAGGGTTCTAAAGAGGGCCTGGGGCCTCAGGATGGGAAAGTACTCAAGGGGGTCCAGATAGCAGCTATTTGCCAAGTGGTTGAATGTATTTTAATACTTTAACAACCAATGGGACCTGGGTTAGGATGGCAGAACGAGACATGAGCCATAATGGCAAAGGGTTAACAATGTCTTTGGAGAAAAAACTTCAATGCAGGGCACATACCTGAGTACAGAAACGTTTACCCATTCCTGAGTTTTGAGGATCCAGCTTTATTCAGAGAACAGGGAAAAGGCAATTTTCCCTGTATCAGAAGCCATTTCAGGTACGGAGAGAGCACTGGTTATACAAGGTCTGTTAGTGGGCTGCCTACAATCCACACAAACAGATTTGCTGGAGACATGGAATGTTTTCTTTTCAAAACTGTCAGTTAGTTGCAATATTTCCAAATGGGGAAATTTTACATAAAAAACCTGAACTCCCAGTTTCTCTTAGAAAATCAGCCAGGTCAAGTGGCTCACACCTGCAACCCCAGCGCTTTAGGAGGTCAAGGTGGAGGATTGTTTGAGGCCAGGAGTTCAAGACCAGCTTGGGCAACATAGTGAGACCCTGTGTCTGCAAAAAAAAAAAAAAAGAAAGAAAAAAGAAATTGCTGGGTGTGGGGATGCATGCCTGTAATCCTAGGTACTAACAAGGCTGAGGCAGAAGGATCACTTGAGCCCAGGAGTTCAAGGATGCAATGAGCCATGATCATGCTACTGCACTCCAGCCTGGGCAACAGAGCAAGACCCTGTCTCTAAAAAAAAAAAAAAAAAAAAAGAAAATCAGAAGATAAGGCTCAGAGTGGGCCCTGCACCATGGCTGGAGCATTGTGGGGGCTGCTTCCTCCAACAGTGTGTGCCCCCAGTCTCCCTCCACAGCCCGTGTCACTTGTTTGTGTTTCCTGCCCAGCCCTGAGCTCACTACCCCCTGAGAAAATGGCAAGAACAGAGGATCTGAATCTAGAAGATCTGGGTCAGTGACTTAATCCTGCTCTTTCCAAGCTCATATAACTTCTTGGAATTTCAGTTACTCCATCTGTAAAATGCCAGTCATAATAATGTCTTTTTTAAGAGTAGTTGTGGCCAGGCATGGTGGCTCATGCCTGTAATCCCAGGACTTTGGGAGGCCAAGGCAGGCAGATCATTTGAGGTCAGGAGTTCGAGATCAGCCTGACCAACATGATGAAGCCCCGTCTCTACTAAAACTACATAAAATTAGCCAGGTGTGCTGCTGCACACCTATAGTCTCAGCTACTAGGGAAGCTGAGCCAGAAGAATCACTTGAACCTGGGAGGTGAAGGCTGCAGTGAGCCAAGATTGTACTACTGCACTCCAGCCTGGGTGACAGAGCAAGGCTTCATCTCAAAAAAAAAAAAAAAAAAAACACACAAACAAAAAAGTTGTGAGGATCAAGTAAAATTGTACAAATCAGCCAGGCATGGTGGCTCATGCTGTAATCCCAGCACTTTGGGAGGCCGAGACAGGAGGATTGCCTGAGGTCAGGAGTTCGAGACCAGCCTGGCCAACATGGTGAAATCTTGAGTCTACTAAAAATACAAAAAATTAGCCAGGCATGGTGGCATGCACCTGTAATCCCAGCTCCTCCAGAGACTGAGGCCAGAAAATTGCTTGAACCCAGGAGGCGGAGGCTACAGTGAGCTGAGATCACACCACTGCACTTCAGCCTGGGTGATAGAGTGAGACTCCATCTCAAAAAAAAAAAAAAAGTACAAATTATTGAACAGCAGGATCATAAAGAACAGGGTCATCAGAATCAGTTGCTTCTAAATCTAAATCTTGGATTTGCCACTGTCAGATTGCATGGCTTTGGATAAATCCCTTAACCTTGCCATGCCTCATTTTTCTCATCTGTAAAATGGGTGTGATAGAAAATCAACCAATAGGCTGTCCTGGGGAAAATGTGGGTTAATACCTGTGAAGTGCTTACTGTGGTGCCATATTGTAGGTGCTCAATAAAGGTGCACTATTAATATTATTACTATTATTATTATATAACTGGCTCTTTTGTGCAGCCAAAGCTTATTCCCTAGATCTGAACAGGAAATCTAGCTGTGGAATATCACAGTAACAATTTCTTTCTTTTTACCTAGAATATTATCCTGAAGGAGAATAAATCTTAAAATGGAAAAGTAAGATGTAAAATAATTTTGGTGTCAGTGAAATAAAATCCAGTCAATTAATGATAATTATCACATTCAATGAGACTCTCTGGGAGTACTCCCTATACAATTCCCAGAAACGCCTCAGGACTCAGAAAACGCACTGGTGTGTATCACTGGTGTAATCACTCTTCAGTCATCCTTTAAGTATCTTTCTGGGACTCCTGCTATAAGCAGACTAGACTATGGAGCAATGATATTGAAGACAAAAACAAAGGAAGTTTAAATCATAAACCTTAGAAATCTTTAGCAAGTGCTAGAGTTGTGCTGGAAAGTTGCTTAGTCTGTGCTTGGAACTGCTGTCTTATGTTGAACCAGGAACCTGAGGATGCTCCTCGAATTCTGCAACAAAAGCTGACTCTCTCCTGCCCAGAAGCAATCTGGGGCGCTTAATAGCCCACCTTGGATAGGAATAAAATGAACAGGATGACAAATGCAGGTCAGGCAGCCTTGGAACTTGCCAGGGACTGAAACCAATCAAATGCTTTACTCTGTGAAGAAAATTTCACTCCCTTGTGTACGATGCCTCCTCCCGCATTTGCGCCTGTGCACCCCATGGGCAGGACCCACGGTGGGTGCCTCTGAAGTCCAGCCAGTGGGCTCTCAGTCTTCACTTGTTTAGCACTCACTGCAAAAACCTGCCATCCCGAGCAGCATGAAACATTATCATTTTTTGCCCTGGGACAGAAAAGCACAGATTTGAAACTGCTCTAGGAGATCCAAATAGAGAATATTTAAAATACCAAAGGAACGAGAAATGGGGTCTGGGGCATCTGTTTAATTTGCCTTATTGGTGGCAGCAACAGAAAGAATCTTCTGAGAACTCTGGGCAGAAAAACCAGGAAGCAGAGGGTGGTTCAGGGAGCAACAGTGCCGTGGCATGAGGCAGGATTGAGAAGGTGGTAAAGAGCAGTCAGCTCAGAGCCTTCTGATGGAACCACAACCTAAGCCATGTAGGTTCACAAACTCCGAAGTGCATACACTCGGATTCTTGTTAAAAGGCATATTCTCGGCCAGGCACGGTGGCTCATGCCTGTAATCCCAACATTTTGGGAGGCTGAGATAGGAGGATCACTTGAAGCCAGGAATTCAAGACCAGCCTGGCCAACATGGCAAGACCCCATCTCTACAAAAAATACAAAAAAATTAGCCGGATGTGGAGGCACATGTCTGTAATTACAGCTACTCAACAGGCTGAGGCACGAGAATCACTTGAACACAGGAAGCGGAGGTTGCAGTGAGCTGAGATTATACCACTGCACTCCAGCCTGGACAACAGAGCGAGACCCTGTCTCAAAAAAAGAGAAAAAAGAAAAAGTCAGATTTTGGCTTCACACAGTGGCTTATTCCAGTAATCCCAGCACTTTGGGAAGCCAAGGAAGGAGGATCACTTGGGCTAGGAGTTCAAGACCAGCCTGGGCAACACAGTGAGATCAACACCTCTTTGGATGGTGAACATTTCTGCTTCCAGGTTTTAATTAGGGTGACTCTTCCTCCAGGGAGCCTTCCCTGACTGTGATGGTTAATATTAAGCATTAATTTGACTGGGTCATCGAGTGCCCAGATAGTTGATCAATATTACCGTTATTACTTCAGGTATGTCTGTGAAGGTGTTTTTGGATGAGCTTAACATTTGATCTGTTCACTGAATAGAGCAGAGTGCCCTTTCTAATACAGATGGGCCTCATCCAATCAGGTGAAGGCTTGAATACAACGAAAGGGCTGACCTTCCTGAAAGTAAAAGGAAACTCCTCCTGCCTGACTGCCTTCAACCTAGAACATTGCTTCTTTTTTTCCCACCTTTGGATTTGAACTGAAACACTGGCTGTCCTGGTTCTCAGGCCTTGGGACTCAGACTGAAACTACTCCATGGCTCTCCTGGGACCCCAGGTTGCCAATTAAAGACCTTTAGACTTCTCAGCCTCCCTAATTGTGTGGACCAATTCCTTATAATAATATCTTTCCATGTACATATATACCCTATTGATTCTGTTTCTCTGGAGACCCTGACTCACCTAAGAAGAGACTCTGACTCACCCAAGAATTTCTTTCTCATTTCTGTTGTTCTTATATTTTATCTTATACAGAGATTTCATCTTATTCCAGCAAAATACCTTATTTTTACTTAATAGTGAACTGTCCAATAAGGTATCTGCTAGCCATGTGTGGCTATTGAGTACCTGAAATAAGGCAAGTCTGGACTGAGATGTATTGTGAGGAGAAATATACATGGCATTTTCAATATTTGGTATAAAACAATGTAAAAAATCTCTTTAATAATGTATTATATTGATTACCTGTTGAAACCATAATAATTCTGAGCTATTTGGTTAAATCAAATACAATAGTAAAATTATTTATTAAAATACAGTATTACAATTATTTAGCCGGGCATGATGGTGTGTGCCTGTAGTCCCAGTTACTCAGGAGGCTGAGGCAGGAGAATCACTTGAACCCAGGGGGCGGAGGTTGCACCGGGAGCTGAGATTGGACCACTGCACTCCAGCCTGGGCAACAGAGCAAGACTCCATCTCCAAAAAAATTAAAACAAATAAATTAAATTAAATTAATTTTACCTGTTTCTTTTTTCCTTTCTAATGTAATTACTAAAATTATTAAATTATGTATGTGCCTTGCATGTATATTTTTACTAGCCAGTACTGCTTTTGAATAAGGCACAATTACCAAAGAGACTTCCAAGCTCCAGAAATTGAATTCCTTCAATATATCTTCATAATAAAATATATCTTAGTGCACTAGAGTAGGGGTTGGTGAACTACAGCCCGTAGGCCAAATCCAGCCAGCCATTTGCTTTTGTAAATAAAGTTTTTATTGAAACAGAGCCATGCCTATTCATTAACGTATTGTCTATGGCTGCCTTGGTGCCACAACAGCAGAGACCATGTAGCCTGCAAAGCTTAAAATATTTACCATCTGGTCCTTTATTAAAAAGTTTGTCAATCCTTGGTCTGGGGTGTAAAGGTTAAGACTGCAGCTCCGGGAGGCAGAAAGGCTGATGCTGGTTCCACGGCTTATGATAAGGTGGCTTTGGTTGGCCATGTTACTGCAGATCTCTGTGTCTCAGTCTCCTCATATGTAAAATGGGGTCATTATAATAATTACTTCATAGAGTTGCTTTAATCATTAAGTGAGATGATGTATTTCAAGTGCCGGTACCCAGCCTAAATGCCCATCAGTCAACAAGTGGATAAAAAAATTGTAATATATAAATACCATAGAATACTACTCAGCCCTAAAAAGGAAGAAAATAACGGCATTTGCAGCAACCTGGATGGAATTAGGGACCATTATTCTAAGTGAAGTAACTCGGGAATGGGAAATGAAACATCGTATGTTCTCACTCATAAGTGGGAGCTAACCTATGAGGTTGCAAAGGTGAAAGAATGATATAATGGACTTTAGGGACTAGGGAGAAAGACTGGGAGGGGGATGAGGGAAAAAAAACTTCACATTGGGTACAGCGTACACTGCTCAGGTGATGGGTGCACCAAAATCTCAGAAATCACCACTAAAGAACTTATTCATGCAACCAAACATCACTTGTTCCCCAAAAACCTATTGAAATTTTTTTAAAAAGTAAAGCAATGGATTTTTTAAAAAGTGCCTGGTACCTAAGTAATAACAAATTACTACATGCATTTATTTGTCTGTTTGATGTTTGTTTGTTTTGCTGATTCGGGGGCCCTGCCCTTGAGTCTCTGGTGGTCCTTGCAGGGCTCACTTTCTGTAAGGTATTTGTCTGTTTTTCCCACTGTCTCCTCAACAGACCTTGCACTCCCTAAAAGCAGAAGAATCTATGTCTTTAGCCCCGGGGTCTGCAATGTGCAGCATCAGGGGCAGGCAGTGCCGTCCGGCTCCCTCTGGTCATTTCCTCACTGCTCTGACTCCGTGGACAGCTGAGAGGGACCTTCTTCAAGGACAGGAGGTGAGAATGTGGGGAACATCAAGTCCACCCCTGCACTGATGTCTCCTCAGTGGTCTCCCCATTCGGATCTGGGGGTTCTGAGGCCCTGAGGAGGTGTCAGAGACAGCCTTTCTATGCAGTGCTTTACTGAACCTGTTGTATTGAGTGGTTTCTACTCCAGCTCCTTGCAGGGCGTCTCTGAGTCAGCGAGACGCCCAGAGCGGGCGTCCAGATGTAACGGAAACATATTTTTATCCCCTATTGATCTCTCTTGCCCGGAAACCATCATTACGCCGGTGTAGAAAGGCAGCTCCCAATGGCAGGAGCCTCTTGGCCTCTCTGGCCGATGGGTGCCCAGCAAATTGCTCCAAGCCACCAGGCAGAGAAACCAAAATAACTTCACGAGACAGGCGTTCCGGGCCCGACCCTGCTGGGGCTCTTGGAAAAAGGCTAATTTTTACTCTTTCTAACATTATCCACAGCTTTTCTTGTCTTGGCTTTTTTGAAACAAAGATGAAGTTAGTCTCTAATTGATCTCTGTCTGCAGTTCTCGGCTCTGCCTGGCAGCGGGGCAGAGGTGAGGGGCCTTGGCCAAGGTCAGGCCTGGGGATGCTTATCCACGTGGAGACGTGGCTGCCCGGGGCTCTGGGCTCACAAAAGAATAACAGGGACAGCCTTGCACCAAAGGAAACTTGGGCCAGGGGAAGGTGAGGTTTTATCCCCATCCAAGTTACAGCCATCCAGCCAAACTCCCTCTCACCTAATAGCCCAGAAATAAATCCCTGTTGTTTGGGGTGGACAGATGAACAAGCTCAATTCCTAAGCACCCAGCACTGTCTGTGGTGTGGAGGGCAGTGGGGAAGATGCCCAGACTCCCTAAGCTATAATGCAGGGAACACCAGCTTATAAACAGACAGTGCAGGTCCAGGCCCTAGTGTGCTGGTCAGTGTGTAACAACCGGCTTTCTGGGGAGAGGGGAGGAAGCTCTTACTGGGGCATTTGCTGATTCCCGTGGTGTAAATATCACCAGTGTGACCTGTTTCAAGGCACCAATGTGATTGCATTCAGAGTTGGGAAAAGATGGGAATGGCTGACCGATCAGCTCTCATAAGCCGTCCAGTGCCACCTCCAGCTCCCCAGTGGCTTCAGCTCTTCTGCTTGCTGCTCTGTGACCTGGGACAAGTAACTTAACTTCTCTGTGCAGCAGTTCCTCAAGCATAAAATGGGGGAAATAATAGCACCTACCTCTTCAGATTATCATATGATTTAAATGATATATACCTAGAAAACACCTAATGCTATCCCTGGTACATAATGGGCACTCAGTAAATGTTGAGTTCAGTTATTATTTCTATAATGATTGTTATAATTAAGCTCATAGCTGAGTTGGTAGAGCCACACTCATGTACACATAGGTACATACATACGTTCTCACTTACAAGACAGTGAATCACTCACTTGTGAAAGGTCCGGCAAGGAGAGGTAAGCATTGAGTAGAGCAGTCCTGGGAGGCTTCCTGGAGGAGGTAGGGTCTGGCTCTGGGGCTTGGATGATGGGGCTGCACAGGCTTGAATAAAGGGTCATAAAGGAGGAAGAATTAGAGAGCACAGGCAGAGAGCTAGGAATGGATGTTGAACACTAGCACAGGCTAAGCAGGACTGAGAGACTTCTTTGGCTTCTCAGATGCAAATGTAGGCGGATTTGGAGGGGGTGATAGAAGGGGAAAAGAAGTGGGCAAAAGGTTGGGGGCCAGGAAGCAGAGAGAGGGACACATGAAGGCTCAGAGATGGTCAACAGGGGTTAGGGGCTGAGAGTTCTGCACAGAGAGCTGCGCACAACCACCATGGCCGTGGCCTTACTAATGCACGGGGCTGGAGGGTTTTGGGCTGAGATGTGGGCCGAGCCTCAGTGGGGCTCCCAGCAGCATAGCTCAGAATAGAAGTCCAGGCCATGCGGAGTCCAGCATAGGATGCCCAGGCCTTTTGGGGTTCTTCTGGCCAGTGGCTGGCAGTTTAGCAACATCCTGGAGAATTGGCCCCAGCAGCAAGTACTGTGCCCCTTAAGATGCGGAGTTTTCAGCAGCGCCTCTCTCCACTCCTGCCACCCCAGCCCAGCCGGGCCGCCCTGACTCGGGTAATTGCAAGCAATAATTATTGAGTGTACACAAAGGCCTGGCTTGTTTTCTCGTGCGGGTGGGGGCCGGGGTAGCTTTGTTTGGGCCAGGAATTGTCGTGGGGCCTCTGTTTAGCCAGTGCTGTCTCCTCTTTGTTAACATTCCTCACTAACCGTGGCTCCTCCCGGGCTGGAGAAGAGGAAGAAAAGGCGGTACCCATGCCCACCAGCCACGGCGGCCCCCCCTTCCCTCTCTGCAAGCCCCTGGGAACCTTTGGCCCTGCTCCCTTCTCCCCAGACCCACTGGGGACAGAAACATGGGGCAGGCGGCGGACAGGCCCAGAAATAAATAACCCAGCTCACCTGGCAGGTGCAAGACCCGCAGCTCAGGCAATTGCCTTAAACATGGGGCTTTTCCCGTTACCCATGTTGGGCTGAAAACAGTCATTAGGTGTCACCTTCTATGGCAGCCTTCTCTCTTTTTGGGAGCAGAGGGAATAATTACACACCTGGGCTTCTCACTACCTTGCACGGCTCCTAGGACAAATGCTACCTAGGTCCTCTCGGTACTGGGAGCCCATTCCCACCCGCCACTTACACGGCCTACAAATGAATGTTTTCGCCTGTCTTCGGTTCACATAAATAGCCACAAATTCCTATAATTAACTACAGTAAGCTAGGCTGGGATTAAAACAAAGACGGGCTTGTTTACTGGGATGTTCTGAAACAAGCAATTTTGAACATTACAGTGTGAACTGCTGTCTTTGTCTTTGTTAAGCAAGGCAGCAGGAGGGGGTGCGGAATGAATGGTGAGGGGCCTCAGCTGGGAGTTGGGAAGGGGTGGGAGACTGCTTCCAATGTTTCAGCCAAAAACCTTTTGTCTGTGGGTCATCAGGCCTCTTGAAGACCGCAAGATCTACTTAACCTCTCACAGGGGACAGTAAAACCAGGCATAGCCAAGAAAGCACCCCTTTCTCTTCCCAGGTAAGGGATTTTAGGGCAACGGAAGGCTTCCTCCTTCATTCCCGGCAAAAGTGTCTCCTTCCATCCACTTTGCAAAATTCTGAAATTTCCACCATCAGGTTTTAAAGTGCAATAAGATTTCAGAGATCATTTGGCCTCGGCCCTATTTTTTCTCAGACAGGGAAACTGAGTCCCAGAGAGGCTAAAGAAGCTAAGCTCAAAGTCACTCCGTGAACTGACCACCAAGAAGGACTCAAATCCAGGTTTTCCGACTACGACGGGGGTCAGAAAACTGGGGCCCACGGCCAGTCCTGCCTGCTGTCTGTTTATTTATAGCCAGTGGGCTGAGAATGGATTTCAAATTCCTAAATGATTGGGGAAAAAATTAAAAGAAGAGTAATACTTCTGGCACGTGAAAACCACATGAAATTTAAGTGTCCATAAAAAGTGTTTGGTTGGAACACAGCCACTCATATATTGTCTAAGGTTGCCTTTGTGCCACAACAGCAGGTTGAGTAGTTACCAGAGACCGTCTAGCATGCAAAGCCCAAAATATCCACTGTCTGACCTTTTGCAGAAGAGGTTTGCCAATCCCTATTCTAGTAGTATGCTGCTGTGTTGCTCTATTTAAAAATAAAATATAAACAGTTTTTTTCCCCACAAGTTTGTTTTTTATTTACTGAGATTCTGTCTTCAAACACAATCTTGGGGAGACCGTGTGTGTGAAACTCATCAAAGGGAAACTGTTCTGCTGACGCAGAGTGGGAGTGGGGTGAGTGAGGACCCCGAGGAGTCTGTGGATTCCCCAGATACGAGCGTCTGAAACCCCTGGTGAAAGTAGCATCTCCTGCAGACACAGCCTTAAAACCCTGTGTCCCAGAACTTGTGACCCTAGCCAGACCCGTGCAGAAGATCACGGAAGTACAGATGCATGTTCCCATTGGCAAGATCAGGAGGCCAAGGATCAAAGGTGTGGAAGGGATTCTAGAATCCAGGTCCCTTGACTCTCGGAGAAGCCCAGCAGGCCAGGGTGGGCCGTACAGGCCGCGAGCTGAGGTTGCAGTTCTCACAGGCACAGTGTCCTCTGTCTGCAGCCTGGGCTCTTGAAGAACACTCTCCACTGCCCAACCCCTTATATATGTATTTATTAATCTCGATGATTCGCCTTAATAGCACTGCCTTAAAGGCAACTTGGCACGTGGTGGGGTGACAAAACTCATAAAAAGTCAAGAAGGCATTTAACAGCCACCCAGTGCTGGGTGAGGAGGGCTCCTGGCTACAGCCTGCCAGCCCCAGGCAGGGCCCAGGGCTCCAGCAGGCTGGGCCTGTGTCACAGCAGTGGAGAGGCAGGGAGTGGGAGAGAGAGAGGCCAAGAGGGGTGGGTGCACTGTGAAAGCTGAGGAAATCAGGAGATTCTACTCCGAATGACCTTAGGAGAGTCACTTAGCCTCTCTGCACCTCTGTTGCTAGCTCTGAAAAATAAGGATGAGATGGGATGATCACAGTACGACCAGGAAAAGCAAAGGAGGTGACAGGGTAATGCACTAATGCACATACGTAGCAACCCTTCCAGAGATGTGGGGGCACTGCTGCTGGTGACGTGAACAGAAGTGGGAGGAGGAAATTCTCATCTGGCTAAGGGAAGGTCCATACAACTAAACTTCAGCATTCTCCTTAGACAACAGGCTGTTCATGCAGACTTTGAGCAGGGCCTCTGGGGCCAGGCTGCCTAGGTTCAAATCCAAGCTCTCATCTTTAGGGGTCAGGGTATTAGACCAAGTCACCTTATTTCTCAGAGTGTCAGTTTCATCATCAATAAGATGGCAATAGTAACCAGAATTACCTGTTAGTTACATAAATCAAGCCATTAGAAAGTGCTTTGTTCATTGTTATTAAACAGGGACTATCCCTGCTGTCCCAGGCTGTCATGAGGACACAGGGTAGTCTCTAAAGTCGGTAGATAGAGGGGCACATGGGAAAGGCTGTTCTTCCTGGTGTTTGGGGGCTGGTTTGGGGAGTCTGGCGCTGTCGGGGACCTTGTTTCTTTCTTCTCCTTCTCTGCTTCTGGCTTTCCACTGCATGGCGGAAGCCGAGGAGACATTCCTTCCTTATATTGTGGAAAGAAGAGACAGACAGTACCGCAATAAATTAATGTGTTCAAAGGTGATAGATACCATGAAGAAGAATAAGGCGGGTTAGGGGAATAGTGGACTGGGCGGCAGAGGGGGCAAAGGGGAGGCTGAGAATGGTGATCAGAAAGGTCATATTTGAATCTAGGTTCAGGACTGGCCAGATCTACTGGGCACTGTGGTTTTCTTCCTCACTGAATTATGTTGAATTTCCTGAGCTCCAGGCATTAGTCTAGGTGCTGAGGACCAGGCTGGGATCAAATAGACCAGCTCCCTGCCTGGCAGGAGAGACAAGAAATAAATGTGCAAACAGACAAGTAATGTCACATCGAGCAGTGACCAGTGCTATGGAGGAAAAAGAAGCAGGTGACAGGCCAGTTGCCGGACACTGTTTTAGCCAGAGTGGTCAGTGACGGTCTCCCTGAAGAGGTGTTGGTGAGCATAGGCTCTGACCCTCAGGCTCCCAGTCTGTAGGACCCCTGTAACACTCTCTGATCAGTCTGTCCACTTGGCCGCTGCCTTCTGGGGGAGTCCAAACTCCAAGGCATCCCTCGCAAGCGCAGGAACCTGGCTCCTCAGAACCAGCACTGCCATCAGCCTCAAGGAGTGCTATTTTTTTTTTAATTCGGGCCAAAGGTACAATTAACAGCCTCCGCCTGGGTCTCACCCAGCCCCAGGGCCTCTGCTCACGCCTGCCTGACTGGCAGGAGGGAAGGGGCCCTCCCAGTACCCCCTCAGTCAACTGCCAGGGCTATTTTGGTGACTGTTATTTGGGCAAGGAGTGGGCTAGTGGCTTGTGGGAGGGAGGGAAGGGGGGAAGATGCTAAAAATACTGAGGCCAGACTGAGGTAACTGGCCTCTACCCTCTCACGGGCCTGGCCTCCTCCGTGGGTAAGCAGAGCCTGTTCCTTGGTCTCTCCTGGGGACTGGCTGCTGAGGGTTCAAACGCACCCAGGAGCCCTTTTCTTCTGGCTAATTTGAGTCATGACCACCATTAGTTGGGAGGCCCCAGGGGCTAAGTGACCAGCACTGGTCACACAGCCATAAGTGGAGCGAAGACCAACCTGGTCAGAGTGATGTCCTGCTGAGGATACAGCTTGGAAGAAATCAGTGTGATGATGTCACTTCTCTAGGCCCCTTGCAGCAAGGGGACCCCAAGGGCCCTTCTCCGCACATCTAAATCCCACAGCCCAAGGCCACCTCCCGTCAGGACTCTGAAGCGAGGACGCCAGTGGGCTGTGTGCTCCCTGCTCTATTTTTTTATCTGCTAAGTGAGAATCCATGCGGGAGCTTGGCTCAGGGGACCAAGAGCAAGAGGGCTGCTAGGAACCTCACCTCAGTCACACCTTGATCTTGGGTGATCTCTGACACATCACCCACTCCCTGGGCCTCAGAACTTCTGCCCTGACCGCCCTGCGGACAGCTGTCTGGGTGACTCCCTGACTTCTACCAGTGTGAGCTCTGAATGAACAGGATCCGTGGGTCACATGACCTGGAGGTCAAGGTTTACTGCATGACGGACTCGCCTCTACCCTGGGAGATGGTACACCTTGTGGGAGGGAACCTGAAGGGCCCTTGATATTAAGGCTAAGTAATTCCCTCCATTCATTCATTCATTTGCTGTTTGGTTCATTCATTCCCCATCTCTTGGTGAGCACCATTTATAAAGGCATTGTTCTAGGCACTAGGATTACAATGATGTACAAACCAAAGCCCCATGCCCTCGTGGATCTTACGTTGTAGAAGGAAGTGACAGACAGTACACCAATAAATTAATCAATATGTTAAAAGATGATGGATGTCATGAAGAAGAATAAGGTAGATTAGGGGAATAGTGGCCGGGATGGCGGGCTGGGGGGTGGAGGGCGGGGCTGAGAATGGCCATCAGAAAGGTCATATTTGAACCTAGGTTCAAAGTCCAGCTGTAATCTTAAGGGGCCAGGAGATTTGACCAAGTCACTTTACAACTAGGCCAAATGAAGAGAGAGTGTGAACCATTTAAATACTTGGGGAAGAGCATTTGGGGAGAGAGTGTGAAGCAGGCAACAGGAAAGACCTCCCCACCTTTTCCAAATCTTCTCCTGTTTCTGCAGGTCCCGCAGGCAGAGGCAGACCTTGAAACCTCTCTTGCCCATTACAGCACCGCTGATGCCCTTGACTCCACAATGCCTACCCGCTAACTGGAGCTCACCACACCTGCCCCCGGCTCTAGGGAAGGGGCTTCCTAGGCCTCCTCGGGCTGGGCTGCTATTGCCCTGGAGCGGTCCTCTCTCCCCTCCGAGCCCCCGGTGACCTTCACCCTACAATTACCATCCTCTGCCCAGGGCTATTTCCTGCAGACTTGTAAATAGAACCTCTTTCAGCTCCACACACATTATGGTTTGTCTAAAACGGTGTCAAAGGAGCCAATTTTCCTGAACGGAGACCATTGACGAGAGGTAAAGTTTACAGAGGATTCCCGCAGGACCTGGGCCTGCAGGAGTCAAAAACAAGGGTCTAGAGGTGACGCAACCGCCCAGAATAGCCAGCTTGAATAGTGGGGCAGGTCCTGGACTTTTCTAGGGGTAGATTTTCTCTGCGACATAGAAATAAATAAGATGGTTGAGCCACAACCTGACCGACCTTATCAGGGATCCCAGCCCAGGCTCGGGAGTCCCAACTTGGGAGGGAGAGGGCCTGGGTTTTAGGCCTGGCTCTGCCGTTCTCTGTTCCTCTGTCTGAGTCTGAATCACTCTGTGAGCAAATACCAATGCCACTTGATGTGTGGGCTATGGCAAGTCTCAGCCATCTTGCAGAAGTGAGTGAGCTTTCTTATCAGAGAGAGGAAAGAGGCACAGATGGTAAGATGGTTCTGAGACCTCTGCACACTTTCCACACCAACCACTGGTGACTGCCTAGGAGGCTGCAGGCCCATATGATGAGTGTGGCTGGCAAACACACCTCTTGTGGGCAGAAGCAGCCACAGGCATGGGGCCTGGTGGAAAGGGAGGGAGGCTGGACTGTGGCCCCCTGTGAGGTTAGGGTGATGATCTCCCCCTTACAGATGAAGAAACAGAGACCCAGAAAGATGTAGTAACGTGGTCCAACATACATTTCATAAGCGGCCAAGGCAGGATTTGAACCCAGGCTGGCCTGACCCCAAAGCCCATGAGTCTTCTGCAGTTCCAGACGCCTCCACCTCCCCGGCCTGACCCTGCTTGGCCTTAGCAAGTCCTGGGCAGAGCCCTGTGAGCAGGAAACCTCTACAGGCCATGACCTTCCCATGACCACAGAAGAGCAGCTGTGCCAGCTCTACAGCCCCTGTCCATCTCCAGGGCCCAGCCTGAAACGAACAAGGCAGATACTGCCTGCTTTGACTTGGGTTCCACCTCACTTATGTGTCTATGAATAAAGGCTCAGAGAGCATTTTAGGAACCAAAACTGCCCAGCAATCTTCACACACACACACACACACACACACACACACACACACACACACACCAAAACAAAAGCTAGACCAGATGTTCAAGAAACATACTAGCTAGAAAATTATACTCACTTGAGGCTGGGCGTGGTGGGTCACGCCTGTAATCCCAGCACTTTGGGAGGCCAAGGCAGCCGGGTCACTTGAGGTCAGGAGTATGAGACCAGCCTGACCAACATGGAGACACCCCATCTCTACTGAAAATCCAAAAATTAGTAGGGTATGGTGATGCCCCTGTAATCCCAGCTACTCGGGAGGCCGAGGCAGGAGAATCACTTGAACCTGGGAGGCAGGGGTTGCATTAAGCTGAGACTGTGCCAGTGCGTTCCAGCCTGGGTGACAGAGGGAGACTCCATCTCAAAAAAAAAAAAAAAAAAAAGATACTCACTTGTATTACCTAAGGATACACCAGGAAACAGTGGTTCAAGGACCAGATTCTGGACCCAGATTTATCTCTAAGTCATTTAACTTATCTGAGCCTCAGTTTCGTCATTTTCCAAATGGGAAAAGTATGGATATCTGTTGTGCTAATATGCCATTTCCTCAAGGAAGAATTGGTTGGGAAATGAGACACCGTGGTTAAGAATACAGGTTTTAGAATCAAACACACCCAGGTCTGAATTCTCAGTTCCACCATTTCTCACAGTGTTGTCTTTGGTATCTGGCAGTCCCCTCTCTGGGTCTCAGCTTCCTTAACTGCAAAATGGAACTAGCAGTCCTTGTCCTGCCTGTCTTCCAGGATGGGTGTGAGGCTCCTGAGAAGCGGGGAAGTATGATGTTTTATAGGTTTTCCTCCTCCCTCTAGGAATTATTAGTTGTTAAAGGATTTTTAAGATGCATATAAAGAGTAAAATCATGACTCGCACACAAATATAAAATGAACAGGTGTCAAAGATTTTATTTAACTCATTAATTAATGAGGCAACTATAAGATGTTACTATCTCTTCAAAGGAGAATTCAAAGAATTCAAAGAACACACACACACAGGCAAATGAGAAAACTGAAATGAAGTTACAAATAGATGCAAAAATAACCTATTCACAGGGCATCAATCAGTTGCATTCTGACCTAACAAAATGTCTTTGCATTCCCATGGACGAGAATTGTTTGCATTTTGCTTTCCTACAATTTTCAGAGTTATAAAATAGCTCAAAGACTAGGAAATGTGGAGATAATCCAGAAAGGTGATCTAAACAGGACACCCAGCAACTTTTTTTTCTGCCCATTTCAAAGCCTTTCGTAATGTTTCCTGACAGTTAAGGTGTCCTCTATCCACCGCCCCCCCGCTCCTCCCCCTCCCTGTGGTAAAACAAACTAGCCAGGAAATGTGTGTTGACTGAGACCACTCAAATCAAGAAGGCAATAAAGTTGCATCTTAGCTGTCAGCTTCAGTTCGTCTGTAGAGGCTTCCTGGAGCCTACTGAAAGGTTCTAAGGCTGCTCGGGAAGGAAGAGAGGTCTGGCCTTAGAGGGAAAGGGTCAGGGGTGCATATAAACCTCCCCGAAACTCCTTCCCTGTGTGATCCTGTATGCTCTTCCCACTTCAGGCTGGCTGGACCGGAAATGACCCTAGAGTGACATCAGGAATCAAGCGTTGCCAAGGACAGAGCCACAAGAGAGAAGGTGCCTGAGTCCCTGGACCATGACATACTGGTCACTTTTTTCTTTGTCAAACCAATGAGATTCTGAGGTTTATCTATTGGAACAATTGCTACTGCTCTACCTTATGCAGCATCCGCATATTTGGTTGGAAATCTTGCTCCCAGCTTACTTGCTGGGTGATCTTGGAAAAGTTACTTCACTTCTCTGAGCCCTGGATTCTTCAAATGCACAAAATTGGTCTCACGGGATAGAAGGGAGAATAAAGCAAGAAAACATACCTGGCAGAATGAACTGGTGTCTGTCCCTATCAGGAGGGGTCGTAGACTCCAGCCTCAGGCAGGAGAAGAAAGAGCAGAAACGCTTCTTAGCACGATAAGAGTGGAGAATGGAGGTGGCAGTCGTTTCCCAGTGGGCAGCCGCAAAGCCACACAAATAGGAGAAATAGTCCCTCCTCTACATGGGGGTCACTGAGCTGTCTCCAAAGAAGCCAGATGCTCACTGCAGTGGGCTCTGCTGGCTTGGGAGGTGACCTAGTAAGAACTTTGGCGTGTGTCTCTTGAATGGGGAGAAGGAAGCGGAATGGAGTGTCCACCTTCACCCTCACTCATGGGACTTGAGCCCATCCCAAGGCCCATTTGGGGGCTTGCAATGGCTGAGCTGGGAGAGCTGAGGGTCTGGCCAAAGCTGGAGGCTCTATGAGAGACACAGGAAAACAGTTGTGGGTGGAACCCCTTTCTCTTGGCCTGTAGGAATCAGAGTTTCTTGAGGACCTGTTGTAGTCATCATTTTGAAGAGCTTGAAAATGCCTTGTACGGAGAGATGTGAAAAGGTATAAAAGAGAGAGAGAGAGAGAGAATCAGGCAGAGAAAGATCATCCACAGTTTTATGGGGTGGAAGGAAAAGCAGGGGCCATCCCTGCTAATATCTGAGTCTTCAGAGGCCTTCCTGGAACAAGGGAATGACCAGGCGAGGGATCCTACACAACCCTCATTTCTCCTTTTTTTGACCTTTCTGAGACGTAGCCGGCCCTTCATTAAAGAGCCGCACATGTTCACCGTTCAGCAGCCCCTCGAATAATGGTCCATTCAATGTCATTTTGTTATAACGTTGATGAGAAAAAAAAATGGATTCCTGGCTGGGGCCTCTGTCTGTGTGGAGTCTGCACGTTCTCCCCACGTCTGCCTGGGATTTCTCCAGGTACTCCGGTTTCCTCCCACACCCCAAAGCTGCACATGTTCCACGAACTGGTGCGTCTGTGTGGTCCCAGTGTGAGTGAGTGTGGATGCGTGTAGCAGTCACCCTGGGATGAGATGGCATCCTATCCAGGGTGGGTTCCTACCTGGCACCCTGAGCTGCTGGGATAGGCTCCAGCCACCCTCTACCCTGAACTGAAATAAGAATAAGCGGATAAATTATGATCTCATGTGTTTGTATTAACCTTTCTTAAGTGTATGTGTAGCTCACATGTATTTCAACGTATAATGTTGGAATGTTTTGGTCTTTATTTAGAAGTCTGGTGATATTTCTGTGGCCAGAAATGTGCCAGGAACTTCACTCTTGATTACTCCAACTACCTATAATAAAATTGGTTTTGTTATATGTGGTTTTGCTTAAAGTTGCAGTTTCCAAGAACCTACAAATGCTAAGTGAGGACTTACCATAGTCCCCAGCCTTTGGTCTGGCAGAGGCTGATAAGGTGGCAAGGCCAGAGGAAACGGCCCCCACTTCTGCTTCTCTTTTAAGGGGGCTCTAGCACAGATGAGACTGGGTAAGAACCTACCTTTATGAGATGAATATATGTAGCCACTGCTCATTGTCACTCATGCCCCTGTAACAAGCAGATAAGACCTTGAAGTGTGAGACCGAATCCCTGATTTCTACCCTGCTGTGGTATAGGGCCTCCCGTGCTCTGGGGGACACAGACATGGAAGTTCCCAGGGTGTAATGAGGGTGATGGCGCCTGTTTACAGCTGTGTATGCTAACAGGTTGCCAGGGCATTAAATTAACAAGGAGCAGGAAATCAGCTCCCCTGACCATGAGCACAGGATGTATGTGTAGAAGAAGCATAATGTCTAGTGCAAGGGAGGTGTTAGTCTTGCACTGATCGGACCCCATCCAGGAGGCTGTACTGTCATCATCACCATCGCCACCACCTTTGCCTCATCATCGTTACCAGTGGCGGCGGCGGCGGCGGCGGCAGCAGCATCGCCACCACCATTATCAACATTGTTATTCATGATTACATCCTAACACTGGAATGAGTGGATACTGAACAAATGTTTTGAATGAGTAAGACGCTGCATAAATGACAGAAAGGAAGAGCTGACAGCTCTGGCAGATGCAAAGAGGCAGGTGCTTTCTTCCCAGCGAAGAACTAAAATAACCCTGGTTACATAGGGTCCTGGGGCCAATTGTACCCTAGACAGACAGAAAGAATCTGTTGGGTTACACAGTTCCAGATCATCGGTGTTTCTGGCTCCATGATGAAGAAAATGAATTGGCAGCTCCCTCCACAGTGAACTACAGAGGAAGTTTATGAGGGAAAGAATAGATGGTGAGAGGAATTTAGGCTCCAGTCCTTACTGCTCTAACTGCATCTCTCTCTCTGTCTCAGTTTTCATACCTGTGAAATGGAATAGTAATAGTTCCCACTTCACAGGGATGTTCTGTTAGATGGAGGCATGTATGTAAAGCATAGGCCTTAATAAATGCTATCTGCTATCTTTATTATTACTTTTATCAAATGTTATCACTCATCAGAAGAGCCCCAAACTGGAGTTGGAGCTAGGAGTTTGGAGACATCAGAAGTGGAAATCTTCAGTTGAGGCCAAGAGTTCGAGATCAGCCTAGGCAATATAGTGAGACCCCATCTCTATAAAAATAAAAATAAAAATAAAATAGCCAGGAGTGCTGGCACACACCTGTGGTCCTAGCTACTCGGGAGGCTGAGGTGGGAGTTTTAAGGCTAGAGTGAGCTATGATTGCACCACTGCACCCCAGCCTGGGCAACAGAGCGACACCGTTTCTGGGAGAAAAAAAAAAAAAGGAAAGGTGAGCACAGTAGCTCACATCTGTAATCCCAGCATTTTGGGAGGCCAAGGCAGGGGGATCATTTGAGCTTATAAGTTTAAGACCAGAATGGGCAACATAGCGAGACCTTGTCTTTACTAAAGAAAAAAAAATAAAAATAATTTGATAATTTTTAAAGGAAGTGGAATTTCTTGTATATAGTTGTGGTCCATAAGGCCTTAGCTGGCCTCATTGTTCATATATAAGCCTCTCCCCAGTGCACATTTTTAGGATTGATCCTGATATGATGGTTAATTTTATGTGTCAGTTTGGCTAGACTGTGGTAACCTAGTCTTTGTATGGTCAAAGACTAGTCTAGATGTTGCTGTAAAGTTATTCTTAAGATATGATCAACATTTACAATCAGTTGACTTTAACTAGAGCAGACGACCTTTTCGAATGTGGGTGGGTCTCATGGAATTTGTTGAAGGCCTGAAGAACAAAGCCTGCAATTTCCCCAAAGAAGGAATGCTGCAACATAGAAATCCCACCTGAGTTTCTAGCTGATATGGTTAGGCTTTGTGTCCCCACCCAAATCTCATCTTGAATTGTAATACCCAGGTGTTGAGGGAGAGACCTGGTGGGAAGTGATTGGATCATGGGGGTGGTTTTCCCATGATGTTCCCCTGATAGTGAATGAGTTCTCATGAGATCTAATGGTTTTATAAGCATCTGGCATTTCCCCTGCTTGCACTTCTCTCTCCTGCTGCCATGTGAAGAAGGTCCTTGCTTCCCCTTCCTCATCTGCCATGATTGTAAGTTTCCTGAGGCCTCCCCAGGCATGCGGAACTGTGAGTCAATTAAACCTCTTTCCTTTGCAAATTACCCAGTCTCAGGAAGTTCTTTATAGCAGTGTAAGAACAGACCAATATACTAGCCTTCTGACTCGAGATAGCAACAAAAACTTTTACCTGAATCTGCAGCCTGCCAACTTGCCCTACAGATGATTTGAGTCTTGCCAACCCTAATCTTGTGAGGTGTGAGCCTCACGATATTTCTGAAAGTAAATCTCTCTCTCTCTCTATCTCTCTCTCTCTCTCTTTCTCTCTCTCTCCGTATATATAGAAAACAGAAGCCGGATATATGGATGTAGATCTGGACATTGGTTCTGTTTTTCTGAAGATCTTTGACTAATATACCTGTTCTCAGCCCAGATGGCTTGGCAAGAAACCTCAAGTTGGAAATGCTCAGGAACCCATAGGAAGCACTTGGTTCTCAAAACATGTGACTAGAATTGAGCTCTAAGTCCCCAATAAATGTTACTTCCCTTGGAGAAAATGTTGGTTAAAATATGCAATTTCTGCCTACTTCCCCCTAATATCATCCTGCGAGGAGTGACTGGGAGCATTGCAATCAGCCCTGGTGTTTTTCCTGAGCCACCTGTCCTATAAGCCACATTTTCTGCCTCCAGATGAGAGGTTTGTTTCTCAAGTGAAGGTGGGCGGAGCCCTCAAGGCAGAAAGTAGAGTCCTTCTCTCAAAAACTGCATGACCACCCACAGACCCAGGGACACACATCACTCTTGTGAACAGGTTTATGGCCTCAGAGTGCTTCTTGGAACGGAAGCTCAACCACTCCAAATGCATCTATCATCATGTCAACCTCCCCGGCAGTGGAGGGGAATTTGAGAACTATGACTTTTTAAATCCAAAGATTCAGAATGCCCCATTGTTAAAGTTGGGAAGCTCTGTAGTACAAATGTGTTTGGCACTCAAAATGATCGCTTACACTGGTGCCTCGAAATACATGGACTCCAGCCACTAAGACATACCATGTTTTCGATCAGCCTTGCTGCTGGTTGCTGGAACTCCGTCTTCTCAGCTTTGGGAATTGCTAGGAGAAGCATGGGATTTGGAATGACTTGGACTGGGAATTGGAGTCCTGTATCTGAATTTTTCTAGTTGTCTGACTTTGAGCAAGGTTCTCAAACTCTCTGTGCTTATGAAGAAGTATTTGTTGTATAAAAAGGAGATGACAGCAATTGTAATCCATGCCTTACTAAGTGTGTCAGTCAGGACAGGCTAGGCCATGCTGCGCAACGAATAACTTTAAAAGCCTCAGTGGTTTAATATAAGAAAGATTTATTCACTCACTTATACTACATGTCATCATATGTTGGCAAGGGCTCTGTTCCATGTCATCTTCATTCACTTAGGATAGCAGAGACACCACCTGGAATATCACTAGCCATCATGATAGTGTGAAGGGGAAGTTGAAAATCATGAATCAACTCAGAAATGTTTCCATGCAAAAGTGACACAGTCATTGGTCTGGGCAAGTCACAAAACCACACCTGATGTTGAAGAGAGAAGGAAATGTAATTCCCCTGTGTATATGGAAAGGAAGAAGATCTGGAAATACTGTGAAGCAAGACTGATGTCTACCATTTCAGGAGGAGCATTTCTATTCAGGAGAGAATTTCTTACATCGTAGGATACTTTGGAGACTGTAAAGAGTTTTCACATTTATTACTATTTCAGAATATTCTGGGCCACTGGGATGACCACATAACTGAGAACTACCACACTTTCCAATGTCATATCTGCTTTTGTGCCTACAATCATATTGGTATCAAAAAGTACAAGTATAATTGTCAAGGGCTAAGGAGAAAAGAACAGAGATAAACTTAATATGGGAAGAAGTCTTAGTGCCAAATGAAGACCAATTGGCAAATGTATTACATAACGTTTCCACAACTCAGAAGAGCATTGATGTAGCAGTCAGCATCATATTCTTACTTCAAGTAGTGATTTGGTTTCAGCAAAACAGTGTTGTTCATCTTAAATAAGTGGTTTTAATAAGTGAATGTTACTGCTTCTTTAAAATTTATATTTCATTCATCAATATGTTTGCATTTTATAGCATTATAAGGGCTATAAGCTAGTTTTATATTTGTAACTTGTAGGGAACTCTTGCTGACCTCATGACCTTTGAACTCTCTTCCTCTATGACTGTGGAATCCCCACCTAATGAATCAGGATCCACTTCCTAATGGAAAAGCTGGAAATGCCAGGAATATGCTTTCGCATCTTCCCTTGCAGCTAGAAAACAATCACTTGACCTGGATCCACCAATCAGATGTGCTCTCACCAGACTTTGACTGGAAGCTTGTGATAGAAAAAGGAGAGGCAGGGCTGTCAGTCCATGGAGCACACTTGGAGTTGCACTGTGGACTGTGGCCTTTCTAGGTATGGAGACGTTGATTCCTCAACCCTGGGTCCCCAGCCCTTTTTTCAAGTATCTCTGGTGGTGGAACAGACCCAGGTGTGAGCTTTGAGGGAGCTAGAGGGCAGAATTGACCCAACATGATGAGGAGGAACACGGACTGATTGGGTAACTGGGGCAAGAGAAATGCCGTGACCCAAGAAATACTGAGGAGGAGGGTATGGAGACAGATAGGCTCAGGGCAGAGGAGCCAGAGGAGGGGCAATCAGGAGCTGTCCTGGCAGACAACTGAGCTCCCCATACCCAGGCTTGGGCCAAGGAGAGCACTGAGGTGGGAGGTGGAGCTCCAGAGAGGAGCTACCTCTCAGGGATACACCAAACGAGGTGGCCAGCAAAAGCAGCACAGGCAGGGGCCAAGGAGGAACCCAGGAATGAGGGACACTGTTCCCCGCACACAGAAAGCAAGCAGGATGAGGACTGAAAACCATCAGAGTTGGCAACCAGGCCTTCAGCAAACTAAGAAAACCAGGCTCGGTGTGGTGGCTCACGCCTCTAATCCCAGCACTTTGGGAGGCCAAGGTGGGTGAATCACTGGAGGTCAGGAATTTGAGACCAGCCTGGCCAACATGGTGAAAACATGTTTCTACTAAAAGTACAAAAATTAGCTGGATGTGGTGGAAGGCACCTGTAATCCCACCTACTCAGGAGGCTGAGGCAGGAGAATCACTTGAACCCGGGAGGCGGAGGTTGCAGTGAGCCAAGATCGCACCACTGCACTCCAGCCTGGGTGACACAGCAAGACTCCATCTCAAAAAAAAGAAAGAAAGAAAGAGAGAGAGAGAAAGGAAGGAAGGAAGGAAGGAAGGAAGGAAGGAAGGAAGGAAGGAAGGAAGGAAGGAAAGGAAAGGAAAGGAAAGAGAGAGAAAGAAAGAAAGAGAGAGAGAGAAAGGAAGGAAGGAAGGAAAGAGAGAAAGAAAGAGAGAAAGAAAGAGAGAAAGAAAGAAAGAAAGAAAGAAAGAAAGAAAGAAAGAGAAAGAAAGAAAGAAAAAGAAAGAAAGAAAGAGAAAGAAAGAGAGAGAGAGAAAGAAAAAGAAAAAAGAGCAAGGCTATGTGAAAACCTTTTAGGGAAGGTTGGCTGCCAGGGTGGCTGCTACCCCTACTCCAGCAGCAGTATCTAGGGGGCAGCCTGGGTGGTATCTGTAGAGATAGCGCTGGTATTGACACCAGCTGCAGCCCCACACCAGGCTCTGCAGGACCCATTCTGCCATGTGGTTTGATGTGCTGAAGCCTCCATTCTTTTTCTGTGATCTTCAGGGACCATCTATAATGTACCCTATATCCTTTCATTAATATGATTTCTGCTTAAATTAGCCACCATTGTTTTCTGTTGTTTGTGACATACGTATAAATATGGAAGTAACATTAAAATAAAAATAATCTGTGTCAAACCTTGGCATCCACAAGAAAGGCACACACACACACACACACACACACACCCTCAAAGAGTTGGAAATATAATCTGAACTTGAAAAACGCTGATCTGCTGGGACTCTTGTATTTTAAAATGAGACTACTGAGGATGTGATAGGGAAGGACCCAGCCAGGGTCCCACAGTGGGTGAGCAGTGAGTTCAGACCAGAATTTGGATGTCTTGCCTTTAGGTCCTAAGTGCCTTCCAACTAAATATCCCGGCCAGGGCAGTGCTGGCTTTCTCTGGGCCTCTGGCAGGTGGAGAAGACTTGAGGTATGGATGGGAGCTGATAATGGCACCTGGTTAACCATCTGCACCCCAGCGGCTGCTCCCTGGAGCATCCTGGCAATGGGCACCCCAGGATTAAGCACTGAGGTTGATGGCCAGGCTTGGGCCCAACCAGGGGGTGTGGGGAGCAGCCTTTGCCTCCGGAGCCACCAGACAATCACTTTGCAGTCCACAGCCCTCCTGTAAACAAGCTGTTGTGCCTGAGAGAACATGATAATAGCAGGTCCTGCCATCCTGCCCTCTCTCTGTGTCGGGAAGGCCTGCAATTATTGTCTTAACTGACTCAGATATGGCTCGCCAAGGGTATACATTTCCTGAAGCTGTATACAATTTCTACAAACTTTCTCCTCCACTCCTTCTTCAAGCTCTGGGGTCTCAGATTCCCTCCCCCAACCCCACCCCTCAAACTGCTCCTGGAACTCCAAGCAGCCAACACCTTAGAGGTTCTGCAAGGCCAATGGCACGGCACTCTCAGGAGAGCATAGCTGCAGAGTCTTCCTCATCCATAGCTAAAACCCATGGCTGCCAGCATAGTCAGGCTCGGAGGGTGGGTGCAGAAAGGTCCCTGTGGAATGTAGCTTCCTGCTTAGGCCTTCCCTGTGCCTGGAATTTCTCCATCAAAGAGACTCCTTTTGGTGAAGCATGGACTCGCATCTTTGAAGATGAGATGAGTTTATCTCTGAAGACATTAAAAGGACTTTTTTCAGAGCAGCCAGTGGTTCACATGCCTAAAAAAGAGCAGATTAAAAAGTACATCTGCCCAAGCATGAGCTGAGTGGCAGGGGCAAGTGGTCTCAACACGCCTGACCTGTATCTCTGAAAAGCAGCTCCCAGCACCCATCACTCACTGTGACTCTGCAGGCCCAAAGAGACATCCGGGCTGTGGAGAAATTGACCAACAGGTCCGAATATGACCTAGCTCTAGCCACTTCATGTCTGTGTGCTTTTGTTTCCTCATGTGTAAAATGGGGGTGATGATTCCATCAGTCGGGACAAGCTGGGTTATGCTGCAATAACAAACAAACCCAAAATCTCAGAGGCTTCCAAAAGCACAGGTTTACTTTTAATTCATGCCACTTCACCATTGTTGGTTAGCTAGGAGCTTCTGCTTACTGTATTCGGGGCAGCCACTGACTCAAATATTTCAGCCTGATGAAGCAGAAGAAAAAAGAATGGTAGAGATCTTGAAACATAAATTAAATGCTCTGCCTGTAAATAACACACAGTCCTTCAATTCACAACTCTTTGGCTAGAACCAGCCACCTGGCCAATTTGACCCCAGGAAGCCAAGAAGTACAGACCTACCATGTATCCTGGAGCAGGAGAGCCAGACATATTTAGTAGACAGCATTAACACCTATCACAATAATCACAGAACATACCTCTAGGAATGTTGAGAGGATTAAATGAATTCTATTTCTAATAAGTTCTGTATAAGGATAGGCCATTGGTATTATAATGAAGATGGTGATGTTCATTATTAGTAAGATCATTAAAATGGGACTCACGTAAACTATCGATGAAAGAAAAATCACTGTTCTAATTTTCTGTTGAAATTATATTGGAAAGTCTGATGTGATGTCAAGAAGGGCAAAATCTTGGCCCTGCCACTCATTTGCTGTGTGATCTTGGGAAAGTTGCTACCCATCTCGGAACCTCTGATTCTTCTTTTGCACAACAGAGTCTTGGGCTCAATATCTGGGAATGAGGTAGGGTGTGAATGATGGGGGTCAGAGGCTGGCTTTAGCTTATCCTAATTAGCTGGGGTGATGTGCACCCCTTGGCCCTGTGCTCGGGAAAATCCTTGACATCGGAGCTGTCTGCATCAGGCTTATGAATCTCAATCCCTAAATTATAGGTGACAGTGGCTTCTTAAAGAGGAAATGAATTGTTGCAACACAGTCCAGCCGTGTTGTATCGATATGATTAGCTAGTTATCCATGGAGTGCAGTAATTTGCTTTGATTTTTAAGTATCCGTTAGCAGCCAAGTCCTAATGAGGCGGCTCTAAATTGATTAGATACTCCAAGATACAGCACGGTTCACAGATTGTTTCAGAAAACTGTCAGGATCCTGAGACTGGCATTTCATTGGATTTAATGATTGCTGGAGAAGGTGTGCATCCCAGCCAGATACAATCACATTTGTCAGCATGATCCTTTTAAGCACAATTCAATTAAAGTGTTATTCTCTAATTTTATTAGAACCGGAGCCCAGAGCTAATGCAAGCTCCCAATATTGCGTCAGGAAGGGAGTGTGCACAATTTAATTTCCCTAATTGGAATTTAGTGATCTAACATGCTTTTCATATCTTAATTCTTGGGATAATCTCCGGTTTTTGCACCTGCTACAATTCCTTTAATGGAAATGAGCAACCAGATGCAACGGTTACGCCTGGCATGGAATCACTGGGTCACATCTGCCTCATTGAAGGGAATTTGCACATCTGGATCTTTTGCTTTTACCTGATCCTTTCCCCCATTGATCTTGGCCTTGACTTTGACAAGAAGGCCCTCCTGCCTGGATATAATCTGATTTTTCAACCATGCTGGCAGCCTTGGAATTAAGATGGTGGGAAGATCATGGGCTTTTGAGTCAGCCTAGATTTGGATCTCAGCTTCACCATTCATCCATCCGTCTATCCATCCATCCATCCATCCATCCATTCCAGCAATGCTTAGTGAGTGTCTACCATGTGCCAGGCACCGTGTTAGGTGTTGGGAGTACAATCATGAGCAAATCAGGCATGGCCTCCAATGTCATGGCACTTAGAGACTGCTAGAAGAGAGGGTCATAAAATAGTAACCACACCAGTAACAAAACAATCACCATTGTCATAAGAGACATAAAGGGAAAGAACTATGCACTAGAGACTTCCTGGTTTTCTGGGCTTAGACAGGGCCTCTCTGAGGATGCAATATTTCAGCCAAGACCCTAATTAGTTCCCATGGCCTGCAGATCCTGGATGAGAACCAAGGGAAGTGCTACAAAGCCCTGAGCCTTGTCCCTCCCTCTGGCTGCAGTGCCCAGTCCCCTTCTCTGGACAAGTGCCATCCTTTAGGTCTTAGGCAGAGCCCCAAGGTAAGGAGAAGTTGGAAATGAGTATAGAGTCAAAAGTGGGCCTTTTTGCTTAAATGAGGTAGAAACTTTAAAGATATCAGGTTAAAGAGGTAGGCAGGGACAGATTCCATAGGGCCTTACAGGTAGGGCCTTACAGGTAGGGCCTTAGATGTCTCTGTTTATGCCTATTGTCTTGATGTAATTATTAGTAATGATCAATTATATGGCCACCCACTTACAGGTCAAGCAGAGAGGAGTATTTTATTACTAACATTGTGTAGAATTGCTGGTGCAGGATGATCATAAAGAAAGATCAGTTTTTAGTTGGTTTTATTATTGTGTTTACATTCTCCAGAGAAAAACCCTTATTGCCTGACCCTAGGGCAGGATACTCCCACTGCCCCTACCGCAGTCAAGACACTTGGTATGTTGAATTTTATCCTGTGAGCAACAGGAAGCCAGAGTAGCATGAAGACACCTTGCACTGCTGTATCCCCAGCACCTAGGTTACAGCCTGGTACATACAAGGTATGACGTTTCTATTTTTTTTTTTAATCAGTCTGTCTTTATTGTAGAAAATGGATTGGAGGGAGGCAGAGTGGAAGCCCAAAGGCCAGTGGGGAGGCTATCGATGTCTTCCAGATGAGAGACAGTGGTGGCCTTGGTTGGGAAGCAGTGAAGGCATGGAGAACAGGAAAGAGTTGAGATCCTGACATGCATTAGCTGTGTGACCTTGGATAATCCATTTGACCTCCTAGATTCTTGGTTTTCTCATCTATAAAATGAAGAAATCTATTTCAAAGAGTTGTCAGAAATTAATTTTGCACCATGCTGGGAACACAGTGTGCTAGAAGTTTGGGTTTTTTGCAGATGGATGGATGCTGGGTTGGCTGATTGAAATATAGTCTAAGCACAATGGGAACCATTATTTGCTCTTAACCAGCTTCTTCTCAGTTGGTTACCAAGGACCTTTATCTTAGCTGACTAGGAGTTGAGGATCCTACCTTGGATGACTTCAAGCCCACAGACGACCCTCAGCCAACCTTGAGCCTCAAGGGCTGAGTGACTTCCCCACAGTACAGGGCAGACTCAGTCCCACCTCTGGGAGTGGTCAGAGTTGAGCCTCGGAATGTCAGAGGGGAAGGTCAAAGAGGGTACTGAGCCTATTTCCCTCATGTTACAGATGAGGATCCCAAGGTTACACTCTAAGCTGGGGGCAGAGACAGCTGTCTCAGACAGTAGTTCTGCCTCTAATAGAGGCCTGGACTAAAACAAATGGTACCCAGGATCCCCGCCCTGCCTCCTTCCACAAGAACCCAAACTCCAGAGAGTTCTGCTCTTGATATATTATGATCATGGGAAAAAATAACTAAAATATATTGAGCTCCATGTGCTCAGCTCTTCTGTACATTATCTCACTTAATCATTTCAACAGCCACAGGAGGGCATTGTGATTGTGTCCCTTTTACAGATGGGAAAACTGGTGCTCAAGGAGGTAGGTAACTTGTGCAAGGTCATCAGTAGTAAGTAGCAGAGTCAGGACCTAACCCCAGCTTAGCCGACCCCTAGCCGCCAGCATGAATTGCCTGACCTCATGACTTTTCTCCCCACCTGAATCCTGAAGCACAGGCGCAGCTGAAAGCATAAGTCTCAGAGCTTCACCCAGGCCAAGTGGGATGTCCAGCCTCCCACATTCATGACACAGGCTTACTTCTGGGACCTGGCCCACCACATCAGTTGCTTCTGGTCTCTGTAGGGATATAATACCCAGGCAGTGGTCACAGCTACATGGATAGGCAAAGGAGTTCCCCTGGTCAGAGATGGCTTCCCAGGTACTCAGAATCAAACTTCAAGTTCTTTCAATGGCTTACAAAGCTCTGGAAGATCTGGGCCCAGTTATATCTCCATCTTTATCACCTATCACTGTATCCCTTGTGGATCCAACCACTCTGGCCTTCATTCTGCTCCTTCTTTCACTCTCAGTGTCTTTATACTCACTGACCCTCTATCTAGAATATTGTCTATGTACAATATTCTCTCCTCAGATCTACTTTCGAATCTGAACTCCAATGTCATCCTCAAACAGGCTTTTCCTAACCAGCCACCCTACAGTATCCCTTCACCCTTGGTCCTATTTTTCTATTTGGTTTTCTTTATTTTATAGCACTTATCACTATCTAAAATTACCTGATATATGTACTTATTTGCTTATTTATTGTCTCTTTCTTCTGACTAGAATGTAGTTCTATGGGGACAGTGCTGATCTGTGTCATTTACTACTTTATACAGCGCAGTACAGTGCCTGGTATGCTGCATAATAGATAATTAATAAATATTTGCTGGATGGATGAATACTGGATGGATGAATGAATGGATGGATAGATGGATGAATGGATGAGTGCATGCATGGATGGATGGATGGGATAGTGGGTTGGATAGATGGGAAAAATGGATCAATGGATGGATGGATGGATGGATAGATAGATGGGATAAATGGATCAATGGATGGATGGATGGATAGATGGACAGATGAATGGATAGATGGATGAAAGGATAGATGAGTGCATGCATGTATGAATGGTTGGACAGATGGGATAAATGGATCAATGGATGGATGGACGGATGGATGGATGGATGGATGGATGGATGGATGGATGGATGGATGCTACAGAAAGGACATCTCTGGAACCGTAGACCACGAGGCCTAGAAGGATCATCAGAAAGAAGCCCTGAGCCTTTGGTCTTTCATAAAAATAAGTTGAAGTCCTAATAGATTTATCCAAATCTGGAGATCTAGGTTATAGTCCTGGCTTTGATTCTCAACAAAATAAAACAAAGTACTGACTAACAAAGGAAGCCTAAGAAGTAAGATGGAAAGAACACTGGATTAAAAGGCAAGCCATCTTGCCAAATAGACAGGCTTAATCAATGTGGTTTTGTGCCATGAGATCACCCCCTAACCTTAGGTGTTCAGCCAAGGGAGGGCACCCAATTCAAAGGCAGAGAATCCATTGAATGGTCAGTGACTGACCTAGCATAAGGCATGAGCTGACTAAACCGACTCCCCTCCTTAGGACCTGACCCAAGTACTGAAAGAAGGAAACAGCAGCAAAAAACATTAAGTCACGATAAGGAGCAGAGTTGCAAACTGGGACCCATGGACCGGTTGTATTCAGTCTTTGGAATGTTGTTTTAAAGCTTAAATTGGTGTTAACATGCAAAAATGAGGCATTGTATAAAAATCCAGACACTTGGCTTTGCTTGAGAATTAGAAGAGCAGGCCATGCTAGGCCCACGGGCCTGCTACTGATGAGCAATAGCTAGCTGGCACTGAGTAGTGGCTGCCCCTTGAATCTGTCCCTCAAAATGCATCCAGGCAAACAAAACCCACTCCAGGAACTCAACAGAGGGAAGCGAATTCAGAGAGTGGGCCACAAATATGTTAGAGGAGCTGAAAAAGCAACGAGGAGGTGAGGCAAACCAGACATTAGTGACTGAGGTCACTAATGGGACAGAGGGTGCAAAGGCCACGGGGACAGATTCTAAGAGAACCAAAGAGGCAAAGAGCAGGGGTCTCAGGAACAACAAAAATAGTTAGCAAGGCAGAGCCACTAGGACCATGGCCTCTGGAGCCAGATAGGCCTTGGTTCAAATCTTGCTCACTTCTGGCCACGCAACCTTGGGCAACCAACTTAACCGTTCTGGCCTCAGTTTGCTCATCTGTAAATTGGGATTGCGATTGCCCATGCCTGAAGGTTGTTGTGGAGATGACCTGAGAGAGTACATGGCGAGTGCTCAATAATTGGCCACTGTTGGAAGTATCAGCTACTTTAATCTCCTGGTTATACATTTGAGGGAAGAGAACAAGCTTGTTTCTTGTTACACAGTAACTGGGGCCAAGGGATTGGGCCTCCTGCATTCCTGCCTACTGTTCTTTTAACACATCATTCAGGATGGGTGTTCGGGAGGCCCCTGAGTGAGGAAGCCCACTCCCCAGCACACCCACTGTTTCCACACCCATGGCTTGACCCAGCCTCAGCAAAGTTCCCTGTTGGCCCAAAAGTCAGGGTAGAACACCCAGCAGGAGATGCTATTGTATGCCACCTTAATCTCTCCCTTTCCCCCCAGAAATATGTGTCTTCTTCGTCGGCTGAAACCTGGGGGGTTTCTGATCCAGCCCTGTCCCACCGAGGAGGTCCCAGGACCACAGGAAGCAGTTTAGCTCTCCTGAGCCCCAGAGGCTCAGAGCAAGCCCATTTTCATAGTCTGCAGCTAATGCCTTCTCCTCTTCCCCCACTGCCCCCATGGCCCCTTTTCCTAAGACTGCTGCCCCTTCTCCATGTCCTCACTAAAGTTCAACTGCACCCTGCCTCTGAGCCTGGGCAAAGTCAACCATCACAGAGCCATCAACAAACGCAATAAAAATTAGAGCGAGAGCGAGAGAGAGCGAGAGAGAGAGAGATACATAATTTATTATATGGTGGAGTGTGAGTGACAAGCAGCCGCAGGAGGCCCCGGCACCTTATCGATTCTTTCAAAAAACCCGAGAAAGGGCCCCATGCTGAGGGCCAGGGGAGGCATTGAAGGTGCAGGCAGGGGCAAGGCCATTAAGGACGCAGAATCACAGGGCGGCCACCGGGGGGATGGGCGGGGGTCTTGGGCAGGTGGGGCACACACACACGTGCCTCAGATCGATGACACCATGTCAAAACATAAAATGCATGCTTTGGCTCTTAAGCCAAATGTGCGTGAGATTTTTTAAAAGCATTGATTCAGGATGGATCAATGAAAATCAAGGCATATATGTATTTTTTACCCTGTGCAAAAAGGGGGTAGGGACACTCTGCAGAGAGGCGCCTGGCAGGGGTAGCAAGGATAAACGTTCCAGGAGGGTGCCTTCTCTCCTGGCCACCAGAAAGCTCTGGAAGGAGGTCAACATGTTAGCTTCCCTGCCTTTGCTTCCAAAGCAGAGGCACGCATGGAAGCCGTAAAGGTCTCACTCCCAGGGGAGAGCTGCAGATCATTCACTCATACTCACCTTGTCATCACCCAAGGATGACACTAACTTTCTCCAGTTCCTAAGCAAATCCAGCTCTACCTTCAAAATTCATCCAGGATCCCCCGGCCTTACTGTCTCCACTGCTTTCACTCTGCCAGTCTCCCACCCAGATCATTGCATCAGCCTTCCTGCCTCTGTCTCGGCCCCTCCACCCATGGCCACCACAGCTGGAGGGATCATGCCGCTCCTCTGCCCTAGCTCCCAACTTACCCGAGGAAAATCTAAAATCATGTCCTGTAGGATCCCATGCCACTCCCCGTCCTCCGTCCTGACCTTTCCTTTTACTGCTTTTCCCCTCATTCACAGACAGCATCAGGGGCACCTTTCCTCACTGTCCAACCTAGTATGGACACCCCCACCGCCACCTCTCCAGCCAACACCATGAAACTCCTGCCTCACCCCGTGACACTCCTGCATTTTTTCCTTCATAGCGCTTAACACTATTTAAAGTATTGTTGGTGGTGAGTCTGTAGTTGATTGTTGATTGTCTGTAGTTTCTTTATGGAATGTAAATCACATAAGGCCAGGGACCTTGTCTGCCTACCTTGCTGCTGTACTCCCAGAATATAGAACAGAGTTTGACATAGAGTAGGTGCTCAGTGAATGTGTATTGAAGAAAGGGAGGGAGGGAGGGGGGAAGGGAAGGAAGGAAGGAAGAAAGGAAGGAAGGAAGGAGAAGGGAGGGAGGGAGGGAAGGATGGAAGGAAGGAAGGAAAAAAGGAAAGAAGAAAAGAATGGAAGTAAGAATGGATGGAAAGAAGGATGGAAGGAAGGAGGGAAGAAAGGAAGGAAGGAAAGAAGGATGGAAGGAAGGAGAGAAGAAGGGAAGGAAGGAAGGGAAAGAAGGGAAGATAGAAAAAAAGCAAGGAAGAAAGGAGGGAAAAAAGGGAGGGAGAGACGGATGAAAGAAGAGAAGAACAAAAGTGTTACACATAAGTAGGAGACAACACCACACCGTGAAGCTACCATCAACACTGTAAAACATAAACAAAAAGAAAACCACCTGTTATGATCTGCAAAGACTTCCACAGAAGCTGTCCATCCTTAGCTAGGAGCTCTTACCAGGAGCTCTGAATGTAGGACTTGGAGTCATCAAGGGAAATGTACCTACCTCTTCTTGGGAGGAACAAGTTTATCTTTCTGCCTGAGTCAAATGAAACACATTCCCCCTCCCAGCTCTTTTGGGGTGGGGGTTGTATTTTGGGGGTGAGTTTTGCTTCTCCTAGAGTGCAAGAGGGTGGCAGGCTTTTCTGCCCTAAAACTGTGGGGCAGAGGACTGCAGATTTTGCTGGAGTCTCAGGGGAGGCCTGGGCTCCCTGTCATTCTGAGTGCTGGCTTCTGGGTTCCACCTGGGGATGGAGGCTGCGGCCTGCTTTATGTCTCTAGTTTTCATTGTCTTGAGCACTTACCTGGCTGGGATAGTCAGACATGACGATGAAATGTACCTTCACTTGTGAAAGAGAGAGAGACAGAGAGAGAGAGACAGAGCCACAGAGAGGCAATTCCACCAGCAGGCCTGTGACCTGCTCCCCACCTCTCCCTCTCTAGCCCCATCTTGGAAAAAAAAAGGAACCAGAATCGTTGTATTTGGCCAGTGCTCATGAAGACAATTATTTATTTCCTGAAATCATTTTTCAAGAAGCCACTTCCATTGTATTTGTTATTTGCATGATAACTTAATCACCAACTTAGAGGCGGGAGGCAAAAAGGAATGGAGTCAAGGATGTGGGGGATAGGAGATGAAAAAGAGCCTGCTGAAAATTATGCTGTCTTCTTTGACTTTTTTTCCGATTGCTTCAATATGCCTCCCTTCTCTTCCCCTTCTCTCTCAATCTCACTCTCACTCCCTCCCCATCCCATCTCCCCTCCTCTCTGTCTTATTAATAGCCCTCTCCTCTCATCTCCCCACTACCTCTGCCCTGGCTCCCAGCCTGGCTCACAGACAAACCTGACCCCTAATAATTTCTGACACTGGGATCTCCTCTGTGCAAAGCAAGGGGCCGGCCTTCCCAATCAGCAACATCCTTTATTGGGCATATCCTGTGGGCTTCCATTAATGAGAAGCCACTGAATTCCCCAGGCTGCCAAGCCTCTGGGGAGCATCTCATTGTCTCATTCTTGGGTTCTCAGCATCTCAGCTGAGGATGCCTCCCAAACTCTGGTCTGGGCTGCACCAGAGAGCATCGGCTTTTATTCTGGTGCTTTTCAGAGTAGAGGAGGCTGATGTTTCCCTGGATACAACTCTCCCATACCTAGATGCTATTTTTGCACAGTGTTTCATGTCCCTTAGGCCTAAAATGGGCCTTTGTCTAGCACACAAGGCTGAAAAGAAGAAGGGCTCTGGAGCCAGACTGTACCACCTACCAGCTATGTGATGCTGGGCAAGCTACGTAGCTTCCCTGGACCTCGGTTTCCTCATCTGTATAATGGGGGTAATTTGTATGAACTTCATAAGGCCCATGTAAGGGTTGCATGTGTGAATACTCACAAAGCACTTAGAACAGTGGCTGACACATTATGCATACACATTCAGTGCTAGCTATGGTCAGCATCTATCATCTCCACTCCTGGGGTATGCACATGAAGGAGGTGCTGTCTGGCCTGGACTCAAAGAGAACAAGGGTGTTAGTTTACCGCTTGGGCAAATCACCTTTTCTCTTTGAATCTCTGTTTGACTATCTCTACAGCGCAGGTACTGATAGTACCCCTATCACAGAAGCATGGGGAAGATGAAATAAGCTAATACATGTTAAGAGCAAAGACTCTAAATCCCGGCCTTGTGAGTTCAAATCCCAGCTCTGCCATTTGTCAGCTGTGTGACCTGGCACAAGTTGCTTAACTTCTCTGATATCGCATGTTATAATCTTGTCTCTCTCACATATGGCTATTAACGGTATGAAATAAGTTAATTCATGTAAAGACCTTAGTACACAGTGTCTGTCACAGGGTAATACCCTGTTGGGTATCAGTTACTACCATCATCCAAGTAACATAGTCCCTGAAAACTGTTTTCTCACCTGCTTTCTCTCTCTGAGGGATTTCTTTTCTGCTTACTCTTTTCCCATTGGGTGGCTTGGGGCAGAAATTCCTAGTTTTTAACTAAAACCCAAATCATTCTGGCAGACTCTGTCAAGCAAGTCTTACCTCTGGAGACAGAAAGGGGAAGGTGAGCCATCAGGAGGGGAATTAATGTCAATAAAACCTGGAGAAGGTGACGAGAAACTGAAACTCCTAAAGCCAGGCCTTGGATGCTGGTCCTGGCTAAGCCAGTATCTCACAGTGTGACCTTGGACAAGCCCCCGAACTCTTTTTGGCCTCAGTTTTTTCATCTGTCAAATGGGGAGGACTCCTTGCTTCCTTCCCACATGATCACAAAACTCAAATAAGATAACCAGCAAGATGGCCTGAGACGGGGAACAGTACCACAGAATCCAAGCTGCCTCTTCCATTTGGGTTCTATTGGCAGCAAGGCTACTCAGGGACCTCATGGAATGGAGGGCAGGGGACAGGACCTAGAGGAAGGACAGCTGGTCTCCAGAGGGCAGGGATGGGAGGGTGGCTCTGGCCCTAAGGCAGGAGTGTGTGGATTACCTGTCTACATGGGCTTTACCAAGCTCAGGGGTTTGTGGGTGGTGGGGGCAATCGGCTTCGTCAGCTGCCCCAGGAGTACCTTGTTCCTCTACTTTCACACCTCTTGCTTTCTTAGAGTTTGCTCCCTTAAAACATGAACTTGCATATGGCCTTGCTTGGGTTCTGGGTCCTCTGTCAACATCATGGATCAGAAATGTGCCTGCCCATGGGCCCAGGGAGCTAACACAAATGGGTCCAGTGGGTGTGCGAGAGTGCTATCACTCTCGCTTCCTCTATCCCTGTCCCCAAGCCCCTTCTCAACGTCTTCCCCAGCCACCTCCAATCAGGCCTCTCTTCCTGCACTTTCCCTCCACCACCCTCAATCAACAGAACCACCATGTCCTCCTCTCTGTTGATATCACAATGGTGGCCAATGGATTGGGATGTTTTTCCACCTAAGTATTACACATTTTTGCAATGAAACAGAAAAAGAGTTGAGCCAGAAGTGCAAGTGAGAGTCTCTACCTTGCAGTACGACCTAGAGCAAATCCTTTTTCTCCATTTTGACCTCTGTTTCCTCATCTGTAAAATGAGTATAAAGTAATGTGTGTTTTCCATACCTTATAATGGAGGTAGGGAAGAGGGAGAAATAAGTAACTCTTCAGGATCAAAGTAGATAATGAATTAAGAAATACTAAGCTCTAAAATGTCATATACATGAAATAGATTGATGCAAACATTTGTGCAAACACAAAGAATGTCCTACTCTCAGGGAATGAGACTGAACATTGAAGAGGAAACCAGGCTGGCGCGGTGGCTAATGCCTGTAATTCCAGCACTTTGGGAGGCCGAGGTGGGCAGATCACAAGGTCAGGAGATCGAGACCATCCTGGCTAACACGGTGAAATGCTGTCTCTACTAAAAATACAAAAAATTAGCCGTGTGTGGTGGCAGGCACCTGTAGTCCCAGCTACTCAGGAGGCTGAGGCAGGAGAATGGCGTGAACCCGAGAGGCGAAGCTTGCAGTGAGCGGAGATCGCGCCACTGCACTCCAGCCTGGGAGACAGAGCGGGACTCTGTCTCAAAAAAAAAAAAAAAAAAAAAAGGAAACCAAGCAGGCAGTCTAGATTGCAGCTGTAGCGACCTCTGTCTATTGTTTAGGGTTCCATCAGGCGATGGGGCAGCTCTTTGGGTAATCAACAACTTTATCAGGTTGGGACAATCACAATCTCCTCATCCCCATTCCACTGATGTGAGTAAAGCTTGTTGAAACCAAGGTCTAGAACATGGAAAGAGCTCCCAAGCCAACTGGGGCTCAGAACTGAGAATGTATGTTCATATCTCCCAGAGAAAAGAGGTCATCAGCCCTAAGCCGAGAACCAAGCACAGGGACCCATTCATTCAATATTTACTCCTGTGTCCATTCATTTTATAATAAGTTAACATCTGTAAAGTACTTAGTACAGTGCCTGGCACATAAAACGTGCTATGTAAGTACACATCTTCATCATTCATTAACCTATTCACTCACTCACAAGCTCACTCACTCACTTGGCTGGGTTGTACAACTGCAGGGATTCCATTCACAGGCATGCAGGGCCCCTGCTCATCCCCTCTTTGCATTTAGACTCTGGGCCAGGTCCTTTGGGCTTCAGAAATGAATAAGAATCCAGTCCTCAAGAATCTCACAGGCCAGTAGAGAAGATGAGGGTGCCTATAAACATCAGTAATTCCAACATAAGCTGGGAGACAAGAAATAATTACCACCCTCCAACACACACACAAAGGAATAGGAGGACCAGACAAAGAAGAAGGAGGAGGTGGAGGAGGAGGAAGAGGAGGAAAGGGGGGGAGGAGGAGGAGGAAGAGGAGGAGAAGGGGGAGGAGAAGGAAAATTGCCTTCTGGGCCCAGGCAGAAAATCAGTCAATTAGGAAAGCATCAGAGGTGAAAAAAAATTCAGGAACACCTGCCCCACCTGTAGGGGGCAGTAGTTAGCCATCTCCAGACAACTGTCCAGGTCCCAGATTGCCAGGTCTTCTGACTTTTTTTCTTTTCTTTTCTTTTTCTTTTTTTTCTTTTTTTTTTTTTTTTGAGACAGAGTTTCACTCTTATTGCCCAGGCTGCAGTGCAATTGCGCTATCTTGGCTCACTGCAACCTCCGCCTCCTGGATTCAAGCTATTCTCCTGCCTCAGCCTCCCGAGTAGCTGGGATTACAGGCATGAACCACCATGACTGGCTAATTTTGTAATTTTAGTAGAGGCGGTGTTTCACCATGTTGGTCAGGCTGGTCTTGAACTCTTGACCTCGGGTGATCCAAAGTGCTGGGATTACAGACGTGAGCCATCGTGTCCGGCCTGACTTTTCAAAAGAAGTTGCTGCTGGGTGTGGTGGCTCATGCGTATAATCCCAACACTTTGGAAGGCTGAGGTGGGAGGATCACTTGAGGCCAGGAGTTCAAGACCAGCCTGGGCAACATAGCAAGACACAGACTCTACCAAAAAATTAGCTGGCGTGGTGGTGCATGCCAGCTACTCAGGAGGCTGAGGCGGGAGGATCCCTTGAGCCTGGCAGTTTGAAGCTGCAGTGAGCCATGATGGTGCCACTGCACTGCAGCCTGGGGCAACAGAGCAAGCCTGTGTCTCAAAATAATAATAGTAAAATAAAAATAAAAGAAGTTGAAAATTAAAAAAAAGTAATATTTTCTGCTTTTAAAAAATACAGCACAGGGCCGGGCGTGGTGGCTCACGCCTGTAATCCCTGCACTTTGGGAGGCTGAGGTGGGTGGATCACCTGAGGTCAGGAGTTGGAGACCAGCCTGGCTAACATGGTGACACCTCATTTCTACTAAAAATACAAAAAAATTAGCTGGGTGTGGTGTTGTGCTCCTGGAATCCCAGCCACTTGGGAGGATGAGGCAGGGAGAATTGCATGAACCCAGGAGGTGCAGGTTGCAGTGAACCAAGATTGCACCACTGCAATCCAGCCTGGGTGACAGAGAAAGACTCCATCTCAAAAAAAAAAAAAAAAAAAAAAATACAGTACAGGACTAACAAAAGGGCACCAATTGACAACTTTGGTTTGAGCTGATTTATAAGAAGAAATAAATCCCTTCCCTGGGAAGGTTTCTTGAAGGCTTGGTAAGACTGACAAATGAAGATGAGAAGAAAGGAGTCCTAGGCAGAGAGAATGGTGTGGTCAAAGGTATGGGGTGGGGCTTTCCCAAGGCCTAGAAGAGTAGGATTGGTAGGAAACTTAGAGACAATCCAATTCATTGATCTCATTTCACAGAAGAGGAAACTAAAGCCTGGTGGGTTCGTTCTTTTTGGCTAGATAATAGAGGACATGAGGTGAGGCAGAGTTAGGAAGAGTTGATTGGAGATAAACTGTAGAAGACCTTGAATACCAGGCTAAGGAATTTGGGTTTGAATATGCCTGTATGCCTATGAGCTGACACTTCTGAGTACTGACTCTGTGCCAGGCACCATCTCATTTAATCTTCATAGTACAATTACTATCATGCCCATTTTACAGATGAAAAAATTGAGGCTTAGAGAGTTTAAGCAACTTGCCCAAGTTCCCACAGCTCATAAGTGGCAGAGTAGGTCCTCAAACCTAGGCCTTTCTAACTCCCAAGTTTGTGCTCTTGGCCACTATGTTGCTATGTTGTACTGCAAGAGAAAAATGGAGCAATAGGTCTTAGAAAGATGTTCTATTGCCTGGACATAGTTCTAAATTCTCTAACTCATTGATTCCCAGAGCTCTGGGAATAGATTTGAAGATTAGGTTTCCTGAGAAGTCTCTCCCCTTCCCTTTTTAAACACAGCTGTCTTTAAGGATGGGGAGGAGGAGTGTTTTAAACAGGAGTTGTTTAACTAATTGCCAATTATCTCTGAATAGGGTATGGTTTCCAACAGCTGTAAAGGATTTAGGTCCCCCATTTTTGCCTACTGTTGCCAGCGCTTGGAGTGTGTTGGGATATTCTTGACCTCTTGCTTCAAAGAGGCAAACCAGTGCCTCACCCCTCCTCCGGCCACACAGCCCACCTCAGTCCCTTTGTACTGACTGGCTGGCTTAGGAGGGTACTGACTTTCTGGGTAAAAACTCTCTCCCTTTGAGTGCCAGTGCACAGTACTTAGTGGGGCAGAATTCTCCCATGGGACTTCACACCTATGCTGTCATGCCCAGCATGTTTTAACATCTCTTTTGAGTGCAGAGGGTTCTTGCTCAAATACGAGACTAGACTTTGCCTCCTCCATCCCAGATCTAGCAGAAAGCTCAAAAGAAAATCTTCTGAGATGCCAGAAGACCCCAGTGTGGATGGGTGATGTTAATTGTCCCTTCTGGCTCTGTCTGCTGGATTCCTGGGACTAGGCTGAGGGGCAAACCTTTGTAAATGTTAATCTCCTTATGCTTAAGATACCACACTGTCTTTGATGTTCCCAAACATGTTGACTCCTATCTTGGTTGAGGGTGTGCGGCCCAGACAGGCCGAATGCTTGTTTTGTCTGTTGCCTTTCTCCAGAAGACAGCAATGATAATATGTTCACCCCAGGCTGAAGCATGAATGAGGCCTCCTTTAATGCCAGGTTGGGAAGGGGGCAGAGGGTCAAGAGGCAGTGACACTGGGACACTGAGGGCCACTACACTCCCATCCCTAGAAACCAAACCTAATTTGAGTCATTTTCTCATCGAAGCCCTGCTGGATTCAAGTGGATAACCCTGTCCATTATGAACTCCTCCTGTTACTATGGAAGGGAAAAAGGAAAAATGTTTTAAAGTCCATTCATATTTCTATCAGTTAAGGTAATGCTAATTGCTATAACAAAACCAAAAATATATAATGACTTAAAGACAATGAAAGTTTATTTATCAAGTCCAAAATGAGCACTACGCATTGGAGTTGGCTTTCCTCCAAATGATGTATTTGGAGGAAAATACATCAGGAAACCGGATGTATTCCATCTTGTGGTCCTTTTATCTTCAACACATGGCTTCCAAGTGGCTGGGTTCCTCTGCAGCAAGCTGTGGGAGGGGAAAGAGAGGGTGGAGAAGATGCACCCATTTCTTAATTGCTGTTGCCCGGAAATAACACATATCACTTCCTGTCATGTTCCATTCATTGGCAAGAACTTGTCACATGACTTGATCTAGAAGAGAGGCTGCAGAAAAAAATAAAAAATAAAAGAAAACAATAAAAAATAAAACAAGAAGAGAGGCTGGGAATTGCAGTCCCTAGCTCATAGCCACTTCCCACTCACCACCTGTGCTATGGAAATGGAAGCATGAATCTTTGGTGTACTATCAGTCTCTCCATTACATATTCAGCCATGAGGAGACAGCTATGATAGAGGAGGAAGAGAAAGCAGTTGACATGGAGCCAAATGGCATAGGTTCAAGTTTCAGAACCTGGCTATGTCCATCTTGGGGAGTCACTGTACCTTCCTGAGCCTTGGTTTCCTAATCTGTAGAATGGAGACAATGTAGAATGGCAAGACATAATAAGGGTGACCATGTGTTATACACTATCAAACATTCTACCCGTGGTCACCGACAAAGTTTGAACTTTACACTATTTTAGAAAAAAATCTAGTTGACAAGCAGATGGATTTCAAGTCTCCTGAAAAAAAAAAAAAATGGAAGAACTAGCAACATTGGGCCTACATTCCTACATGGGGACAATCAGCCAGAGCTGAATGTAGAAGAAGTATCCCTGTGAAGGTCCCCACGGTCCCCACCACTCCCACTGGCCTGCTCTAATAACTCCCATGGTCTGTCTGGCCCCTATTAGCAGATGCGTCTGAGACTCCTGAGCTATACAGTGTCCCATATGTTAATGATAATGATCTCACTCAAGCTTCAGGAATGATTTACTCCTACTTTTTCATTCAACAGAACTTAGTCATTTCCAAATATCCACCCCAGGCGCAGAATCTTGTGCATTGGCTTAATTAGCTGATCAGCCCTAAAAATTGCTTATTAACAACTAAAGCTGATGCATATAATTTTTTTAATTGTCCATTTTGTTGCTGTTGTTGTTGTTTGAGACAGAGTCTCACTCTGTCGCCCAGGCTGGAGTGCAGTGGAGTGCAGTGGTAAGCTCACAGCTCACTGTAGCCTCAACTATAAAGGTCCAAGTGATCCTCCTACCTCAGCCTCCCAAGTAGCTGGGACTACAGGTGTGCACCACCATGCCCAACTAATTTTTAAATTTTGTGTAGAGATGAGGTCTCCCTGTGTTGCCCAGGCTGGTCTTGAAGTCCTGGGCTCAATCGGTCCTCCCACCTTGGCTTCCCAAAGAACTGGGATTATAGGCGTGAGCCATCGTGCCTGCCTGTCCATTTTTTATCTTGGCAGAGCATTATGTTATGAATACCATGCCCCAAACTCCAGAATCTTTTTAATTGTCATAAGATAATGAATGGAAATTTCTGGAGAAAGTTTTATTCCAGAACTCAGAGCCCTGTGTGTCCAACAATATGATCAGGAAGTTGGCCCCTGCTGGGACCAGTACTAGGAAGAATGAATGACTGACAGCTGTAATTGATTGGCACTAGTGGGGATACCACCAGCATGACTTTGTTGAGGTAAACTGGTTATCTCCTGCCAGTGTCCACTTGGATGTCACTGGGAAGGCTGGAGAAGAGCAATCATGGAACCCTTTTAATGGTCTGTTGACAGAAGGTAAGTTAAGAGATAGAGTTACAAGACTGCTGGCCAGAGCAAGGCTGCAAGAAGATAGAGATGGAGAAAGGGAGGAGAAAGGAGGAGAAGAGGAAAAAGAGGAGGAGGAAGAGAAGAAGGAGAAGAACAGAAGGAGTAGGAAGTAAAGAATTATTCATTTATCATTCAGGGTAGGCTGAGGTATGCTACTCTAGCAACTGATCCAGTATCTCAATGGCGTAAAATAACAAGAGTTTATTTCTTGCTCACAGTACAAATCCATCAAGGGTCAGCAGAGATCTGTGCTCCTCGTTGTCCTCAATCTGGGACCCAGGCTGATGGAGCTTCCAACATCTGGAACATTATTATGGGAAAGAAAGAGTGGAGTGAATCATGCACTGACTTTAAAGAGCCCACCTGGAAGTGACACATATCACGCCTACTCACATTTTGTTGACAAAGAAAGTCATACACCATAGTCATATGTCATGCCCCACTCAGAACGAGTGAGGAAGTGCAATCCTACCATGTGCTCAGGAGAAGAAAAAGTGGAAAGTTGGTGAACAGCCCCAAAATCTACCTCCCCGAGGATCCTGGGATTCTGGATCTGGAAGGAATCCATACTAGTTTGGACTCTAGGTTGCAAATAATAGAAGGTGAAACTCCAGCTACTTAAATTAAAAAAATATATATTGACTCACAAAACCAAAGGTCCAGTGGCAGATCTGTCTGTCTTCAGGCAAATCTTAATCCAATGGCTTAACACCTCTGAGATCTGGTCTCTTTCCATCTTTCAGCTCTGTTTACTTCCATGTAGACTTTATTTTCAGGTTTCATAGTCCCAGAGTTCAAGTTTAATGGGGGGAAAAAATTCCACCTCTCTTAAATTTTAATAAAAATCCTAGATCTAATCTCACTGGGCTAAATAGGGTCATGTGCACATTCCTGAACCAATCACTGAGTCCAGTGGGATGAAATGTTGGGCATGACAAAATCATATGCCTAGCCCTGGAGCCAAATTGAATTAACTTCATCAAAAACATATGGACCTGGGGAAATGGAATGGTGGCTCTCAAGGAGAAATTCAGGGTGCAGGAATGGAATCTGTGTGTCCCAAAAATTAAACAAGATAACATATATCCACTACAGAATACAGATATTCTCCAACCCAGAGGATTACCAAGTATTGTTTTGTAGACATCTACAGGGACTGCCCAGAAAGGCTGGGAGGGGACTCCTGCAGTCTCCAATCTCCATTTCAATTACAACAATTGTGCTTTGTTTGTTATATATTAGGATTCCACGTAAGATTTCTTTGGAACAAAAAAAAGAGGATCTTCTGCTTTAAAAAGAGAAAAAAAAGGCTGGGCACCGTAGCTCACACCTGTAATCTCAGCATTTTGGGAGGCTGAAGTGGGTGGATCACTTGAGGTCAGGAGTTTGAGATGAGCCTGGCCAACACGGTGAAACCTTGTCTTTACTAAAAATACAAAAATTAGCTGAGCATGGTGGTGCATGCCTGTAATCCCAGCTAGTCAGGAGGCTGAGGTGGGAGAATCACTTGAACCTGGGAGGTGGAGGTTGCAGTGAGCCAAGATCATGCCATTGCACTCCAGCCTGGGCAACAGAGCAAGACTGCATCTCAAAAAAAGAAAAGAAAAGAAAAGAGAGAAAGAAAGAAAGAAAGAAAGAAAGAAAGAAAGAAAGAAAGAAAGAAAGAAAGAAAGAAAGAAAGGAAGGAAGGAAAAAAAGAAAAGGGGAGATTAAACATCACTGCACTTTGATTTTATAAAATAAGAGACTGAGATTCAGAAAGGTTAGTAGATTTTTTTTATATCTCATTGGCTGGAATTGGTCACATGACCACCTAGCTGCAAGGAAGACTGGAAAAGCAAGCATCATGCAAAAGGGAAATGTAATTCTTACAACAGAATATAATCGGTTCCTCCCCTAGGGCAGGGCACATTGCCACCCCAAACAAGACTGGGGTCCCCTTGGGGAACAAAAAGAAAAAATGATTCTCAAGAAGTTGTTAATCATTGTGCTATGAGTCCGATCTCAATGAAATCTCCTTAGGGTAGGATTGAGCCTTATGCATCTGTTTAGAAAGTTTGCCTGCAACAATCCACAGGCCTAGAAAGGTTGCCTGCAGCAATCTCCTTTAATTCTCACGACAATCCTACAAGCCAGGAAAGCAGACCCTGACTTTTAAAGTGTCTGCCTGAAATGGACTCCTAACGTTATGATTGTGCCCCATTTTAACAGATGGAGAAACTGAATCTCAGAGGTGAATTAAGTACCCAAGAGCACGCAATTAGTCAAGGGTAGAAGTGAGGTTTTAACTCATGCTTATCCCTTATTTCATATGTTTAGCATAGAGAGAGGCAGGACACTAAGGGAGGGGAGGCTTCAAGTACAGATATTTCACTATGCAGGGGCTGACTGCAGGAAGGTAGCAGGAGAAGGGGAAACACAGAGCTTGCCAAGCAAAGGGAATGGTGTGTGCAAAGCCTCAGAGGCAAGGTAGAGCACAGATATGACACACTGTCTTACAGGTTCAGAGCTTAAAGTTTGAAGCACCATCATACTTAGGAGTCTCTGGGTCTCGTATGAGGGCAATAGGGAGCCACTGACTCTTCTAGGCAGGGGAATCATATCACTACATCTGCAGCTCATCCTCGGTGGGGAATTTCAGCTGCAGGGAGCAGTACTGGAGTACTGGGAGGCCACGGAGGAAGTGAGAGGTGACCATGGCCTGGATTAGCGGTGGCCATGGGAATGGAGAACAAGAGAGATTCCGGCAAAAAGTCAAGGATGTTGAATCCACCAGATTTGGTAACTAGATGTGACAATTTGGAGAAAATGAGAAAAGCTGGCTGACTCCTGGGTTTTTAGATGGCAATGCTGCCACTTGCTGAGAGTGGTGGTGAGTTGGGCGGATAGGCGGAGGAGGGATCCATCATAGAGGGACAGGAACCCAGGTAGCCTGACTCTGGGGCCCATGCTATTAGTCACCATATGACCTGGATCCCTGGTACTTGTCATTTGATAGGAAAGAGTCAGGACTGGGCCAAGGGTATTTCAGGGGAACCTGATTGAAATAAGGAAACCTCCTTCACTGGGTATGGGTGCACTAGAAGCCCCAAGTCCTCAGGCAGCCAGCTCTGCACCCTGCCCAGAGCAGCAGGCACAGGAGAGTGCTGCCTTGCAGGACCAGGGCATGCACTCCTCTGTCACACTACCTCAGAGCTTTTTCCCCTCCACCCACCCAAGGCAAGGCACCTGGGTCCTCGGTTTCGCCTAAGAACCATCAGGGTGCACGAGACAGGTCCTGTCAGAACACTGGCACGCACTTTATTACTTTCTCAACCTGTGTCCTCAGAGAACCACCTGGATATTCTCACCCCCATAGTCTTGAAGCTAAAACTTTGTGTCAGGCGCAGAAAGGGTACAAATATAATGATTTAAACACTTAATAAACTCATCTTGAAATTCGTGTGGAAGAATAAATGCCCCCAAAGAGTCAAGTCAAATAGTTTTGACCAAGAAAAACAAGATATAAGGACTGCCCTACCAGATATTAAAGCATATTACAAAGCCATAGTAAGACAAAGAGTATGGTACTGGCTCAGGACAAACAGCAGGAAAGCCCAGAGCCAGATCTATGTGTTCAAAGGAACATACATGAAAAGATCACAGTAGCCAGCCAGCCCAGATCTCACTGGAGCGTGTGCATTTTGGAATCATCTTGTTTCCAGTCTTCTACCTGGGCACTCAGTATGTGGCCAACGAACATACCTGGCTCTGTAGGCAGTGCTAAAATTAGTGAGTTCATAAGACATTCCCCAGAAATGCCCACACTCATCCTAACAGCTTCAGGACACAGAGATTCACGTCTTTACTATTGTGGAATTGAGGCTTTGAGAGGCTGAGCCCTTACCCAAAGTCACAGAGCTGATACGTAGCAGAGGTGAGATGCAAACCCAGATTACCCTGACCCCAGACCCCGTAAATTACATCGCCTCTGGCTCGGCAGAAGCACTATGGGCTAGAGCCATTGAGGAAGACCTCTAGAAGGGCTTAAGATGAATCTCAAAAGGGCAGGTGGATTTAGACATGTGACCTGGATGAAGGGCATTGAAGCAGAGGAAGAGCCTGAGAAAATGTGTGGGCAGGGGCTGTTCAGCACAAGATACCCATGAAGAGTCTGGGGACATGAGGCTACAAGGAGAGTGGGGTCAGATGGAAGAAGGGCTTTGAATGACAGATACAGGAGCCGCGCTTTATTCCTTTTGTTTTTTGTTTGTTTGGTTGGTTGGTTTTGTTTTTGTTTTTTGAGACAAGGTCTCACTCTGTCACCCATGCTGGAGTGCAGTGGCGTGATCTCGGCTCACTACAACCTCCACCTCCCAGGTTCAAGCGATTCTCCCACCTCAGTCTCCTGAGTAGCTGGGATTACAGGCGCTTGCCACCACGTCCAACTAACTTTTGTATTTTTTTTAGAGAGACAGGGTTTCACCATGTTGGCCAGGCTAGTCTTGAACTCCTGACCTCAAGTGATCTGCCCACCTCAACCACCCAAAGTGCTGGGATTAGAGGTGTGAGCCACCGTGGCTGGCCTGACTTTACTCTTTTTGAAGGGCAGCTTTGATTTAGTCACTCTCCTGCTCCACAACCTTCCATAGCTCCATTGTCTCCTGGCTAATAAGGGAAGAGTATGCAGATGAAAAGATGCAGGGAGAGTCTGGAGTCAGAGAGACCTAGTGGGAGTCCGATGTCACAGTCCAGGAGCCAGGGTACAAGGGCTTGGAGAGGAGGAAGGAAGACTGTGTGCTCCGGGGCAGGGTTTTGAGAGATGCCCAGCCTAGGCATCCACCTCCTCCTCTCACCACATTGAGGAGTACCGCTTCCCTGCAGTCTGATAGCATTTCAAGCTCAGCAAATAGCAGGTACCTTATTCAACTCACAGTAGAACTGAGCCATGAATAGCCAGAAAAGCATTTAATGCCTATAGCAGCAAAGAACAGCCAGCAGCTCTCTCCTGGTTGCGTCTAGGCACAGAAAGAGAGACAGACATTCCTACACACATCTCTTACTCTGACACCTACTTAGGCAAGTTAATCTTGCAATGTTTTAGTTTCTTCAGCTGTAAAATGGGGATAATAATTGCACCTACTCTATAGGGTTTGATGAGATTCTGCTGAGATCATGTACATAAAAGCTTCAATGCAATAACTGGCATATACTAAGAGCTTAATAAGGTAGCTATTGTTATTAATGACAAGATAATTGTTTAGGTAATATGTTAAATCATAAACTATGTAATTAGCAGCTTTTAGCAAAGGAATTGGTGCTAGAATTATCAAACATTTATTTTACCCCAGAGGCAGAGACTTGGGCCTTATGACTCAGAAATGTCAGAAGATGAAACAAATTCAATTCAGTTCAAGAAGTTATGAATTGTCATTTTCCCCTGCTATGAAGATTGCTAATTATAGATAGATAGACAGAAAGTAAATAATGAAGACTGAATGTATTTTCCCCGTTTGAAGTACTGAATGCTATTAAAAAAGAAAAGAAAAACCTGTTCCCCTTCCACAAGTCCCTGCTTGTGTGACAGAAGTCCATGGTGTCACCTCTAGGAGTTCTCATTATTCAGCAGTTTTTGAAATGAGTGATTGATGTAATTAAAGTTATTGGTAAAGAAAGACTCAGTTACCAAGGGACAGATGAGTCAGCAGCAAGTTTAAGTAATGAAATAATGTTCCGAGGCATGATTCTTAAATAAGCTTTTTTTTTTTTTTTTTTTTTTTAACTCTAGACACCTTAAACATTGCTGGTCAGCAAAAACATGTGAAGCAGTTAAGAACTGAAGAAAACACACTACGCAATTTTAGAAATTCTCAGATGAAGTCATCTTCAATAACATGAAGCAATATTTATCAAGTAATAATGGCTACAGCTTCCATTTATTTTGTTTTTGTGTTTTGTTTTGAGACAGTCTTGCTCTGTCACCCAGGCTGGCAATGGTGCGGTCTTGGCTCACTGCAACTTCCACCTCCCTGGTTCAAGCGATTCTCGTGCCTCAGCCTCCTCAGTGGCTGGAATTACAGGCGTGCGCCACCACGCCTGGCTAATTCTTGTATTTTTAGTAGAGATGGGGTTTTCTCATGTTGCCCAGGCTGGTCTCAAACTCCTGAGCTCAAGCCATCCACCCACCTCGACCTTTCAAAGTGCTGGGATTACAGGTGTGAGCCACCATGCCTGGCCCAGCTTCCATTTATTGATTGTCGACAATGTGCTTTGGTGGGCTTGGCAGGCACTATCTCATTTGCCCTCTGAGCCGGATACTGTTATTATCTCCATCTTACAGATGAGAACACTGAGGCTCAGAGGGATGAAAGAACTTACCTGGGATTCCACAGCTGGCACATGTCACAAACTGGAATGGAACACAGGCATGCATACTCTGGAGCTCACCTTCTCACTCCCCACATGTCCTGGGCATCTCTGTCTAGATTCCATGAGCATTTAGTCTAGCTCACTAATATACTCCAAATAACAGAGGGCCGTCAGGATTTGAACCCACATCTGTCTGACACCAGCTTGCTTTCAAAATTCATAGGGAAATTGTATAGGAAAGTTCAAATACATTGGCTTAGGATTCATTCATTTGTTTTCATTTCCATCTGCATTTCTTGAATACTCAGGACACACCAGGCTTTAGGCTTCGTGTAAGTGGTACAAAGCTGATAAGGGCAGGTAGACACTCCAGAGATATGTGACAGTCCATGCAACAGAGGACAAAGGCTCCAATTAGAGTATGGAAGGGAGGGAAAGAGAGGCGCCAGGAGGTTTCTACATTCCCTCCACTGGGTGACTGGGTGCAGGACATGGGGAGAAGCTGATATGAACCTAGGGCTAAGGGGAGGAATGGGGAGGGCTTAACTTCAGTTTGGGGCATTTTGACATTGAGTTGCATGTGGTCCTTCTAGTTGCAGATACAGGTTGAGTATCCCTTATCCAAAATGCTTGAGATCAGAAGTGTTTTGTATTTTGCATTTTGGGGGGATTTTGGAATATTGGAAAATATATAATTAGATATCTTGGGGACCCACATCTAAACATGTAATTCACTTATATTTAATATACACCTTATATACACATCCTGAAGATAATTTTATTTTTCCCTTGGGGACACTGAATACACCATGTGTTGTTTACCCATGTTTTGACTGTGGCCTGTCTCGTGAGGTCAGGTGTGAAATATTTCACCCAGTATCATGTCAGCACTCAAAAAGTTTTGAAATTTGGAGCATTTTGGATTTCGGATTTTCAGGTTAAGGATGCCCAACCTGTATATATTCAGCTAGTCGATGTGTGGCTTAGAGCAAGGGTGAGAGGCAGGAGTGGGTGCTAAGCCAGGTGGGCGGTAGCAGCACTGAGGGGCATGGCTGATCTTCCAGGGCAGGTAGGGGAGGGCCTATCTGATCCCCAACCCGAGGAGAAAAGAAGGGAAAAGGGACAAGCTAGTGGGCGTTGCCTTTGAGTGACATTACAGCTGGGAGCCCAAAGCCCCCACTTGTTGACACTCAAAAATTACCACATGTCACTGTGGTTGGCTTTAGGAAGGAGGGGACTGGGATGAGAAACCCCATTTGTGAGTAACTGGAGAAAGAGGACACGAGGGGCTCCTGGGGCAGAAACTTCTGGATGGAAGATGACATCTACCCCTTCACTGCGACGTTACCTGAGAACCCCAACTCCCCACCCCGCTGTGCTTTCTCACAGGTGCAAACTCTGGCCACCTCTCCTGTCCCTGCAGAAGAAAAGAAGGGCCAGGGATTTTTATGATGTCAAAGAGCATATTTGGTTGTTGGTCTTGGCCTTTTACCCCCAAAGAGTGACCCACAGACAGGAAAAAAGGGTTCAGGTATTGCAGGACCAGTGGGACAGAAGCATTGAAATCTCACGGGTTTGCAAGGCCCCTCCCGTTTGAGTCCTGCACCCTAGAACCACATTTGAGATGAGGATTCCAGTGCAAGGGGTTTGATAAGAAAGAGCTCCCAGAGGGAACCGATGAGGAAGTCGGGGGAGCAGGGTGGGGAAGGGAAGGCAGACACCCCTGGCTCTGTCCCCAACCAGCTGACTGATCTTGAGTAAGCTGCTTTACCTCACAGGACTTCAGTTTCCATATCTGTAAAATAAGCAGTTGCTATTTTCCAAAGTGTAGTAAGTACATCTCTGGAAAGACATGACATGATTTTAGGTGGGGATGAAGAGATACTCATGCAGCCCATATAACTTTGAGGGCAGCCTGCAAAGAAGAAAGAACAGGGTGAGGGGAAGCCTCTAGAAGCAATCAGAGACCCTGAGAAACTTTAGTCACTTTCAAACACATGGGGCCAATAATTTCACTGAATTAATTTTTTTATAAGGGTCTTCTGTTTCAGTTTCAGTAGCATTATAAATATTCCTAAATAAGCAAATCATGAAAGAATTGGAAGGAAATTATTTTCTAAATAGTAATCAAAATAGAAATTGCACTCATTCCAGCCCTGGAATGAGTGAGTTTGAAGAGCATGGAGTACAGGGCTCTGGTTCCTTCTAGTCCCCAGCCCTGTGGGGCCCCAGATGCTCCTCCTACATGCTCTAGAACTTGTCAGGCCTTAGTCAGATTGAAAGGGAAAATTAAAAAGAAAAAAAAAACCAGAAAGAAAAACAACTCCACCAACCAAAATAAACCAGGCCAATGACTTTTCTGCCACACTCTTCACAAGAGCAAAGAGGTGGTATTTATTCCAAATGAGCCCTTTTCCCCACGTTGCCACTAATCTTCTCTTTTATGTGATCCAGGAAAATTGGTCCTCAGCGACCAATGAATATCTTTCATAGATGAGTATTTGGAAAAAAAGACACCTATTACACAGGGTTTGGACTTAGATACTGGATACAAATAGAGGGCAAACAAAACAAACAAACAAACAGAAAATCTTGTGGTTTGGATCTTAAAAAAAGCCTCAGAAACAACTATGTGGTGTCTGATGTCAAACCATGTTAGTTGGGAAGGTGTCTGGAACATTCTGGAACGGTGAAGGGATTTGGAATCTAGGGATAACAGATGTCTCACTCTGCTTGAAAGATGTTGAGATGCTGTTTCTAAGGGCCTGTGGATTCCCTTGGGGACAAAGCTACCGATCATTTACAGAAAAAAAAATAAAACAAAACAAAATCCCCAAGTCAAGTAAAGGATTGAAAAAAAAACAGTGAAGCTGAAATGTCAGAAAAAAAAAATTCAAAATAAATGCATGAAGGACCCATGATGGGGGGCCTTGCCCCCAACTCCAATCTGTCTTTGATAGGAGTTGCTGTGAAATGATGGGCAAAGGAACATTAATTTTTGCTGGCATCACATGGGATAATTGTGGGCAGGCAGATGTCACTTCAAACAGAAGAAATGAGTAAATCCTTTCAAACAGCAATTGTTTAGGAAAGAAAACACTCCCTGGTAGGCGAAATGGCCCCAGTTCCTCCTCGTTGTTGAGTCTCTGGGAGAGACGACACATCCCAAGCTTTTTCTTCATCTGTACTTCATACATGGAGTCCTGAGGAGGCAGTCATCCTCCAGCAGTGTCTGAGGAGGGCTAAGATGTTTCCCAGCCCAGCCTAAATATATCTCCCTTGACAGCCTGTCACGGTGTCTGAGATTCCGCCATTATAAATTCATTCCTCTCTGTTAAAGCATTTTGTTTCCAGGAGTTCTCTGTTAAAATACAGATATCCCAGAGAACTTAGTTTGGATGAGGCAGGGAAAAATGCAGGCCTAGGAGTTAGGAGACTTGGGTTTTGGATCCATCCCTGTCTCTAAACCCATGGCATGAGCTTGGAGAAATCATTTTCATTTCCTCAGTCTTAGTTTCTCCACTGGTAAGGAGAAAAGAAATAAACAGGGAGGCCAGGGTGCGGTGTCTCACACCTGGAATCCTAGCACTTTGAGAGGCTGAGGCAGGAGGATGGCTTGAGTCCAGGAGTTCAAGACCAGTCTGGGCAACACAGTGAAACCCCATCTTTACTAGAGAAATAGAGAGAGAGAGAGAGAGAGAGGGAGAGAGAAAGAGAGAGAGAGAGAGAGAAAGAGAGAGGATGGATAGATAGGTTATTTTTTAAAGGAAAAAAAGAAAAGAAATGGGAGATGTGGTCAAAGAACTGTAAGGTCTATGGTTTCAGGAGAGAGGATCTGTTGAGTTTTCCCTGGACTTGTGCATCTGCCTTGGGCATTTGAGTGCTTTGCCACTAGATGCCTCACGTGTCCACAAAAGCAGCTCCTTTTGGCCCAATGGCTTGAGGGTCAGGGCAATGAGTATTTTACTTACCCTCTTTCTGGGGAAAAAAAAATCCCTGCACCTCCCTTAATGTTAGGCATACCAGCAAATGACACCCCCTATTATCCTGGGGACTCAGGCCCAAATCCTTAGAGGCATCCAGCATTCTCTGCTCTTCTCTCTTGGCCCATATACAATCCATCATCAGTAAAGCCTGTTGACTCTGCCTTCAAAATATAGCCCAAACCTGAGCACTTCTCCCCGTCTCTCTGGGTACCACCAAGTAGAGGTTGGTGCAAAGCAACATTCCCTCCCCCTGAATTCTCCATTGGCCTCCTAACTGTTTCCTACTTGCACTCTTGTCCTACCAGACTTTCAGCTCTCACACCCTAGAGATGCATTTAAAACATAAATTAGATCTTGTTGGGCCGGGCACAGTGGCTCAGGCCTGTAATCCCAGCACTTTGGGAGGCCGAGACGGGCAGATCGTGAGGTCAGGAGACCAACCTGGGTAACATGGTGAAACCTGTCTCTACTAAAAATATAAAAAATTAGCCAGGCATGGTGGCATGTGCCTATAGTTTCAGCTTCTCAGGAGGCTGAGGCAGGAGAATCGCTTGAATCTGGGAGGCAGAGGTTGCAGTGACCGAGATCGTGTCACTGCGCTCCAGCCTGGGCGACAGAGTGAGACTCTGTCAAAAAAAAAAAAAAAAAAAAACCCACAAAAAACACCAAAAACAAAACAGAAAAAAACAAAAAACCCATAAGTTAGATCTTGTTACTCCCCTCAAAATCCTCCCACACTTCCTCCTTTTCTCCCTCTCTCATAAATCCCAAATATCCCACCAGGACCTACAAGGTCCCATATAACCTGACCCTAGCTTTACCTAGGCTTCTTCCCCTTCCACAAAGATCTCCTTGCTGATCAAACCCTGCTCCCACTGCAGGATCCTTGCATTTGCCCTTCCTTCTGCCTGGCACTCTCTTCCTGCAAATATCTGCATGGCCTGTTCCCTAACTTCTTTCAGGTCTTTGTGCAAACACCTAAGAGAGCTTCCTAAGAGAGGGTTCCCAGACTGCCCTCACTAACCCCTTACCCTACTAAATTTTTCTCATAACTCTCATCACCTGGACATGGCAATAAGTCATTATCTCACTCATTTGTTTATTTTCTGTCATATTCTCTAAAGTGTTGGAAGGCAGGGACTTTGTTTTGTTCATTGCTGCATCACCAATGACTAGAACAGTACATCTGGTATATTATGGGTGCTTAACTGACAGTGGTTAGAGTAAGGGAAGGGAAGAGTTTAAATGGGGCTGTACTAACACAGAGACTAGGATAGGCATTCCACTAGAGAGGTCAATGTCAAGGTCTTTCCTGTCTTCTGTTGCAGGAACACGGGATGTCCTGGGAAGGCAAGGGAGAAGTCCGCTGTTGGGAGATCTGGGACGGACAGAGTGAGGTGGTGTGAGGTAGGCAGGGGAGGTGATTCAATTGGAGAAAATAATCCAAGTTGAAATTGTAAGTTCATGGGTTGCAGGTTCTTGATTAAAACCAGCAGAAATAGCCAAAAGGTCCTTGTGGACAGATTCCAAAAGACAGGAGCCTGCAGACGAAGGGTGGGTTATGAGAAGAAGAAGTTCTGAACTGTCCAGCAGACTAACCTGAAAGTAGATTCTGCCATGTAAACAAGCCACGTAGCAGCTCCAGTCAGCTCCAGAAAGCTCAACTCTGAGCAGGTCACTCCCTGGTCAAACTGCCTTCCAGTCTCCCTCACTGTCCCAGTTATCAAGCCCCAGCCAGGAAAGCTGGGAAGGTGGAGGCAAGTGCTGAGAAAGATCAGCCATTCAGGCAGGATTCTCTCTCCCTCAAGTCACAACCCAAGCCTCTGTCTCCCACCCTCTGTTTATTCCCAGGCCTTAGCTAGCATCTCCAGTGAACTGAAGTCTTAAAATAGCATGACTTTAATAACCATATTGAAGGATAGCCATGTGCCGTGCACTTGAATCCTCACAAAGCCAGGAGTGGTAAAGCCCCATTTCACAGATGAGGACACTGAGGCTCAGATTGGGTATTGGATCTGTCCAAGGACACATAGCTAGTAAGTTGCAGAGGCAGGGCTGAGCCACGAAGGCCCAAGTACCAACCCGGTAAACTATAACATTTTGGGAAGGCAACTCCAGTCCCCCAGCTCTAGGCTGCCTCGGGTGCCACAGTCACACTCAGTCCTGGAGAAGCCATTGTCCCCATGGGCCTGCAGCCGACCTCCCCGCAGGCCTGGACAGCTGGTTCGCAGGGGGCGATGGCGGCAGCTAGAGCCTGTGCCCCGAATTAGGATGGGGTTGTGGGGGAGACCGCCAGCAGGAAGCAGCTAAGGAAAGCACTCAGGACCGGGCACTTGGGGAAACTCAAGCAGGCGCTGAGCCCCTGGAGACTGAACCCCAGTTGTGTTGAGCACCGCCGCCAGGCCGCGGGTGCAGACGCGAACTCTCCAGTCCTTGTTTGATGAGCAGCGGCCAATAAATTCATTAATCATCATTTTATGCCTCATCAAACCCCCTCCAAGCCCCTCCATGGGAGTTACACAAATTAGCCCCTGAAAAGACAGTAATTTCAGTTTAGCGAGGTAAGTGCTTTCTGATGGGCTCCGCGCACAGAGCTCTCCTGACAAGCCGATCCATCAGCGCGTTGGGGACGGGGCGTGGCCGGGACGCCCTGCCCGGCCTGGCCTCCTCCCACACAGCCCTTCCCAACCTCGCCAGTCCAGCCATCCAGCCCACAGTGTCTCAGCCTAGGGCGCCCCTCACCACCGACTGCTGTGTACCCATTCTCGGCAGGTTGTTTCATCAGGTCTCTCGCCCTAGCCCATCCCGACTTCCTCCGCAGCCCTTCTGAACATGAGAGAAACTGCAGGAACGAAAAACCAAGACCCCAAATTGGAAAACAAACTTGCAGGGAAGGAGGATGCTCTGGCCTTGAGGTTCGAACTCCCGCCCCGGGGAGGCAAGAGCCAGGCACCCCTTTCTCCTAATGTTTGGTTTTCGGGGTTCCGCGACCCCTTGCAATGACTTAAGTGCTCTGTGTATTGTGTTCCTACATTATTTGGGAGAAAAGAGGTTAATCCATGTCTTCCAGCTGATTCTGAAAGAAATCTCATACTCCAAAAGAGGGCCTTGTGGGAACAGAGGAGGGGGTCCTTCCTTCTCGAGGGCGGCTCCGCAGGACCCTGGGGGCTGGAGGGTCGCACCTGGTCTTTTTCACGGCCCTCGCGTCTTTTTCTGAAACCTCCAATTGAAGTGGAAGACGACGCCTGGGGAATTAAGAAGATGACTGGGAAAGAAGATAGCAAGGATTTTCTATGGAATGGGCCCAGCCAGTATGACCCAAGCGTGGAGACTTGGGTAAGAAAGGGGAGGGGGACAAACCGAGATAGAGAAAAGAGAAAGTTGTGGCGAGGGTGGGGTATTTGCAAGCGCAATGCCAACACCACGCCTTCTCACTTTCCCAGCCTGGCGCACAGAAGGTCCCGGGGGGACCCTATCTAGCGGGCAGGGCCAGTGCAAAACAGGTCGACAAGGAGTTGCAGCCTACGCGGGGCCGGCCGGCCAGCGTGCCACGGCTGCGGAGAGCTCGAGTGCCCAGCACCGCGCTGCTCCTTCATTAGCTTCCCCTCCACGCGGCGCTGCATGCCTAGGAAAATAAGTTAGCAAGCGGGGAGCCGTTTATCTCTTTTATCTTGGGGCCTGATCCAATTAAATAAGTGCACATTTACATTTGCATCCATCAGGCGGGAGCGCTGAGAGCCCGAGGTTTGCTCGGAGCAAATAAAAGCAGATTTCACCGGGAAAGTGGTGTCTGAGCGCGCTGGGCTCGTCCCGGTGCCGGAAACGAGCGCTGCCCGGCGAGCGGCCTTGGGGACCCAGGGCTGGGGCCCGTGGCCTACACGAGGCCAGAGATCCCCACTGGCCCCGAGAGGCCGCCCAGCGCTGGAGGTGCGGGCAGAGCTGCAGCCAAGCTCCCGAGGCGATCTGCTGTTAGGCCACAACCTGGGCTCGCCTAGTGCCCGAGGCCCAAGTCGCAGTTCTCGTGAAAACGAAAAGGAGATCGGCTATGCCCTGGACACAAAGGAAGACCCGCGGGGTGGGTCTAGGGACAGTCCTGAAGCTTTAGCCAGTTTAAGGGGAAGGCGGGCAGCAAGGTCCCAGTCGGGCCCGATTTCCCTCCTGTTTGATGACCGGGCGACGAGGGAAACAAAGATCCAGCCCGAGGGCGCGCCCCCCTTTCCCCTAATAACCCTGCACCTGGGGGAGACCAGTGGATACAACCTATGAGGGCTTCTGGCGGGGTAGGGCGAAGCCGAGGTAAGCACCGCAGGCCTTGCCAAGCCAACCTCATTAAAGTTCTTTTCGGAATAGGAGGGTTCGACGCAATGGGAGGTTACTTTTGTTTTGTTTTTCCTTTTTCTACAGATGTCCACCCCACAGGCCAAAAGCTCTTAAGACCAAAACGGTCTTTCAGGGCGCGGTTGCACGGTAGCACCCCCATTTCCCAAACCGCAGATTAAAACTGCGCGGGGTCCAGAGTTGGAGCGTGGAAGGGCCCGCAGGAGTGGAAGTGCGTACACCTGATGCGGGACGGGAACTGCCGGGCGCGCACGGCTGCAGCCCCCACCCGCAGGCTGTTTCAGCCGGCAGCGTATTTCTCAATTGCCTGCGCCTGGTTTTTTGAAATGTGCCGAAGCCGTGGCGGGAACCGGTAGGGTTAACTTTGTTCTAGTCGTGGGCCCTGCTCCCCAAATTCCCAATGCTAACTGGGTCTTAGGTCCAGGGCTGTGGCGCGTTGGGGTGGCGAAGCAGTTTAAGTTTGTCCGGGCCGGAGTTCAAAGCTAAGGCCCCACGGTGGGTGGGGGGATAGCGGGGGTCTCCTCTAGGTCCCCCTCCCTTCGAATCGCATGGCTCCCAGGGGCCGGTAGGCGGCGCCCTTCCTAAACTGCATCCGCGTCTGGCTCTGTCATGGGAGCGCAATTACATTCCTTTCACTTTGGGCGGTTTGCATTGCGCTGTTCCGCGCTTCCGTCCGAGTTGGCAGCTAGCTGTGGGGGACAGGTGGACTAGGAGGCACGGTCGGTGCCAAAACCGCACGTGCGACCTTCCCTCCCCCACAATCTTCTAGGTCCCAAGGGCTGCGCATGGCACCAGGAATAAGCAGCCCGGAGGGGTTTGCAAATCAGGAGGCCTTGCTGCAGACCCCGCACCCGGGCTGGGGGAACGGCATTTCGGGCCTTGGTACCCGGAGTGTAGGAGCTGGGAGGAGAAAGACGTCTCTCCTGACTCCCAAATCCCATGAACTGATTCGGCCCCGCACAGAGCAGGTTTCCGGTTTTGCACTGCCTCAGGGGACTGCTTACAGAGACCCCACGCAGTGATCCCGTGACCCCTGTTGCTAGACATCCAGAGGCTTCTGGTCCCTAAGTGCCAAGGTAGGCGTTTCTTGGGGCCCAGAAACGGCCTAGCCAGGGGCAGGTGGCAAACGCCAGCACAGTCTCAGCACCTCGGGACCTTAGGCGCTGCCTCGCGCAACTTCTGCGCCCCAATCCATGCCTGAGAAGAAACCCTGAGCCCCGAACACGCCGGAAGTTTCCCCAGCGCGTCTAAGAGGCTTCGCCTGCTGGAGGGCCCGAGACGCAGCAAAGAAGAGGCTCCGGGAGGAACTTGGGATCGTACGGACACGCAACCACTTCTGGGATTAAGCGCGGAAGACGTTTCCTAAATGCCCTGAATCCCCGTTTGCCTGGTAGGCCACCTCCAAACTCAGAGTCACTAAACACCAGAAAAGCTGGTGGCCACCGAAACCCAGCTCTGTAAAGAAGAAAAACCCAGACGTAATTGGGTGCTAGTACTGAAGACCAAGTGCGCACAGAAAACCGCAGACCGTGCAGAGGCCCAGGGCGGAAGGGATGCGGGCAGCGGACAGCGACTCAGGCAGCAGCCGCGGAGTCCCCAGCGGTTTAGCTCCCCAGCCGGAGGCTCTCCGCGCCGTTCCTGGATGAAGAGAAACGCCTGGCGTTCCCGGGTGCGCGGTTCCCGTTCCCAGGCAGCTCGGCGGGCATTCGGCTCGCAGCCCCGAGCCTTCGCGGTCTGATTTGGGAGGCCTGCGCCCTGGCATTTGCATATTCCCGGGAACACTGGGAGGCCTGTAATTTTCTTTTTAAAATCGTTGGGCAGGGTTTAGGGCCAATGCTTCCAAAACCCCGCCGAGTTGATGTCGTCCTTAAACTCTCCCTTAAGAGAAGGGGACTGGCCTATTCTTCTGACTTTTTTAGAAAAGGTGACTCCTGGGGCTGCATATTCAACAGGGGGGAAAGCTGATTGTGAACCAGGCTGTGGGGGGAGAGAGGGGAGAGTGGAGGGGGATGAGGCGCGGCGTAGGGGGGAAAGGAGGGAAGGCAAGTCATCTCTGGAATTCAATTGTTTAAAAAAATCATTTATAATTAAAGGGACAAAATAAAATACGATCGTCTCATGCATATTTAATCATTCACACTTCCAGCTTTGAAACCATTTTCCCTGCGTGAATTTTCTCACTAATTTAAACCCTAAAGTCGACTGCTGTTTGCTAAAACATCTGGACAATGCAGCTTTCAAACTTGTTTAAATTCGAATAAGCTTATAAAGGAGCCCCGTGGCAGGCTAAAAAAAAGAAATAGCAAAAGCAACTCCAGTGAAACTTCGGGGTGGGTTTAAAACACCGAGTTAAGGTTAAAGTCATCTTCAGTAGAAATGCAAATATGTGCATTTTGATTTAGTCTAATTAAGCCGGTGTTATGTGCAAACACATTCCCTCTCTACACTCAGGCTTGGGTTTAATAGAGCAAATTAATTCCCGTCGCTGGGGTATGTTTTTGCTATAACAACCCCTAGTCCCTCCCCCAACCACTGAAAATTTCCCACGAAGTAAAACGCGTCCGGGCTCCAGATCTCGGGTGCAAAATGGAGCCGCCAGCACCGCAGCCAAGCCCGAACCCACATCGCTGGCCGGCCTCGGGGACAGGGCGTGGATTCTTCCTCATTAGGGATTCAAATGCATCCTGACTTTTTATTTTGAGATGAAGTATGTGGGATTAAAACGAGAAAATAAAACCCCAGAAATATTTTTGTAGCTACTCGGACTCTTGCATCTGAGCTGGGAAAAGTGCTAAAGCGACGACAAGCCTGATGGAGTCCACAACGGCCTCGTTATCTAGGTAAATGGCCTCGAACTTTTGAAGGCCACTTGTCCAAAAAGAGGCCCGTTGTGAGAGGGAGGGATCCTTTCAGGGGCTCCCCTCTCTTCCCCCAAGTGGCTGTGGCGCTCCCTCCTCCCCTTCCGCCCACTCTGCAATCTCCGACTCTGCAAAGTGCAGGCTTGAAATTCAGGACAAGTGTGACACCTACCTGTGAAAGGGGGAAACCGTCCCCTCGCCCGTCCCGCTCGACCCCAGCCCCGCAGCTGAGCGGGCACTTCTGGGCCGCCCGCCACCCGCACGGTCTGAGATGGAACGTTCATAATTTAATCAAATCCAAAGAAGAGATCAATGCGCAAATTTGAAGGGGCAGAGAAGAAGACGGTGACTTGGGAAAGTCTTCCCCTTGGCATCCCTGAATGCTCCCGCCCGCACTAGCCCGAAGCACCCTTGAAATAGTAATAAGGGCTAAATCCGGCATAAAATCGAACTCATTAGCAAAGTTCACCAGCTGATTGCTTTGCATAAAACACGACACTGATTGGAAGTAATTAGGTTAAGCGATGGCGCTCGAGTGGTGCGTGTCCCTAGCTGGCTTTGCCATCTTTTCTCCCTTCTGGGCACACACTTGGGTCTCTCTTCTCCTTCCTCCAGGGTCCAATCTCTCCCAAACAGCCCGCATCAGTGATCCAGATCTGCATTCTGGGCAGGGCCAGGTTCCCCGGGGCTTGCAGCCTAATTATGGTTTTCCCCTGGTACACTTGAAGGTCTGTGGAACCTTTCAATCCCCACTTTGAAAAAAGTTGCAGTTTGCACCTTTTGACCAAGGCAATGGACAGTTTATTGAGGCTTCTAAAAAGTAATGAGTGGCTCTCATTATGTTAAAATCTCTTTTAATTAAATATTTTGCATTTTACAAAGGCGCCTGCAGTTTCTTTCACTTTTTAAATCTAAGAGTATAACCTGTTTCCTTTCTGTAATACTTTAGCTCATACCCAGCAGAATCAATAGGTGTAAAAAATTAAATTAAACTTGTATTTTTTAACTATGAAACAGTTTTGGGGGAAACACAAATGTATATATTTATATTACAAAAAAACATTAAATGCCTGTACAGGTGTCTTGATTTCATAATTTACTTCAAAGATATTGAATTATCAATTTAAATACAAAAATGCTACATTAAATATACAGAATAAGATTTAATACAAATCCTTTTTTAATTTTTCTTTTCGGTTGGTTAAGACATTTTTTTTTTTGTGTGGAGATGTTTACATTTTTATGTCATCCATCTCCATAAACTATAAACTTCTGAATAGGAGGGGTAGTTTATTTTCTCTCTCTGTCTCTCTCTCTCGGTGATGGAAAAATAACTGCCAAGGCCATGTTTTTAATAAATTAGAAAAGTCCGGGACCGACGCAGCCCGCGTTAAATGTCGGACATACCTTTCTTCAATTCATAGGGAGAGTCTTTGCACAGGTCTAGCTGAGACTGGCTCCGCAACATTTTCGGGTCTTTAGCCAAAGCGTCCGCTCGGTTCAACACGGTCTGGTTTAATCCATTGAAATGAGACCCCGGACCGGTTGTGGGGCCTGGCCCGGGCCCCGGGTGGCCATGAAGGTGTCCGAAGGAGCCATAGTTCGTGTAGCCGGGATAGAAGGGCGCGGTGTAGTAGAGAGGCCGGGACAGCACCGTCCCGCCTGGAAAAGGACACTGCGCCGAGGGCGAGCGTGACGGCGCCGGGGCCGGCGACGCCCGGCTGCCTCCTAGGGCTTGCCCGGCTATGGGCCCGGGACACGGTGGGCATGGAGAGCCCTCGTTCCCGCCGCCCCCGTCCTTGACCTTGTCCGACGATGTGGCGATCTCTGCCAAAGACCACAGTTTGGGCTTGGCGAGCACCGCAGGAGGCGGCGGCGGAGGCGGCGAATGGATAACCGAGGGCCCGCCGGGACCCGGAGGCACCTCGCCCGCGGCTGGATGCGGGCCGGGCGCCGGCGCTCCGGCGGGGTAGTGAGGGGCCGGGTCCTCCGCCAGCCGCGCCGCCGCTGGCCCAGCCGGGGAGGGCCCGCCGGTGCGGGGGGGGCCCTGCAGCGCGTCGAGGCGGCCCTCCGAGGGCGGCTCCTTAAAATCCGAGTCGCTGAGGCTGCCCTCCGTCTCCTTGCCTGCAGGGGTGGGTGGTCCCTGAAGCCGTTCGCAGCCCGAAGCCGCCTTCTGCTCAGCTCCTCCTGCGGGCGAAACCCAGGCTGTCAGGGGCGCAGAGGCCGCGCGGCGGGACCCGGTTCCCGCCCGCAAAGGCAGGGACCCCTGCCCCCAACCTCCAGGCCCCGTGCGCGCCCCCTCCAGGCCTCTCTTTTCCTTTTTACTCCCGCCCAACACGCCCTTTCCCATGTCCACCAACCTGCTTCGGGGCCCTCGGGGTCGCCCTTGTCCTCGGGCTTCTGGGGCTCGTCCTCGTCGTTCTTCTCCAGGTCAATGTTCTCCTCCTCTTCCTCGTCCTCGCTGCGGTTCCGCGGCGTCCACGTCATTTTATTCTCTTTCTTGAGGCGCCGGCGCGCGTTGGCGAACCAGGTGGACACCTGGGTGAGGGTCATCTTGGTGATGATGGCCAGCATGATCTTCTCGCCCTTGGTGGGGTAGGGGTTCTTGCGGTGCTCGTTGAGCCAGGCCTTGAGGGTAGCCGTGGCGTCCCTTGTGGCGTTCTTCCGGTACGCTGGGTCCCCGTAAGGGTACGATCCCAGGGGCGCCGCGTAAGGATGGTACCCCAAGGAGCCCGCCATGCCGGGTGTGTGGTCGTAGGGAGAGCCCTGCGGTGGAGACGCAGAGAGGTGAGTGTGGACCGTGGTCTCCACTGCCATCGGAACGACCGAAGCACCCTTTTCCCTGCGCTCCCCGGGGTCTGTGGGTGGACGAGGCCCGCACTCCAGCTTCCTACGGGGCAAGGCTGGCGGGGTTCAGACCTAGGAGCAACTCCTCCCCCTCCTCAGAAGGCAGCGGGGACCTCAATTTCTGGGTCAGGTCCTTCTGGGGCCCCTGAAGCTGTCCCGGCCTCGGTGTCACCCCGTAGGCCCCCATCTGCCCGGGCACGTCCGTACCCCGTGCGCAGATCTGGCCACGGCGGCCCGGCCCTCCATGCAGATAGAGGCCTGGGCAACTGAGGCGACTCCGCGCTCGGCGGGGGAGCGGACGCACGTTGGGCGCAAGGGGGGAAAACAAGGGAAGTCAAGGCTCTTTTTTTCTTTTTTCAACAGCTAAGAAATGCAAACAAAAAGCTGAGCCATGCCCACGCACTCCCACCCTCCAAAAATACTACCCCAGACCGAAGTTACAACCCGGCCGAAAAATCCCGGATGCACCGCAGCTCGACCGACTTTTCAGAAATTTAATACTCCCAAATCGGATTGCGAAGATAGGATTACGGATTTGCAACATTTTGGAGGACTAATTAAAGGCTAGGCCAAACACATTTACATAGACTTAGCACGCTTCTGCTCAAATTTCGAGTCTATTTCTTTTGAACTACTTTTCCAAAATGGCAAAACCAAAAATATAAAATTTGCAGGGCAGCCCGGAGCTTACGTTTACACCAAATGCTGCTCTTTAATTGCAGCTACCTCTCCCCACAGAACCCCTTCCCGCCAGCTCAGCGATCCGAGCAAGACGCGGCTCTCTTTTGCGAGCAACTCTTGAGTCCAAGGCCTGGGCGAAGCTGGCGGAGACAATCGCCCAAGTTTGAAGGGGCCGCGAAGCTTGGCGGGGGAGGTCGGTGTTGGCGCCTAGGCCCGTGTCCCCCTCCGCCCCCGTCCTCCCGCCCGGCCCCTGCTGCCCCTCGCCCGCCGCGGATCCCGCTCACTTACCACGTACGAGGAGAAGGCGGCGGCGGCGGCGGCCGCGGGGTCGGCGCCGTACTGGAGGTGCGAGTTGTAGCCCGGCGAGGGCGCCGTGAAGGCAGTCGAGCCAGCGTAGGGCGAGAACGCGGAGCCCGAAGAAGAGCGGCCGAGCTCATCCGTGCGGGGCCCCGAAATGACGCTGGTGCTGTACGCCGGGCACGAGTAGAGCGCCAGCGAGGCGGACGGCTGGTACAAGTAGCCCTGCGGATAGGACATGGCCACACACGGGCATGGGGCGCGCCGCGCCGCGGCCGCCAACGAGCCGGGCGGCGCCCTGCGAGGGCGAGCGGGCGGGCACCTGGCCTCTGGCTGCCCTGGGCCGCCGCTCCTCTGGCCCCGGCTCCGGGGCTCCGGCCCGCGGCGCCTCCTCGCTGGCTTCCCGCGCGCCTCCGGCTGCGACCGCCGCGCCCGCTCCTCTGCGCGCCTCGCTCGCCCCAGCTGGGCTTTTTTTCCCCTCCCCTCCCCTCCCTTGCTGCTTTCTCTTTTTTCCCCTCGCTCTTTGCACCGGGGGGCTCTGCTTTTGCCTTTGCAAAGGTCCTGCCAAGATGCTAAGTTGGAAATTGAGGATTCTGACGCCTTGTGCGCGCCCGAAGCTCCTCCTTCCCGGGGTGTAGTCGGTGGGAGGACTGGCAGGAGCTTCTGGGCGGCCGCAGCCAACCCGGCCGCCAGGCGCGCCTCGCCCTCTCCCTCTTCCTCCTCGGCTCTCTCTCCCGCTCGCTGGCGCTCCTCTCGCCCCTCCCTAGCGCCCGCCTCCCCTCCGCGGCCCCCCCTCTCACCCCTCCTCTTTGCCTCCCCTTTTCCCCTCCCCGGTCTCTCCCTCTCTCTCGCTTTCTCTCAGACTCTCGAGCGCCGGCCCCAGGATGACAATCACATCCCAGGAGCGCCGATCTCTTCCAACTTTCCTCTTCTGCTAACTCGGGGCGGAGTGGCAGTCCCGCCGCCCCGAAGCACAAAGGGAACGAGGCCGCGGGCTGTGCGCCGGCGAACGCTCTGCGCTCTCCTAGCCACAGTAGATCGCGGACTTAGCGGATTTCTTGTTCTCCGGCAGGCTGGGCTCCGAGGCCATTCGTTGCCCACCCCCCTCTGGCGTCTTCCCCAAGCCAGGGGGCCCGGAGAGCCAGCTGGAGATCCGGAATGAAAGTCTCTGGGAGAGCCGATGGATGGCCCGCGCCCAGGGCGCAGGAAGTCCGGGATGACTGCCCCTCTGCGCCGGCAGCAGCAGGTGGGCGAGAGACAGGCCTCAGACGTCTGCACGTCTCCGCCTCGCCTTCCTTCTACCGACCCCCCGCCGGACGGCGAGGGAGAAGACACTGGTTCCTGGAACTACCGGGGTAGCCTTTTTCTAGAGTAGGGGTGGTGGGCAAGAACTGCCAGACAGAGAATCAGCTACACCCGAGGAGATCTCGGGACCGTCCCCAGCTCCACTCCCACGCCTCGCAGCCTCTTTCTCCCGGTTTTCCCACCGCACGCAGCTCGCACCGCCAAGTCGGTGGTGGTGGAGGGTGCGGGTCCCCTTCCCTTTTGTTTAACTAAGTCGCCTTCCCCTTCGCACGCACTCTCGCATCCGCCCACGCTCCACTGCAAACACTGGGCAGAGCAGTGCCCAACCCAACCACTGTTTGTTCAGCGAGGCGCTGGCGAAGCAAACACACACAACTGAGTCAGAGGCAGAGCCCTTGCCCACGACGGCCACACAGTTAGAATACAAAACAGACCCTCTCCTCTTCTCTCCACCTCCCGCCACCACAAGCCACGGACGCACTCGAACTCTGGGACAGACAGGGGCGCTGGTGAACCAGGACAGAAGATGGCACAGGTTTGGGCACGCCGCGGAAGCTCGGGATATCGGGAACTTCGCATAATGGGGCCACACGCAAGCCGAAGCATAACTATATACAAAGTTTCTCGCATTGACTTTGACGGGCGAGATGTACTTTATTTCGCGATCTCACACTAACCCAGCGCCGCACCGGCACCCGCTCGGTGCTGCGCTCTCGTGCACGCGCGTTGGCTCCTCCCCTCCGTCTGCTCCCCTCCCCCAGACACCGCCCACCAAGAGGCCTGAGCGGTTCAGACTACATTCTCCGAGAGCCCCTGGGTCCGCCCAGCCCAGTGCCTGACACCTCCTTCACCTATGATTGGGCGCTGGCCTCCCTGGGCTCCGCCCCCTGGTGACGTAACCCCGCTTTCCTCCGAGTCTCGGCGCCAGAGGGGCGGGGAGGGGCGGGGTCTCGATCGCGCTATTGTCATGGAGACGGGAAGCTGGCTGCAGCGGCGGCGGGGACCGTGGGGCCGAGGTGGCTGCCAGCCGGCCAATGTCTAAGCGAGGCGGAGCGGCCCAGGCGGCCCGAGCCTGGGGGAGCGCGCAGCCGGCCAGTGGCGGCCTCGCCGGCGGCCTCTTCCCGGGCTCGCAGTAGGCCCGAGTCGTCGCCGGGAGCTCCTGGGAGCAGCGTCCCCGCCCTGCTCCCCTCGCTCCCGCCTCTTGCGGCCCCACGGCCCCTCAGCGCCCGCCCCCGGCTCCGCCCGCCGCAGCCGCAGCCCCTGGCGCTAACGGTCGGTAACGGCCCGCGCGCGCCGCCCGCCGGGGGCTCGCGCCAGCCACGAGGGAGCGTCCGCGGCCCGCGCGCCCGCGCGGCGGAGGAGAGGTGAGCCCCCGCCCGGGCCAGGCCCTCTGGCCGCGCCGTCCGCCCCTCTAGTCGTGTCCCCTCGTGGGCCGAACGGACGCGGCGGTGCCCCGCGCCCGACCAGACGTCCCGTGGGCTAGGGCCTGGGCCTCGGGCCGCGTCGGCGCCGGTCGAGCCTCTCCGGGTGTCGGGGTTCGGGGCGGGCGCGCGTGGGCGTGGCTCCTCTGTCCACGCCTGTTCCCTTCGTCGCCGCGGCTCTCGTCCGGGACACGGCTTTCCGGAGTAGAGCCCTTGGAGGTTTGTGCCACCGAGAACCCGAGTCTGTCACACAGACATCCTCATTACATCATCCTGCCACTCCGGCAGTCCCGCGCTTTCTCCCCCCACCCCCGCCCCCGCCCCCGCCCCCGCCCCGTGGCTTGTTTGTTGGTTGTTTTTTTAATTTTTTTAACCCCTTTTCTTGTACTGTCTTCTTTTTGGTGTCAGGGGCTGGAGAGACTCCTGCAAGATATTGAGGCATTTAGAATGTATGGTTCTGTTGCCGTGGTTGTCACCTCCGCTCTACGCCAAATTTAAGACTCATTTCTTAAGGATGTCTCTATTTTCTGCTTTATTTGCACATTGATGGCTCTGCTGCTCAGCTGGCCACGGCCGCCCGGCGTCTGAGATAGAATTGTGTTAATATGAGAAAGGGAACGGCCGATCATGATTAGCAGGCAGACGGCATGCAGATAGCATCTGGCGGGTTTTCTCCGTTTTTATATGAAAGCGTTCACTTGTTTGCTGGTAAACACGAGGTTTTAACTTTTTATCTGGGTAGTGGTGACCGTTTGTTTCACTCTCCCCTCCTTTTTACTTCCTATTCATTAGCTTTTCCGTTTGGAAAGCTGCATACTTGTTAGCGGTAGTTTGGTGTCTTGACTCTGAAGCTTTCTCTTCCAGCAGAGGTGGGATCTGTATCCCTCCCATCCTAGGTTACCAAGAAGACTTTTTCTCCCCTTACTTTCTATTGAATTTGTGTCTTTCCCAACATTTAAACTTACACTAGGGATAAGTTTGCTCGGGTTGTTTTTGACGTAGGACTATTAAATATTCTCATTTTGAAACTTCCTAAAGGTTTATTGGTTTGTCATGTCTGCACCGATCCAGTTTCGCATAACTCTTAAAATTTAAAGCTTTAAAGTACGGTTCGCAATTGTATTGTCAAGACATGGCCCTAGAGCTTGTTCTTCAAGTTTTGGCTGTACAGTTGTCATTGTTTCAGTCAAGTGCAAAAGAGGTTATTCCTGTTTATTTAGTGTTAATAGCTATTTACAGTTAAAACTTTAAAGACTCATAGAAGTAGGTCTGCTGTATTTTAAAGATCTCATCATTCTTGTGGGAGAGACACAACACCAACACCAGGAAAGGCAACAGATTGCTTCTGTCATATCGCTTTGCTGTTTTGGAGTGTACTTAAAGGATTATGATTGATAAGGCTGTCTTGCCAGAGAATGTTGACACAGGTGTGCATCGTTATCTTAATTAAGATCCTGAGAAAATGTTGTCTATAAATGGTGACATAAGAAGGGCGGCATATTTTTGTACAGTTTTGCTTTTGGAGAATTTAATTGCACTTGAAACCTGTCTTTGAGCTTCCAGATTTTGTGAGCACTTTAGCAACAGAAGTTTTAGAGAGAAATGATAGTTTAATGTTAAGTGTTCTGGCATGTACTAATACTACTTGTGGCTTTTTGGCAATGCCTGTGTCGGCTTTCTTTGTGCTCTACCTTTGTGGAATAATGGTTTCTAATTTTGAAAGAAAAGCATAAAATAGAGCAGTATTTTATTAAGCAAACACTTGTTAGTGTTCAGAATAAGTCTGTAGAGGAGGGCATGCTTAATGTGCAGAAACAGGAATATAATAAGAGGTAAATATATGAGAAATTTATGCTATTTCGTTTTTTTGGAAAAGAAACAGTCTCCTGGGGTGCCTTAATGATCTAAAACAATTTCTTTTTCATATCATTAAATACCTAGATACAATGTTTACGGAATGCCTTGTTTTTATTTCTAAAAATAGAAGAAAACTGTTTTATTTCTTCCAAAATACTGTTCTGTGTGTTTGAATTGATGAGTAAGTGAAGATAGTGCATTTAGTCTCTTACTAGTTTAAGGATCTGAGTCATAACCTGGGTGACCACTAAAATAATATTGCTGTTCTTTACTACAAATCTCGGAATGCAAAAACACTGGCAAGATGGATGCTGTTGATGATATTACCCTTGGCTTACCCAGCACCTAATACCTTTTAACATAAGTATTGCATTAAGATTTTCTCTTCTCTTTGTAGCTTAGGATTTCCTGGAAGCTGGCTGTCTATCAGTGTGTATGTAAGAAGTGTGTATGTTTTTCTTTAATATTAAAAGTCACTGTAAAAAGAGGAAATGAAAGTGGAGGAGACCATAGGCATATGATCGGAAAAGCCAGGTGTAGAGTCACAGCTCATTCTTGACTCCAAGGATAATTACCTGGTTAGAATTACATGGTAAACTAAAAGAAAGACTTACGTAGATTTGTTTGCTAAAACTAAAACAAGACCATTAATTTTGAGATAATTGCTTTATTTATCTCCCATACCACCCCTAATCAAAATTTTTTTCCCCTCTGGCAGCTATGATGAGCATTCTTATGCTGTTATCCATGTGTTATTTTCAAATTTGATATATTGCATTAAAAGAGATGAAATAGGAATATGAACTAATTATCCATTTTAACGAATAACTCAATAATTATTATTATGTGTATACATTCTAGAAATCTTAGGAAAAAATGTTCTTTAGTTGATAACAGGAAAGTAAATTAAATCATGTAATCCTGAGTGAATTAAATATGCTCTTCAAAATAGATGATGAACATAGCATCATACTTTGGAATAATGTTTTAACTCTGGGATAGTACAGCCTGTTTTGAGTGGTAGTATTTCATTATCTTTATATGTTTCTCTTCAATATCTCTTTTTTGTTGACTCCTATATTTTAACATCTTTTTGGTATATTTGTTAGCTGTTTATAGGGAATAATTTTTCTTAATAGAATAGCAGCTGGTGCAACTCTAAGAACATGTCAAATCTAGGAATTCTTTTTTCCTTTTTCAATAATGAGTGGTTTGCTTTCATAGCACTGCTCTGAAGTGTGATGCTGAAGGCTTATTTCTGCATAAATCTGCAGTGTTTTTATAGCTGTAGTGTACCTAAGCACCAATTTAGCTTAGCAAATTAACTTAGATGCTTCAAAATTGAAAACCAGTATATTCTAATGTAGTTTGAGTTTAAGTCTTTATTAGTAAGGATGCACTTAACATTTGTTCAGGAGAAGAGAATATAATTTTCTCCTGCAGTTGTCATTTACGTAATCCATTTTTCTAGTCTTTTCTCAGGCTAATGATATTCCATACCTTGATACAGCTTTTATTTGTTTATTTGCCATAATATGGAGTGATACCTTCGAGAAAATTAGATATTTGAATCTAATATCCCAAAAGTATTACTTAGTTTTCTGTGTTTCCTTAAACAGAATCATTTCCATTTTCGGTGCAGGTGTTAAGTGTGATGCTTCCATAATACATTTGGATGCTGTCAGCTAAGTTCACTTCTGAACTAAGGGGTTCCTCCAAATGTTGGCTGAAATTCATCCCAAGGCTGGTCTGCAAGTGAGTGTCTGCACACAGTTTGCTTGTATGTGGAGTCGATCCAAAATAGCATCAATGTTGGTTTTACCAAAGTATTTATTATTGATAATAGAGGCTAAGTACAAAATGTAGAGAATGTCAGCTACTTGAGGCCTTTGATTATTAAAAATTTTATTAATGCATTAAACAAGAGTACAGTAAATAGATAAATTTTAGGTTCATGAAATAAAACTGAATAATTTATTTTTACTTACTATTTATCATGGAATTACTTTGAATAATTTATTTTTAATGGTATAATTGGACAGTAAAATTTATAAACTCAGTGCTTTTCATAAAAATCAAAGTGAAGTTTGTAATATTTTATACAAATAGAATTATTATTTAAGAGAAATAACCTGTTTATGCCTAATTACAGTTTTTAATCATTTCAGTTACCTATTTCTTTTAAGAATAAATTTAGTGGGAATATCAGTTCCAGTCATGGGTACCAAACTTTTTTAGTGACAGAGTACACACAGGTATGTAAAACTTGTCATTTCTCATCAAATAGAGGCTGCTGAATATAGGCAGGTAAGAAAAGCTATGAGAAAGAATTGTTTTGCAGAATATTTGTCTAGTTGTCAGAGCAAGGAACTGAATTTATTGACACAGAACATTTTATTAAGTAAAAAAAATGGTTCTTATAACAAAAAAAAAAGCTAATTTTACAGAAGGCAGTAGTTAATATAGCCGCCAATAAAATAAATGTTTCTCTGAATACTTTCCGAGGCATTACAGTGATTTTTAACTAATATGAAGTGATATATAATAATTTTAAAGTAACATCCTTGAGTTTTCCTATTATTAATTGCTTATGGAAATTGGGTTTCACGTATGACTGAGAGCTAAAGCATTACAGTGAGTTAGAAAACACAACACAAATGTAAAGAAAATGTTAGGTGGTGAGTAATCTGATTCCTTTTTGTTTGCCTTTAAGCTTAGTTTTTTGTTTTGTTTTACTTTGTTTTAAACCATGTATAAAATTGTTGAATTTAAAAGATAAGAGGATTAAGTAATTTCTTTTTTCCTCCTAAGGATAAATGTAGGAAAAATCTAAACACATAGGCAGATTGGTTGAGTTTTATATCTGTTATCGGCCACATTTATTAAGATTCATATTTCATGTATATTAGAGGTATTCACATGTATTAAAATTCTTATATTCCTTCTATATAAAATAGATGTAGGGGGTTCCCACTCTTGAAAATATGAAGAAAAGATGTCCTTTCAGCAATAATGGGTTATGGTTGATTAACTGAGAAGGTTGTATTAAACGTTCTCTAGTAGAAATGGCTAAAGAGCATGCTTTTTGAGAAGTGTATCATCTAGGAAGAAAATCAAATGGAGTATTGGTAATTAAATTGTAATTCCATGAAGGAAGGAAGTGGTGCAAAAGATGAAGCTAACTATTCCTGTTTTTCTTTTTAAGAGTCTGCAATTCATAATGGAGCTACTGTACTGGCTATTGGAAGGAGGAGATTCTGAAGATAAGGAGGTAATATTATCTCTTTTAAAAGAATACTTTCCTCTGTAATCCTGAATCTTTATTACATGTAAGAACTTTGTGCAGTAGACAGCAATTTCTTTGAATTTGGTATATGGAAACAATTTTATTTTCCTCTGCTAAGTTTTTGAGCCTGCCTCTTCTAGTGCCATGGACTGCATTGGTAGAGCTGAGAAATATCATTTAGCCATACTCAGCACCCTTAAAATAGCTTCTTTCTGAGAATTAGATCTGTGAAGGTGTCCTGCACAGTTCTTGTAGATGTCATTTTAGTTTGTGGTTGACGTGCATGCATTTAGCATGTTGCTTAACCGTCCTCATTCGCCTCCCAGTTCTTTGTTGCCTTCATTTGGGGGGATGTGTTTTCTGCTGGATGATTTACTGCTAGACATGACCAAACTCTGAGTATAAGACTTGGTGTTTGGCAGCTGGTTCCAGTGCTCTGCTGAGAAGTAGTTGGGCCCAGCCTGGGGCATTGTAGTGTCCTGGAGGCCGGGAGCTCCTGCACAGGGGTTCTTTTCCTGGTTCAGAGCCTTAGGTGCCTTTCCACTTTTCACGTAATCTTTTCCTAGGTTGGCTTGCTGCTTACTTTGCAGCTGTTGCAGGGATTCACATGGAATGGAGGGCTCCCTTTTATTGTGGATTATTTCTTTGATAATTTACCCATGTGCTTTTTCATTTTCAAAAACCCAGTGGTGTTTAAGAATGAAAGATTCTTGAAGAACAAAAATTGGGTTAAATTTGTATCTATCAGAAAAGATTCTATCCTCTGATGCTATGTAGGCACATTGAATATGCAGGCTAAATTAAAAACAGAGTAAAACCTTTTTATAATATGCCAATTACTATATCTAAGAATGTTTATACAGGCTGAAATTTTGTAATGGTATTTATATCTGTTTTCCTTTTTAAGGAAAATAATATACTTTTCTAGGCATCAAAAATATCTGCCCCTTTCACTAATGCTGATGTACCACCTTCCCCCAACCCCCAACGCTAAATTTGACTGGCTTAAAAACATCTGCCCCCTGAACTATATCTGGGGAGGAATATTAATAAAACAATGAAGGACTTCATGGTGTCTAGTTATATAATTAGGAAATTGGTTAGAAACGTGGCTAAAACCAGTTTCTTTCATTAAAAGAACTAGTGTACATTTAAAAACAAAAACCTTCAGGAAAAAGACTCTTTGATCTTTAAGTCAAATAGTATTTTTGGTTAACACAGCAGGAAGGGGAAATATACCAATTTCAGATTCTTTTATTTATGCCTAAGTAGAGGTTGTAAGCAGCTAAGGAAGTGATTAAAATGTAGTCTAGTAAAAAATGGTGCTGATTACTTGGAAAGCAGTTTACATTTGCAAAAAAATTCAGTATTATGACCTTCACCAACTTTTACACATCATATACTTGGGTTATTACTTATGGTATAGCTTGTGTATGGAATGCAAGGGTATTTTCAAATTGACTAGGTCTTGCTGGTCATCTTAAAATATGTTACAATATTACAAAATTGAAATGTAATATTTTTTAATAGAAGGAAAATATAAATTTAATATCTGGGCAATTGAGACCTTTAAACTTACTTTAAAAGTATGATCTTGATGTATATGATACTGTTTTGTCTTTGCTATATTAACAGAATTAGAGGGGTGTTCTGCAATTCAAATACCTTATATATTCCAAATTTTATTCTCTATAATGGACTTTTAAAATAAAAGGTATATGTGCTTCAAGAGGGCAAAATTTGAATCATGAGCTAATTTGCTAAGCATCAGATTATAGAAAAGCATCCTTGATTAATTTGGAACTGTGAAAGGGGGCGGGTAAAACTGTTTTCTGCAGAAATTTACTAGTGCAGCAACCATTTAAATTAAATGTTTGTTAACATAATAGTGATGGCATTTTCTCCTCCCCCTCCTTGTGGTTTTGTCCAACTAGATGTTACAGTGGCAGTTGCACTGACTGTTAAGTGTTTAAATGATGACACCATTATGTGAAGTGATTTTGAAATGAGAGATTCCAGCCAAGAATTACATCTGCTCCCATCTCCTTCAAATCATACTCTCTGGCAGTACAGATTATGATTGATTTGTTTGTGACAGATTGCAGGAAACAGTCATTGATTTTTCAATATTTTACCTTAAAATTATTTACAGTTGTAACCATGGGGAGGTATTTTCATGGGCTGTCAGCCCCTGAAAGACTAGGATAATATTCCCTGCTCTCTGACAAGACAAATTACCTGTAATGAGTGCAGTAGCTGAAGGGTATACTTTTATTTTAAAATATGTCAATAACCCCAGTGACTAAACGAATATTGATTTAGCATAATGAAGCCTGAGTAACGTGAAAATGAGCTTTTTCAAGGGGCATGGTAAAGTCTTTCTTTTTAGCTGGTTGTAAGAAGCTTTTGATTCTTTTCAGCCAGCTGGTAGGAATATAGAATTTTATAAGCAAACCATCAGGAATGATAGTGTTGTTTCTGATAAGCAACATCCAAATATTTTGACCCTGCTTTTAGTGGTTTTTTTCAAATCTTATTTTGAGTCTTACTTTTAGTCATAGAATAGCTACTGATTTGATGCGGTCTTTAACTGACTTAATATTTTTACAATTTCAATATATTTTGCATTGGAATCTCCAGTAATGAATATTAAAATATATGTACAATCATTTGTAGATGATATCAATTATATTAAGACATTTCAGATGGGCTATTGTAGTATTTAATGTGCCGTATTTTATGGTAGAATAATTCTCAGTCTCTGGACATCAAGATTGCTTTCAGTGGGAATGAAGATTAATTTACTTCAGTCCTGATTTTTTAGGCATCAATGCATGTTTTCATTTTTGTCAGACTTTTACCCTCTTTTAATGTAATTCTCAACTTCTTATGGATTTACTTCCCAATACATAAAATCCTTCAAAACAAGAATGATAATAATTTTTATACTTTTTATAAAAATAAATTTATTTTTAGTCCATCAAGGTGTCTGAAGATTTTATGCCTAGGTATCTCCATATCTAACTTGATAAGGAAAATAGGATAAACAATGCTGGTAATAGCAGGAAAGTAAGTATTTGAATAAGATGTCAAACTGATATTTCATGTGAACCTAACTCATTTTATGGTAACTAATAATTATCTTATTTAAATCAATAGGTAAAACCTGTTTAGAAATTAAAAATGAGTTACGATTTAAAGAAAATTCAGATGACTCATTGTGAGTGCTAGTTCTCTTGTAGGATGCCACTGGAAATGTTGAAATGAAAAATGTAAGTATATCTTTTGGTGGAAAAAAGGATAGTCTCTAGGACACAAAATTACTGTTTTATTTTTTTCTCAGGAGTTTGCCTAAGGGTGTGACAGATGATCTCTGTCACTTGTCTTAGTTGTGTCCTGCAATAAACTGGATGCTTTATAAAATACTAGACCTGTGATTTCGTATGCTGTAATATTTCATTTCTCCATCACCCCTCCAAATTATTTCTTAGTTTGGAGTAAAATAATAAATGTATTATAGTCAACATCTCTTGACCCCTCTTTAGTTTCAGCTAAACTAAGCATGTGTGTTTGTGTGTTCATTTTATAGTTCATGTGTAGAACTATGTGAATTAAATTTAAGAAACATGTAAAGTAGAGGAAATAGTTTTCTGGAGAAATTTTTCCTTTTTGGATATTATGCCCTTTTCCATTGCTTTTCTCTGCTTGAAAGCAAAAAAAAGTACCCTACCCCTGTTCTCCTTTAGGGAAAAACTATTCCTATAAAGTATTTTTAAATCGTGCAAGTCATTGCCTAGGGTTAGCTAAAACATTTCTTTTTAAAAAGGAGAAAATGCCCTGGCTTTAACATTTTCTTGTATTTGTATCTATTAAGATAAACAGTTTACTTTGATACAGTACATACCAATCTACTTAATTTTTTTTCCAGGATTCCTTTTACTATGTTTGGTCTGACCTTTTATGATAACTTAATATGGGAACAAATTAGCATATAATTCTATTTTCCATGTGACCTCAACCAGTTGCAGAATTGTACCACTACTTTAGGGGGGGCAATTTGACAGTTTATGTAGACTATAGCATTAATTGTTCCCAAATGTTCAGTGCATCCTGGCTAATGTGTTATTGAAGGTGTTTTCACGTAAGCAGTTAGAGGAAGCACTTCACCCCTATTACTAAGTTATTAAAATGCCTCCTAAAGGTAGCATTTTAAATTAGTATACATAATTGATTAGTAATTTGTCTTCTCCCAAGCATAAAACAGCATAGCAGAGTTAAGTGTGACCAGTGAAGTATAAGATATTAGGGATTGATGGTGACAATGATCATAGCAACTAAATGGATTTTTTTTTTCTTTTAGATTCAGCCGTTGGTCTTTGAAATTTCCTGTGATGTGTTTCAATCTAGATGCAAAGAACATGGAAAAATCAAAGTGCTCGAGTGGTTTAAATATGTTTTGGGTATTCCTGTTTATAGACTATAATACTTTTCCAATTAAAATCCTCAGTTGTCACGCAGAAGAAGGTTAAGCTGTATTTGATTGCCAGTTTTACTGAAAATGCTTAGTATTTTACAGTATCACCAAATATATTTTGTTTAGCCAAGGTATAGGAAAAATAAAATAAATTGTATAGGTTGACTTTTTTCTAAAATGTCTTTATTGGATTGAATGAATGTTTATACCTGAAAAAAAAAGGTTCAAAAAAATTCCTTTTTCTATCAGAGTCATTCTTTTGACAATCAGATATTAGACTAGGTTTAAAATAACTTTCTAATATGACTCATATTTATGGGAGGAAAAAGACTTGAAAGATATTCCTATGTGTACTTTAATTTTCTGTAATAGTCCCTCTGGAATAGAATATCTCTTCCTCAAACAAATCTATTGGCTCATTTCATATACAAGAAAAAGTTGCCCTAAATGGCAGAGTTTCATCTCTGTAAAGAAGGCTGACATCCACTTCCTTCACAGAATCCCTGCATTTGGGTAATTGAGTAATGATAGATTACCTTGCCATTGGGAAATACCTTGTTGTGGCCTTTGTAGCAGCTATAGGAAGATGGAAGAATTCTTTTGTATAGACAGGTCTCTAGCCTCTTTGGTGTGGACACTGTGAAGGGGTACATCTGGTGAGAAGGAGTGCTTAGGGAAGGAACTGGGAAGGTCCACAAAGGCTGATGATGACAAAGAATCCAAGGGCTATGATGAATTCTTAAGCTTAGATCTCAGAGTCATAAAGTAAATTTATTAGGCTAGAGAGATTTCCTTTTTTATTTTTGATCAAACTTTATTTTTTCAGATTGTTAAGTTCACATGCAGTTGTACAAAATAATACAGAGATCTTTGAACACTACCCAGTTTCTCCTAATAGTAACTTCTTGCAATATACTGTATAGCACAGCATCACAACCTGGATACTGACATTGATGCAGTCAAGACAGAGAACATTTATATCATGAGGAGGATCCCTCATTACCGCCCTTTGATATCCACCCCTACTTCCAGACCATCTCACTCCTCCCTTAACCCTGGCAACCACTAGCATGTTCTCCATTTCTATAAATTTGCCTTTATAGGAATGTTATATAATTGCAATTAAAGTGTGTAACCTTTTGGGGTTTGACTCACCCGGCATCATTTTCTGGAGATTCAGCTTATATGTGTCAATAGTTTGTTCCCTTTTTTTTAGTTCAGTAGTATTCTGTGGTACGTGTGTACCACATCACTCATCAATTCGGACTTCTGGGTTGTATCTGGTATTTGATTATTACAAATAGAAGTACTATATATATATTCGTGTAGAGGTTTCTGTGTGAACATAAACTTTCATTTTCCTGGGACAGATGCCCACGAGTGAAAATTGTGAGTCATATGGTAATTATGTAGAGTATTTTTTTTTTGAGACGATTTGTTTATGATTTTAAAACATAAAAATATAAGTTGTAGCCAAATATAAGGAAGGATTTTTCCACAATCTAGACTTTATTCTTATTTTAGAGAAATACTTTTGAAAAAATTGCTTTATTGGCAAACAATTCCTATGTAAAGGAATAAAAGACGCATATACTCTAGGAAAGATGTTGCAAAGCTGACAGGCAACTTTGAGAAAGATGAGGGCAGTTTTCCAGTGTTACTGGAGACTTGACATTCAAGGATGTATTATGATAGTTTCTGAATTGATAGATTCTTTAGCGTTTGTCACTACCCTCAGGCCTGCAGTTTTTATTTGTAGAATTAACTCATCTTTACAATGCTTTGTTGAGTGCTGTTGCAGAAAATGCTCATGTAATTCAATTATATGCAGTTAGGAAAAAGAAGTATCTTTTTCTAGTACATGGCCCCTAAAATGATGACTTTCCACAATGCTGAATGGAGGAAACAGCTCTGTTTCCATCAAACTCTGGTGGAAATTATACAAAGTTATATTATGCTTTATGAGACATAGTGAGGTAGTACACAACCATATATGCTATATTATTGGGGAGACCCACTGAAAGAATTTTCAAGGATAATTTTTGCTCTGATTTTCTATCATGTATATTGACTTTATTGATTGATTGATTGAGATGGAGTCTCACCCCGTCACCCAGGCTGAAGTGCAGTGGTGCAATCTCTGCTCACTGCAACCTCCGCCTCTCAGGTTCAAGTGATCCTCGTGCCTCAGCCTCCCGAGTAGCTGAGACTATAGGTGTGTGCTACGATGCCCAGCTAATTTTTGTATTTTTAGTAGAGACAGGATTTGGTAGCCTGGTCTCGAACTCCTGACCTCAGGTGATCTACCCACCTTGGCCTCCCAAAATACTGGGATTACAGGTGTGAGCCACCGTGCTGGCCAAGTATATTGACTTTAAAACGTTACCGGCTGGGCGTGGTGGTTCACGCCTGTTATCCCAGCACTTTGGGAGCCCGAGGCGGATGGATTACCTGAAGTCAGGAGTTCGAGACCAGCCCAACCTGGTGAAACCCCGTCTCTACTAAAAATACACAAATTAGCCGGGCGTGGTGGCAGGCGCCTATAATCCCAACTACTGGGAAGGCTGAGGCAGGAGAATTGCTTGAACCTGGCAGGCGGAGGCTGCAGTGAGCCAAGACTGCGCCACTGCACTCCAGCCTGGGCAACAAGAGCAAAACTCAGTCTCAAAAAAAACAGAAAAAAAAAGTTACCACGGGTGAAACATTGGGCTGGTCACAGTGATCCTTCTAACAGCAGTCAATATTATAAATCTAGCTTTTTTTTTTGAGTGAGATACTAGGCCCAGGGAACCCGAGTCTTTCAATCCTCATGAATATAGTTTAATCTTTAGCTCATTATGGTCATGACCATAGTTAAATAAATGACACGAGATAATAAAATAGTCTTTGCCCTTAAAACTGACCTGGGTAAAAGGATGTACACTTGAATCTTTGAATACCAGAATAGTCATTCATTCATTGAGCCGTGTTGTAGCATCCCATCTTCTGGCACTTCCAGCACTGGGAACCCATCATAAAGAAGGCACTACAGGCCAGGCGCTGTGGCTCACGCCTGTAATCCCAGCACTTTGGGAGGCCAAGGCAGGCGGATCACCTGAGGTCAGGAGTTCGAGACCAGCCTGGCCAACATGGTGAAACCCCATCTCTACTAAAAATACAAAAAGTAACTGGGCATGGTGGCAGGCGCCTGTAATCCCAGCTACTTGGGAGGGTAAGGCCAGAGCATCGCTTGAACCCGGAAGGCAGAGGTTGCAGTGAGCCAAGATCCTGCCATTGCACTCCAGCCTGGGGGATAAGAGCGAGACTTCGTCTAAAAAAAATAAAAATAAAAAGGCACTACAGCACCTGTTCTCTTAGTGTAGCTCTATTAGCTCTTAGACTAGGGGGTAGGGATGGGAAAAAGTAAAAAGAAACTGAGAAACCAATCTAATTACGCATAATCAGAAATCCAAAGCTTCCAGAATTCATGAGGAAAAAGAACTGCAGCTGATGGAGTAGGCATTACAGAGAATGAGAGGCTTGCTTTTTTTTTAAGTTTCATTTTATTTGTAATTGACACAATAGCACATATTTACGGGATACAGTGTGACATTTTAATACATTTACATATTGTGTAATGATCAAATTAGGATAATTAGCTTATGTATCACTTCAAAAACATAATTTCTTTGTGATGAGAACATTCAAAATCTTCTAGTATTTTGAAATACATAATGCAATATTGTTAACCACAATCACCCTACTGTGCAATAGAACACCAGAGTTTACTCCTCTTTTCCATCTGTAGCTTCAGACCCATTGACCAATCTCTCCCCTTCGCCCCCCACCACCCCCCCCCCCGCCGTCACCACTCTCCTCCCCTCCCCAGCAAGAGGCTTGAATCTTGAAGGAGCACATCAGATAGAAAGAGGGAAATCAACTGGGACATGGTTTGTTGGAAGTGGGGTGGAATCTGGTTTGTTTACAGTTTCAGAGTTTGAGGCATCAAAAGTGTATGTCATTGCCCAAAAGTATTTAACAGCTTTCTATGTTTTAGGAATTCACTAGAAATAAGGCATGCTTTTTAAAAAAGAAAAAAAATAGTAATCTTTGAATTTAAATATGTGGGTTTCCATGAAAAACAAATGAGTACCCTTCCTTGAAAAACTACTACTTTGAAGAGTCTCGTAGGTTCTGAGGCTCGTGTGTGTGTGTGGGTGTGTGTGTATAAAACATTTTCTTTTATATTTGGTAAGAAGGAATAAGGTATTTTATACTTTTCTGGTCTGTTAAATGCATAATCTATAAGACTATAATACTTTAAAAAATTTTAGTTTATCTGAGGCTTAAAATAACAAAAGAACTTAAAGCTCCTGTGGAAGAGCTCCAAAATTAAAACTGTAAGATCACATATAGATAAAACGTTATATAAAGCAGGCTTTGGGACCCCAGGCATGATGGCTCATTCCTGTAATCCCAGCACTTTGGGAGGCCAAGGTGGGTGGATCACCTGAACCCAAAAGTTCGAGACCAGCCTGAGCAACATGGTGAAACCCTGTCTCTACAAAATACAGAAAAAAAAAATATTAACCAATTTTTTTAACCTCCCAGCTACTTGGGAGGCTGAGATGGGAGGATGGCTTGAGCCTGGGGAGGTCGCGGCTGCAATGAGTCATGATCGCGCCACTGCACTCCAGCCTGGGTAATAGATTGAAACTCTGTCTCCACACACACACACACAAATGACTTTTGGTAAGACTGTACATAGAGTTTATGGCCTTATTAAGAAACTCTTTTGAGCAACCTAAGAAAACACAAGTATTTCTGTACATTACTTTGTTAAAGTGTACAGGATAATAAGAGAGAGCTAAGAGCCTTTTCTAAATGTGCATCCAATTTTAAGAGGCTAAAATAGGAAGCTTTCATATAGCCAAGGCCCCATTAACTTGGGAATCTGGAAAACAGAAGACGTAAGTTTCTATCAGAGTTTCTTTAAATTTATGTAAATCATAAATTTGAGCAAGGCAGTTATAAAAGACATTAAAATTAAGATACTCAGGATTTTATATGTAATAATATTGATTCCAATATCTTCAACACTATGGCATTGCCAATGAGGAGACCAAAATGAATTGTATTTTATGAAAGGGCTATATTAGACCAGTGACTTAAAAGTTCCAAGTACATATAATGACAAAGCGTTGTGGAATCATCTTGTACTACTGTTTATGTAGTAGTTTAAAAAAAAAAAGAAAAAGAAAATGGTGCAATTTTAGACAGTTTAAAAAAATTTTACAAATACTGCAAATCATAGGTTGGTTACCACTAGACTTCCTGACTGCAGTGGTTGCTGTATTCACTGTACATTCTTTTAAAACACCAGGCACTTTATAATTTTGTCTATAATTGTTTATATATTTTTTCTTCACAACATGTTTTAGAATAACTTATTGCTAAGTTACTTCAACGTATGTGCCATCTTTAAACTTTATATATGAGTATACTAAAGTGTCATTTGCAAGACACATCTATGCACTATTTTTTTTTTCAGGAGCCTCTTTATTCAAAATACTTTTAAATGCAGTGCATAAAAATAGCAGGCCACTTCCACTTGCAGGCTTTTGAAGCTGGAGAAGACTTGTTTTTCACATGAGGAAACTGAGTCCCAGCAAGGTGAAATGACTTGCTAGTAAGTGATACGATTAAACTTATTTTTTGACTCCAAAGCACATTCTGCCAACTTGAAGATGCTTGTCCCAACTTCTGGAAATTCACCCTATCAACGTCTGTATCACAACCCCATTCTTAATAATAGTTTCTTCACATTAGAAATAAATGTCAGAAATAAATGTCTACTTGTCATTTGTACATGTCATGCAAACATCTTGGCACCAGATATGGGTACAAGTAGAAAGCATCAGCGTGTTCATCTAAGAACTGGATTTTATCCAATGGAATGTTCTGTTTATTCATTGCTATTCATGCATACCTGCTGTGTTTTAACGTTGTGATAAATCCAGAGAATCAAATATGAATAAAAATACTCCCTGAATTCAACAAAGTAGGCATTGGCTCTGGCCAGGGGACAAAATGTTAAATGGCATGCAGTCTTCACCCTGGCACAACTTGAAGCTTATCACCTATTGTAGAGATGAAGCCATAAACAGATCATTTCAGCACAGCATGATAAGGGGGAGCTCCAGGGATCATGGTAGTACATGGGCCCAGTCCCTAATTAAATCTGGTGGAGTGTGGGCAAAGTTAAGGAAGGCTTCCTAGAGGAGAGGGCATTGGGGTTGATCCCTGGCAGGAACAGGGCTCCAGGCAAGGGGAACAAAGACCAGTGACAATGGAGAACCTTGGAGTAGTCCGGTATAGAGGATCATGAGGGATGTATGCAGAGATGGGAGAGAGAAGAGAGCAGGCACAGGCAGAGGCAAGGCTGTGAAGGGCTTTTATATGCCTGGCCAACAAACTTGCATTTCATCTTGCAAACAGGGGGGGCCCTTAAGGTTTTAAGCATTTACCTGACCAGGTCTGCATTTTAAATATATCACTTTGGTGGTAGCATGGGGAATGCATTAGAGGCCAGCAAGATTGGATATTGAGAGATCAGTTAGGTTTCTGCAAGTGGTTGTTGGCCTGAGCTAAGAGTGGCCAGGGGAAGGAGAGAGATCTGAATTGATGGAAGATGCTCAGATGCTAGAAATAAATGGACTTGATGACTGATTCCATGTGATGGCAGAGGAAAAGCATGTCAATGGCATCCAGAGTGCTTAAACAATTAAGTTGTGGTGGGATGGGGATGTTTTGAGTTGGAACCCGGTAAAATTAGGTCTAGAGGGAAAAAGATCCATGTTCAGTGTGGGCCCAGCAGTTGGTTTTGAGGCACGACTGAAATACCTAAGTGTTTAAAATTCTTTCATATTGTTTCATCTTTTTTCCTCTTAAAGAGCACATTTCTTGAGAAACGCTCTCAAGAAATGTGTCTCCTTTCATTATTTTTATTTTTTGTTTTGTTTTTGTGTAGTACAGCTATCATGGTCCTGTGTAAAGCCAGCTGTGAGACAGACTGTTCAATATTTTGGGCAATGTTTTGAAAAAGATGGGATTTGGGAGTATATGAAAGAAGGAAAGAGAAAGAATGTTCCTAGCTCTAGTTGTCCCATAAGCATTTCAATGAATTAAGTGTAGTAAATTTCTGTTGTGCATAGCAATTAGTAGATGGAGAGGAGTGAAACATTTCAGAGACAAAAAGCATTTAAGAATATTTTTGTTTTTAGAAATTTGATGAGTTTGGTTACAACATATGCTTAAATGATTAGTATCTTCAGGTTTTCATGTAATGTTACCTGCATCTTATTACTTCAAACAGACATTCTACAAATACAGTCATGCACTGCTTCACGATGGGGATAATTCTGAGAAATGCTTTGTTAGGTGATTTCATTGTTGCATGAACATCATAGAGTGCACTTACACACACCTAGATGGCATAGCCTACTACACACCTCGAATTTGTGGTGTAACCTATCACTCCTAGCCGACACAGCTGTACAGTGTGTTACTGTACTGAATACTGTAGGCAGTTGTAATACAATGGTATTTGTGTCTCTAAACATGTCTAAATATAGAAAAGGTACAGTAAAAATACGGTATTATAATCTTATGGGATCACATATGCAGTTCATTATTGACCAAAATGTTGCTATGTGGCACATGACTATACTCACTCAGCACCTACTAAGTACTGGGTACTGGGGCAGCGTTGGCCGTAAGTGGAGACCACAGTAGCCATAGTCCTTCCTTCACAGAGTTTATAACCCGGCTGTGGATTATAAACCCTGATATGATCTTCCTGTCTGCATCTGCTTAATATAATTAACATACATCATGAGGACAACTTACAACTCGTAAATCCTGCAAGAGTGAACATGTATACCTCCAGAAGGCACTGCCATATTCAGAGGTGGAAAAAGAAAGGAAGGAAGGATTCAGTACTGCCTTGATTTTTTGCCAGTTGTGTTGGGGCTGGTGGAATTGTTCCTTAGAGCAGAAACAGGACCAGATATGGACTGTAGCTCCTGTTTATTCCCGAGTGGCTAAGAAATAAGGGGTTATCACTTATTTGCTCAAAAAGATGAGGACCAAAAAAATAGAGATTGAATAGACAAGTTTTAGAAGAAGTTGGAAACTGGTACTTCCTTGACATTTTCATTTTGAAAACCTTGAAACCCACTGAGAAGCTGAAGTAATGCAGACTTAATTGTAAAACCAAATGGGATAATTTTTTCAGCAAAGCACAATACATTATTTCTGTAATTTTTTATTTTTTTCTAATTTTTTATTTTATTTATTTATTTTTTGAGATAGAGTCTCGCTCTTGTTGCCCAGGTTGGAGTGCAATGGCGTGATCTAGGCTCACTGCAACCTCCACCTCCCGGGTTCAAGCACTTCTGCTTCAGCCTCCCAAGTAGCTGGGATTACAGGCATGCGCCACCATGCACCTGGCTAGTTTCGTATTTTTAGTAGAGATGGGGTTTCACCATGTTGGTCAGGCTGGTCTCAAACTCCTGACCTCGTGTGATCCACCCTCCTTGGCCTCCCAGAGTGAGCCATGGTGCCTGGCCTATTTCTGTATTTTTTCTGTGCCCAGTCTTACCTCTGTTCCTCATTTTTAAGGGAATGATAGCCTTTCTCCTATCTAGCTAGTCCTTTGCTTTCTCTTTCCCGTTTTCCTCTGGTATCTTAACTCTTTCTATATCTTAAAATTCTCCCTCTTCACTTAATTTCTTTTCCTTACTTGCTTCCATTCTAAAATATCCCCTCTAGACCTACTCTCTTTCTGTGCTCCACCGGGAGCATTTGTGTCCTTAACTGAGCTTTTAGAAAAAAGTCAATAGAAAGGTGTCTTTCTATTGGTTTTCCCATTCTCATTTCTCATTCATCCCCGTGCCATCAGGTTTTCTTTCTTTTTTTTTTTTTTTTTTTTTTGAGATGGAGTCTCACTCTGTCGCCCAGGCTGGAATGCAGTGGCGTGATCTCAGCTCACTTTAACCTCTGCCTCCCGGGTTCAAGCGATTCTCCTGCCTCAGCTTCCCGAGTAGCTGGGATTACAGGCACCTGCCACCACGCCCTGCTAATTTTGATATTTTTAATAGAGATGGGGTTTTGCCACATTAGCCAGGCTCTTCTCGAACTCCTGACCTCAAGTGATCTGCCTGCCTTGGCCTCCCAGGGTGCTAAGATTACTGGCATGAGCCACCACACCCAGCCTGGTTTTCTTAGTTTGCTGAAGGCCTATTTGCCAACTCTGATGGTTTTCAGTCCTCATCCTGCTTGCTCTCTCTGTGCAGGGAACAGTGTCACTCGTTCCTGGGTTCCTCCTTGGCCCCTGCCTGTGTTGCTTTTGCTGGCCACCTCGTTTGGTGTATCCCTCAAAGGTAGCTCCTCTCTGCAGCTCCACCTCCCACCTCAGTGCTCTCCTTGGCCCAAGCCTGGGTATGGAGAGCTCAGCTGTCTACCAGGACAGCTCCTGATTGCCCCTCCTCTGGCTCCTCTGCCCTGAGCCTGTCTCTCTCTATACCCTCCTCCTCATCATGTTTTGGGTCATGGCATCACTCTTGCCCCAGTTACCCAATCAGTACATGTTCCTCTTCATCAGGTTGGGTCAATTCTGCCTTCTAGCCCCCTCAAAGCTCACACCTGGGTCTGTTCCACCATCAGCGATACTTGAACAAAGGGCTGGGGACCCAGGGTTGAGGAATCAACGTCTCCATACCTAGAAAGGCCACAGTCCACAGTGCAACTCCAAGTGTGCTCCATAGACTGACAGCCCACATATATTTTTTAAAAAATAGGCTTAATTTTTAGAGCAGTTTTTGGTTCATAGTAAAATTGAGCAGAAGGTACAAAAGTTTCCCACATACCTGCTACCCCCACACATACACAGCTTCTCTCATCGACATCCCACACCAGAATGGTGCGTTTGTTACAATTGCTGAACCTACATTAACACATCATTATCACCCAAAGTCCATAGTTTACATTAGGGTTCACAGTTCATGTTGTACATTCTATGGGTTTGGACAAAGCTATAATGACATGTTTCTACCACTATAGTATCATACAGAGTCAGTTCACCACCCTAAAAATCTTCTGGGTTCTGCCTGTTCATCCCTCCCTCTTCCTAACACCTGGCAACAGCTGATCTTTTCAGTATATCCATAGTTTTGCCTTTCTAAGAATTGCATATAATTGGAATCATGTAGTATGTAGCCTTTTAACACTGGCTTCTTTCACTTAGTCATATGTATTTGTTACCTCCATATCATTTCATGACTTCATAACTCATTTTTTTTAGCACTGAATAATATTCCATCATCTGGATATACCACAGTTTTTTTTACCCATTCACCTACTAAAGAACATGGTTGCCTCCATGTTCTGGCAATTATGAATGAAGCTATTGTAAACCTGTGTGCAGGTTCTTGGGTCGACATAAATTTTCACCTCCTTTGGGTAAATACCGAAGAATGTGATAATGTGATTGCTAGATCAAACATTAAAATTATGCTTAGGTTTGTTAGAAGCTGCCAAACTTTCATAGTGACTGGACCATTTTGCATTTCCACCAGCAATGAATGAGAGTTACTGTTTCTTCACATCCATGTCAGCGTTTGGTGTTGTCAGTGTTCTGGCTTTTGGCTATTTTAATAGGTGTGTAGTGGCCTCTCATTTGCATTTCCCTAAGGACATATAATGGGGAGCATTATATGCCTATTTGCCATTTGTATTTCTTCTTTTTGAAAAATTAATTTTGATAAGAAATACTTAACATAAGATCTAACCTCTTAACAAATGTTAAAGTGTACAATGTACACAGTTAACACTCTGTTGTTAACTATAGAGACAATGCTGTACATTGGATCTCCAGATCCACATCTTGCATAATTGAGACTTTATGTGTGATGATTGAGCAGCTTCCCATTCCCCCATCCCGATTCCCTGGCAAGCATAATTCTGCTCTCTGATTTGATGAGTTTACTATTCTGGGTACCTCATATAAGTGGAGTCATGTAGTATTTGTCTTTCCATGACTGGCTTATTTCACTTAGCATAATGACCTCAAGGTTCATCCATGTTGTAGCACGTGTCGGAATGTCCTTCTTTTTTCAGGCTAAATAATATCCCACTGTATGTATATGCCACCATTTAAATAATCCATTCATCTGCCAAAGAACATCAGGTTGTTGTCGCCACTTCTTGACTACTGTGAGTAGTGCTGCAGTGAGCATTGGAGTGCTAATATCTGTTTGAGATCCTGATTTCAATGGTTTTAGATTGGATTGCTGCATCATACAGTATTTTTATTTTTAATTTTCTGAGAAATTTTTATACTGTTTTCCATAGTGGCTGCATCATTTTGTATTCTCATCAATAGTACAAGGTTTCCCATTTCTCCACATCCTTACCAACATGCTTTTTTATTTTTTTTTTGATAATAGCCATTATCTAAACAGGTGTGAGGTAGTATCTCATGGTTTTGACTTGCACTTCTCTGATGATTAGTGTGATGTTGAGTATTTTTCATATACATGTTGGCCATTTTTGTCTTCTTTGAAGAAATGTCTATTCGAGTCCAGGCCCATTTTTACGTTGGATTATTAGTGTTTTTGCTATTGAGTTGCAGGAGTTTATTTAATTTCTGAAATTAGATATTACCACATAGGCTGGGCGTGGTGGCTCACACCTGTAATCCCAGCAATTTGGGAGGCTGAGGTGGGAGGATCACTTGAGGTCAGGAGTTCAAGACCAGCCTGGCCAAAATGGTGAAACCCCATCTCTACTAAAAATACAAAAAAATTAGCTGGGCATGGTGCTGCACGGCTGTGGTCCCAGCTACTGAAGAGGCTGAGGCAGAAGAATCGCTTGAACCTGGGAGGTGGAGGTTGCAGTGAGCCGAGTTCATGCCACTGCACTCCAGCCTAGGCAACAGAGCAAGACTCCGTTTCACAAAAAAAAAAAAAAAAAAAAAAAAAATGACCATATATGTGTGGGATGATTTTCCATCCATATTATATCTTCTTTGGTGAGATGTCTGTTAAGGCATTTGGCACACCCCCACTTTTTTTTTGAGAGAGGGTCTCACTCTGTCACCAAAGCTGGAATGCAGTGGTGTGATCACTGCTTACTGCAGCCTCTACTTTCCAGACTCAAGCAATCCTCTGCCTCAGCCTCCTGAGTAGCTGGGACCACGGGTGCGTGCCATCACACCTGGATAATTTAATTTCTGAAATTAAATAATAAATCTTTAATTTCTGAAATTAACTTCTTATCTGACATATGGTTTGCAAATATTCCCTCCCATTCCTTAGGTTGCTTTTTCACTCTGTTGATTGTTTCCTTTGCTGTGGAAAAGCTTCTTAGTTTGATGGACTCCCACTTGTCTATTTTTGTTTTTGCTGCCTGTGCTTTTGGTGTTATATCCATGAAGTCATTGCCAAGACCAATGTCTTGATACTTTTCTACTATGTTTTCTTCTAGCAGTTTTACATTTTCAGGTCTTACATTTAAGTCTTTAATCAATTTCAATTAATTTTTGTTTATGGTATAAGGGTCCAGTTTCATTCTATTGCATGTGGATATCCAGTTTTCCCAATACCATTTGTTGAAGAGACTGCCTTTTCCCTATTGCGTATACTTGGCGCCCTTGTCGAAGATCAGTCGACCATATATTTGTGGGATGATTTTCCATCTGTATGTCTTCTTTGGTGAGATGTCTGTTAAGGCATTTAGCCTCCCCCCCAACATCTTTTTTTTTTTTTTTTTTTTTTGAGACAGGGTCTGACTGTCAGCAAAGCTAAAAGTGCAGTGGTACAATCACTGCTTACTGCAGCCTCTACCTCCCGGGCTCAAGCAACCCGTTTCCTCAGCCTCCAGAGTAGCTAGAACCACAGGCACACACCACCATGCCTGGTTAAATTTTTTAAATTTGTTTGTAGAGATGGGATTTCCCCATGTTCCCAGACCGATCTCGAACACCTGGCTTCAAGTAATCCTCCTGCCTCAGCCTCCCAATCTGCTGGGATTACAAGCATGGGCCACCATACACAACTTGGCCCATTTTTAAAATCAGGTTGCTTGTTTTCCTATTTTTAAGTTTAAGAGTTCTTTGTGTATTTTGTATAACAGTCCTTTATCAGATATATCTTTTCCAAATATTTTTTCTCAGTCCCTGGCTTGTCTTTTTATTCTCTTAACAGTGTCTTCCACAAAGCAGAAATTTCTAATTTTAATAAAGTTTAGCTTATCAGTTCTTTCTTTCATGGATCATGTCTCTGGTGTTGTATGTAAAAAGTCAGCACCAAACCCAAAGTCATCTAGATTTTTCTCCTATGTTATCTTCTAGGAATTTTATTGTTTTGTGTTTTAAATTTAGTTTTGTGATCTATTTGAGTAAATTTTTGTGAAGAGTTTAAAGCCTTTGTCTAGATTCATTTTTTTTAATGCAGATTTCCAGTTGTTCTAGCATCATTTGTTGAAAAGACTGTCTTTCCTCCATTGTATTGCCTTTGCTTCTTTGTCTATGATCATTTGACTATGTTTATGTGAGTCTATTTTCTGGCTTCTATTTTATTCCATTAATCTATTTGTCTACTCTTTCACCAATATCACACTATCTTTATTACCATACCTTTATAGCAAATCTTGAAGTTGGTATTGTCAGAACTTCAACTTTATTCTTGTTTATCATTTCATATCATGTCATACCTGTTGGCTATTCTGGGTCTTTTGCCTATCCATATAAAATTTAGAATCAGTTTGTCGATATCCACAAAATAACTTGATGGGATTTTGATTGAGGTTGTGTTGAATTTCTAGATCAAGTTGGGAAGAAAAGACATCTTAACCACATTGAGTCCTTCTATCCATGAACATAGAATATCTCTTCATTTATGTAGTTCTCCAATTTCTTTTATCAATTGTATAGTTTTCTTCCTATAGACCTTGCACAGATTTCATTAAATTTAAAATTATTTTATTTGTAGTGGTGCTAATGTAAATGGTATCATGTTTTCAATTTCAAATTACACTTGTTGCCTGCTGGTATGTGGTAAAGCTATTGACTTTTGAATATGAACTTTGTATATAGCAGGCTACCTTTGCTATAATTTGTACCACTTTTTGTTTTATTTTCTTTTCTTCTGCTTATTTTGGATTTCATTTTTTTCTTCTTTTTCTGGTTTCCTAAGGTAGAAATTTAAATTATTGATTTTAGATTTTTTTTCTTTTCTAACATATGCATTCAATGCTATATAAAATTTCCTTTAAGCACTGGGTTTTCTGTAACCTATAATAAACTGCAGTTTCATTTTTATTTATTTTAAAATATTTTGAAATTTCTTTTGAGATTTCTCATTTGACCACTGTGTTATCTAGAAATGTATTATTTAATCTCCAAGTTATTTTGGGATTTTGCAGTTAATCTTTCTGTCAATGATTTCTAGTTTAATTCCATTGTGTTTTGAGAGCATATATTGTATGATTTGTACTCCTTTAAATTTGTTAAGGTGTTTTTTTATGGCCCAGAATATGTTCTGTCTTGATGAATGTTCCATGTGAGTTTGTGAAGAATGTGTATTCTGCTGTTATTGGATGAAATAGTCTATAGATGTATTATATCAAGTTGATTGATGGTGTTGTTGAGTTTGACTTTGTCGTTACTGATTTCCTGCCTGCTGGATCTATCCATTTCTGATAAAGAAGTGTTAAGGTCTCTAACCCTAATAGTGGATTCATCTACTTCTCCTTGCAGTTCTATCAGGTTTTGCCTCATATGTTTTTGACTCTGTTGTCAGGCTCATACACAACTTCTTTTCATTGGTACATTTAGACCACTGACATTTAAAATGATTATTTATATAGCTGGATTAACATATATCATGGTTGTTCCTGTTGTATATTTGTTATTCTTGTTCTTTGTTTCTATTTTTGTCTTCTCCTTTTCTGCCTTTTATGGTTTTAATTAACTATTTAACAATATTTGTTTCCTTTCTTAACGTATGAGTTATATTTCTTTTTTTTTTTTTTTTTTTACTTTTTTCAGTGGTTGCTCTAGAGTTTGCCATATACATTTACAGCCAATCCAGGTCTTCTTTCAAATAATATGATACTGCTTCATAGGTAACATGATTACCTTTTCATAATAAAATAATTCTAGTTCCTCCTTCCTATCCCTAATATCACATTGTTGTCATTCATTTTGCTTATAGATAAGCATATATATGTATATATAATCAAACGCTGTTGTCACTAGTATTATTTTGAATAAAACATTATCTGTTAAAACAATGAAAAATAAGAAAAATAAAAATTTTTATTTTTTCTTAATTTATTCCTTCTCTGATGATCTTTTTTTCTTGATGTAGATCCAAGTTTCTGGCCTATATAAGTTTTCTTCTCTCTAAATAATCTTTTTAAACATTTATTGCAAGGCAGATCTATTTACAATGCTTTCCCTCAATTTTTGTTTGTCTGAGAAAGTCTTTATTTCTCCTTTACTTTTGAAGGGTAATTTTACAGGACATAGAATTCTAGGTTGATGATTTTGTTTCGTTTTGTTTTTTTCTCTTAACACTTTCAGAATTTCACACTACTGTCTTCTTGTTTGCATGGTTTCTGAGGAGAAGTTCAGATGTAATGAACTCCTCTATAGGTAAGGTGTTTTTTCATCTGGCTTCCTTCAAGATTGTTTCTTTACCTTTGATTTCCTATACTTTTAATGTGATATGCTTAGGAGTAGTTTTTTGTTTGTTTGGTTTCAGTTGTTTTGCATCGGTCCTGCTTGATGTTCTCTGAGCTTCTTGGATCTGTGGTTTGGTGTCTGACATTAACTGGGGGAAAATTCCCAGTCATTATGGCTTCAAATATTTTTTATGTGCCCTTTCACTGTTTATGCTCCTTCGAGTATTCTCATCACATCTGATTACACCTTTTGTAGTTGTCCCATAGTTCTTGGATATTCTGTTTTCTCTTTTTTTTTTCAGTTACTTTTCTCTTTGCTTTTTAGTCTTGGTAGTTTCTATTGAGATATCGCCAAGCTCAGAGATTCTTGCCTCAGTCTACTAATTAGCCCATCAAAAGTATTCTTCATTTCTCTTACATTGTTTTTTATCTCTAGTATTTTTTTAATTCTTTTTTTGAATTTCCATGTCTCAGCTTATGTTTCTCATCTGTCTTTGCGTGCCCTCTACTTCATTCCTTAGAGTCATTAGTATCTTTATCATTGTCTTGGTTAATTTGTGCTGCTATAACAGAATACCACAGATGAGATAATTTATACAGAACAGAAATTTATTTCTCACAACTCTGGAGGTTGAGAAGTCCAAGATTAGGTTGTTAGTATCTGGTGTCTAGTGCCTTCTTGCTGTGTCCTCCCATGGCAGAAGGCAGAAGAACAAGTGAGAGTGAAAGTTGTATTCTCACATACCGGAAGAGTGAAAAAGAGAGACCCTACTCTTGCAAACTCTTTTGATATTGGCATTAATCCATTCATAAGGGCCAGGCCCTCATGACCTAAAAACCTTCTGTTAGGCCCACCTCTCAATATAATTGCATCGAAGATTAAGTTTTCAATACAAGAGTTTTAGAATGGACAAAAACATTTCAACTATAACAATTATAGTTGGTTTACATGGACACAGGGAGGGGAACAACACACACTGGGGCCTGTTGGTGCATAGGGTGAGGGGAGAGAGACCATTAGGAAAAATAGCTAATGCATGCTAGGCTTAATAACTAGGTGACGGGTTGATAGGTACAGCAAACCACCATGGCACACATTTGCCTAAGTAACAAACCTGCACATCCTGCACATGTACTGGAACTTAAAATAAAAATAGTAATTTTTTTTAAAAAAGGAATGGCAAAAACCACAATTACTTTTGCCCCAACCTAATACTTGAATTCAGTTTAACGAAGTCTGACTTTGACTTGAACTGTAGCATCACTTGTTCAATTTCAGGCACTGCTCAATTTACTTTTCTGAAATTAATCTAACCATTAGCAATATGTTTGATCTTGGGAAAGACAGGGTAATAAACATCACTTAGAGACACAGTTCAGCCTAAAAAAAAATAGTTCTTTTAAATTCCCAATCTAATAATTCCAAAATCCTTGCTATGTCTCAGTCTGGTTCTGATGCTAGCTCTGTGTCTTCAAACTGTGTTTTTTGCCCTTCAGTATGCCTTGTAATTTTTTCCTGGTAGCTGCGCGTGATGTACTGGGCAAAAGGACTTGCCGTAAATAGGCCTTCAGTAATCTCACGGTAGGTGTGGGGAGAGGGGAAACATTCTATAGTCCTGTGATTAGGCCTGCCTCTGTCTTTTAGTGAATCGATGCCTCTGAACTATGAACTTCACATGCGTTTCTCAGTTTCCCCCGCTTAGGAGGGACAGGATGGCTGGAGAGAGCTGGAGTGGGGTATTTCTCTTCTCCCACATGGAAGTATAGAGGGGGCTGAAATTGAGTATTTCACTTCCCCCAAAACACCTGGGCTCTGATAAAACCCCATCAGGTTAGGCTGTGGTCAAATAGCAGATCTTGTTAAGAACAGATGGGGGCTGGGTGCGGTGGCTCACACCTGTAATCCCAGCAGTTTGGGAAGCCGAGGCGGGTGGATCGTGAGGTCAGGAGTTTGAGACCAGCCTGGCCAAGATGGTGAAACCCTGTCTCTACTAAAACTACAAAAATTACCTGGGCGTGGTGGCAGATGCCTGTAATCCCAGCTACTCGGGAGGCTGAAGCAGGAGAATCACTTGAAACCAGGAGGCAGAGGTTGCAGTGAGCTAAGATCACATCAATGCACTCTAGCTTGGGCAACAGAGCAAGACTCCACTTCAAAATAAAAAAAAAATGAAGAAAAAAGAACAGATGAGGCCTAGCACGGTGGCTCACACCTGTAATCCCAGCACTTTGGGAGGCCGAGGCAGGTGGATGACTTGAGGTGAGGAGTTTGACACCAGCCTAGCCAACATGGCAAAACTGTCTCTACTAAAAATACAAAAATTATTCAGGCATGATGAGGCTGAGGCAGGAGAATTACTTGAACTTGGGAGGCGGAGGTTTCAGTGAGCCGAGATCATACCACTGCACTCCAGCCTGGGTGACAGAGCGAGGATCCATATCAAAAAAGAAAAAAATGGAAAAAAAAGGACACAATGGAAGAGAGTGCTGTATTGTATTGTATTTCAAGTGGTTTCTTTCCCCCTCCCACCCCGCTAGAAGCATGAGGGGGAATTTTTCTCTGATATTCACTGTAATAACCTGGTAGAGCTCTAAGAGGCAAACCTCAAAAAATGGCCCCCTACCTCCCCATGACTGGGTCCTTCAGGGGTTTTTAACTGTCAGATTTGTACACAACCAGTCTCTGGCAATTGGTCAATTACAATTCAGGTTTTCCTACCTGGTTTTGGTCCCCACAGAGGTCTCTGCTCTGACAAGTTGTTTTCTGTATCTACCTGTTTGTCTCTCCAATTTCAGAGGCAGCAGTTTGCCCTGTGATCTCACTCTTACAGACCCAAGTCAGGTTGTTGAGTTTTCAGTTTGCTCAGCTTTCCACCTGTTATGATGAAGGGGCAGCTTCCAAGTGCTTTAAATGCCAAACTGGAAACTGGACTTCCACAAACATTTTTGATCAGCCTGTGACAAGACAAATGCAGAAAATGAGGGAAAGCATTTAGAGACCTGTATAGAAATTTGACATTGCCACGGTACCCGAGTGTAAGATTTTGTATATAATAAAATTACGTTTCTAGCAGATTGGAAATTAGAAACAAAACAACAATAACAGCTGATAGAAGGAGAAGCATGGGACTGGGAGGCAGTCCAGAAAGTGATGATTTGGGATGAGAACGATACCGCTTTTGCTATTATCTAGAAGGTGCCCATAGATCCTGGGGGAAAAGGTTGAACTCTCTGAGGTACATAGAGAAGTGGTTTTCAGAGGAGGTGTGGTGGGGAGGGTCCAGCAGCCTAGGAGAGGGCACAGATTTCCCTTACCCCAACTACCTCACCCCTGCTATTAGAGTGACCATCCTAAAGTGAGATCTGATCACAATTGTGCCCTTGCTTAAATCATTTTTAAGGATTTTATTTTATTTTTTTGAGACAGTCGCACTCTGTCCCCAAGGCTGGAGTGCAGTGGCGCGATCTCAGTTCACTGCAACCTCCGCCTCCTGGATTCAAGCAATTCTCCTGCCTCAGCCTCCCAAGTAGCTGGGATTACAGGAGCGCGCCACCATGCCTGGCTAATTTTTGTATTTTTGATACAGATGAGGTTTCACCATGTTGGTCATGCTGGTCTCAAACTCCTGACCTCAAGTGTTCTGCCCATCTTGACCTCCCAAAGTGCTGGGATTACAGGCATGAGCCACTGCACCCTGCTGTTTAAATCCTTTAGAACCATCCTCCTGCACGTAAACAAATTTACAAGAAAAAAAACAAACAAACAAGGCTGGGCACAGTGGCTCACGCCTGTAATCCCAGCACTTTGGGAGGCCGAGACAGGCAGATCATGAGGTCAGGAGATCGAGACCATCCTGGCTAACATGGTGAAACCCCATCTCTATTAAAAATACAAAAAATTAGCCAGGCATGGTGGCAGGCACCTGTAGTCTCAGCTACTCGGGAGGCTGAGGCAGGAGAATGGTGTGAACCTGGGAGGCAGAGCGGGCAGTGAGCCGAGATCGCGCCACTGCACTCTAGCTTGGGTGACAGAGCAAGACTCCGTCTCAAAAAAAACAAAAACAAAAAACAAACAAACAAAAAAATCCCATCAAAAAGTGGGCAAAGGATATGAACAAACATTCTCAAAAGAAGACATTTATGCAGCCAACAAACATGAAAAAAAGCTCAGCATCATTGAACATTAGAGAAATGCAAATCAAAACCACACTGAGATACCCTCTCATGCCAGTCAGAATGGCGATTATTAAAAAGTCAATAAACAATAGATGCTGGCAAGGCTGTGGAGAAATAGGAACACTTTTACACTGTTGGTGGGAATGTAAACAAGCTCAACCATTGTGAAAGACAGCATGGTGATTCCTCAAGGATCTAGAACCAGAAATACCATTAACCCAGCAATCCCATTACTGGGTATATACCCAAAGGATTATAAATCATTCTACTATTAAGACACATGCACACGTATGTTTACTGCAGCACTATTTACAATAGCAAAGACATGGAACCAACCCAAATACCCATCAATGATAGACTAGATAAAGAAAATGTGGTACATGTACACCATGGAATACTATGCAGCTATAAAAAGGAATGAGATCATGTCCTTTGCAGGGACATGGATGAATCTGGAAGCCATCATCCTCAGCAAACTAACACAGGAACAGAAAACCAAACACCGCATGTTCTCACTCATAAGTGGGAGGTGAATGATCAGAACACATGGTCACAGGGAGAGGAGCATCACACACCGGGGCCTGTTGTGGGGGTGGAGGGCAAGGGGAGGGAGAGCATTAGGACAAATCGCTAATGCATGTGGGGCTTAAAACCTAGATGATGGGTTGATAGGTGCAGCAAACCATCATGGCACACGTATACCTATGTAGCAAACCTGCAAGTTCTGCACTTGTATCCTGGAACTTAAAGTAAAATCACAATAAAAATTAAAATTAAACAGAAACATCCTCCTGCCTTCCACTTCTCAACAGTGCCATTCACAAGGTCTTTTGCTGCCTGACTGGCAGACTGTTCCAGCCTTGTTTCCCACCTCTCCAGCCTATGCACCCTTCTCTCCCAGCAGCTGCATTTCTTAGGGTAGACCATGACATGCATGATCACCCACACACCTGTGGGTCTGCTGCCTCTTCCATTTGGAGGGTCTTCTCTCGTCTCATCCTTTTCTGATGAAATGCCACACACTCTTTCACATCCTCCTCTTTGAGGCTTCCCTGCACTTGAGGTCAAATGCATGGGCAGGAGCCAGGTGTTCAATCAGTGTTGAGCCATCTATGTGGCAACTACTTCGTCATCGCAATGCAAAGGTAGCCATAAACAAGTGCTCCAGTAACACTTACAAAAACAGGCTGCAGGCTGGATTTAGTTTGCCAAGCCCTGTTCTAAAGGAGAGAAAATATCCCCTTTTTTCTGCCCTGTCACTGAAAAGGGAATGTGGAGCTGAAAAGGGAACTTTCAAATTCAACCACTCCTCTGATGACTTGATGGTTCTGAGTCTTCATTGGGTGTTTCACAACTGGCGAGTGGGGTGTGTTTTAGGCCTTTAGGTAGGGGTGATCTCCAAATAACACAGACCTCAGCATCTGGATGTGTCAAGGCTGGGGTGGGCGTAGGGAGGGGCAAACAGGGAAGAAGCTATTTAAAGCTGGGTTTCGGGGAGGTGCTTTCTAGGATAGAGACAGCTTTGCTGGGGTTCCTATCCTTCTCAGGGAGAGAGACTTAATTTTATTGATTGAATGATTGATTGTTGAGACGTAGTCTTGCTCTGTTGCCCAGGCTGGAGTGCAGTGGCGTGATCTCAGCTCACTGTAACTTCCACCTCCCAGGTTCAAGCAATTCTCCTGCCTCAGCCTCCCTCCCAAGTAGCTGGGATTACAGGCACATGCCACCATGCCTGGCTAATTTTTGTATTTTAGTAGAGATGGGGTTTCACCATGTTGGTCAGGCTGTTCTCAAACTCCTGATCTCAAGTGATCCACCCACCTCAGCCTCCCAAAGTGCTGGGATTACAGGCGTGAGCCACCGTGCCCAGTCTGAGAGCTACTTTAAAGCAAGCATTGGCCAACTTTTTCTATTAAGAGCTATAGAGTGAATATTTTTGGCTTTGTGACCCAGACAATCTCTGTCACAGTTACTTTGTCATTGCATTGCAAAGGCAGCCATAGACAAGAGGGTGTAACTGTGCTCCAATGACACTTGTACAAGAGCGTTCCAATGACATTTACAAAACAGGCTGCAGACTGGATTTAGTTGACTGACACCTGTTCTAAAGAGAGAGAAGAATCCCCCTTCTTCTGTTCTGTCTCTAAACAGCCTTTCAGAAACCTCATTAGGATTGCCTTTGGGGTTTCTAAATCCCCAGATCTATTCTCCCCCGAAATGACATAAACAATGAATTATCTGCCCCCTCTTGCCAATTTATTGCAGAGGCCTGAAATGTCCTTCACTAGTGGGGTGGAAGATGTAGGCCACATTCTTTTTTTTTTTTTTTTTTTTTTTGAGACAGACTGCAGTGGCGAGTTCTCGGCTCACTGAAACCTCCACCCCCTGGGTTTAAGCAACTTTCCTGCTTCAGCCTCTGGAGTGCTAGGATCAAAGGCATCAGCCATCACGCCTGGCTAATTTTTGATATTTTTAGTAGAGACAGGGTTTCACCGTGTTGGCCAGGCTGATCTTGAACTCCTGACCTCAGGTAATCTGCCCACCTTGGCCTCCCAAAGTACTGTGATTATAGCAGTGAGCCAGCGCGCACATTCTAAGCATTGTGTAAGTGTTTGTAAATTTTTTTACTCAGGTCTTTATGAGATAGACACATGAAGTTCTTCTAAAACCTCACCATAAAGCAATTTTGTAATGTCAAGAGTGCCCTGTCTATGTTTCAGTGGGCTGTGTGAATTCTGGACTGGGAGAGTAAAGTTTAGCTGGTCATAAACTTGGATAACGCTGGGCACAGTGGCTTACATCTGTAATCCCAGCATTTTGGGAGGACAAGGCAGGCAAATCACTTCAGGTCAGGAGTTTGAGACCAGTCTGGCCAACATGGAGAACACCACCTCTACTAAAATACAAAAATTAGCCCAGTGTGGTGTCACGCCCCTGAAATCCCAGCTACCCCAGAGGCTGAGGCAGGAGAACTGCTTGAACCTGGGAGGCAGAGGTTGCAGTGAGCCAAGATCGCAACATTGCCCAGTGGGCGCATCTTACCCAAACTGGGCAGGAGAGCAAGACTCCATTTCCAAATAAATAAATAAATAAATAAATAAACTAAACTGGGGTAAAGCTGAGGACTGAGAGGATACCCATGTCCCTGGTATGGTTATGCTATCCACAGTTCACAGCCTATGGGGAAAATGCAAAGATTACTAATATCTTCGAGTTAGTAGAGTGATGGACAGTATAGTAATGCATAAATTATGCCCGTAGACATTAAAGGCAAACATGTCCACTTCTTTGGTGATATACTCTGCAAAATGCCCAAAGAGCCATGTAAATTAAAATCTAAAACAATGGAATCACTAAAACTCTGACTTAACCTGCACCAGGCAAGGAGGTGAAGGAAGCTTGCTAACAGTATAGGGAACCTTTTGTCACCTCCCTCTGCCACCAAGGGGCTCCATGGAGGTCACCTGCTACCTTGTTTCCCCAAAGCCACAAATCAGGACATCTTTTGTTAGCCTGGCTGAATGGGACTGCCTAGTAGTGAAGCCAGTGCCAGGGCAGCTAGGAGGCTGGGACTCTGACTTCATCCTTCTCATCTGCTGGTGCCATTTTGAATGTCTTCAGATTAGTCTCCTATTCTGAAACCTAACCAGAGCCAGACATTATTCACCAAGCATCTTTTGCCCCAAGATGTAGTCAAAATCAACGTGTGCATCATAGCCTTCAGCAGGTTGAGTTTCTTTAAAATTTCAAATTCCTCTCTTTCACTTTCCTTATATTTCACATCTCTAAATACCCCCATGAAAAACTGATGATATACCTGTTATTGCCCATCTCTTTTTCATCTGACATCTGAACGCCTTGTAAATTATATTTCCGTGCAACAATTTATTGAACATCTACTATAACTTTATGTTGTAAAACTGAATAAGAGTGGTATAGAGTATGACTTCATCATCATGTGGATGCATAAACTGATTTATTTTCCTACAGACTCTTCTTATAGGAGTGTAGTGCATGTAAATTAATAATTTGATACCTCTTTTCTCACCATTTATCTTTAGATATTTAGGTTTTCATTTTAAAAGTCCATTTTGAATAAATGTATTGTCAATTTTGAAGAGGACTGGTTTATCTTGGTTCATTCTAATGTTATGTACTTTTATGCTTGAATTATTTACTATGGGTTGCTTATTGACCTATTTTACTTGTTGTTTTATGGAACACATATTTTCAGTGGAGACAGGCTAAGCTATATTTATTTATACCACAGTACATTAACCATAAAACTATCTAACTACAGTGAAATGATGCTAATCTGGAACCCTCAGGGAATGGGTTATTCAAGATAGCCCAGTTTTAGGAATTAACATTAACTATTTGTGATGGAAATCTTTCTAAAATGGATTATACTTTCCCGTCTCATCTTGAAAGCATATCAAGTCTCATTTAACTTTGGTAATAACTCATCGTCATCAGTAAGAATTGGACTGTATAACTCAGTTCTCATGAAAGGACTCGGCCTTTTCGTTTTTAGTTGTTTTGGTTTTTTGTTTTCTGTTTAGTTCTCATTGGCATTTCTCAGAAGCTTTCTGTGTCTTCAATTGCTGTCAGCTGTATTTCTCGTTGGCCCTACCTGCAGGCCTCGACCTGCCCTTCAAAATTCTGCTTTTATGCTCCTGCGGACTTGGAGACCAGGTAGTGGAGCTAAGTAGAATACAGCCAGCATGAAAAAGGGCTTCCAGAGCCCACTAATGGGCCAGATGCCACAGTTGTATATTAACTTGCAAGCAAGTCTTTTCTCAGTTCTCTGTGTATTTTAGCCAATTGGGTGTTAAAATGAGGGACATCTGCTCTAACTCCCTCCTCTGACATCCTTCTCCACTTCGCAGAGTTCTTCAGAGGCTGATTCTAGCCAGGATAGGGGAGCCATCGGGCCTTGAGTCTGGGAACTAAGGGAAATATTTGAGTATTTGAATACACCTTAGAAAATAAAATTAAAACAGGCCTCATTTTAAGTTTATAGTTTATTAAATGACACCTATATTGAGATAATCTCCTGTAAATTCCCCTTGTCTTCTTTATCCCATTGGTCCTTTTTTTTTTTTTAATAAACTCTAAACATATCTTCTTTTGACTTGCAATTTATTGGGACTAAAGCTAAAGTCTAAAGCCCTGATTTTTAAATTTTATTTATTTATTTATTTTTTGAGACAGAGTCTTGCTCTGTCGCCCAGGCTGGAGTGCAATGGTACGATCTTGGCTCACTGCAACCTCCATCTCCTGGATTCAAGCGATTCTCATGCCTCAGCTTCCCAAGTAGCTGGGATTACAGGCGCGTGCCACCATGCCTGGCTATTTTTTGTATTTTTAGTAGAGACAGGGTTTCACCCTGTTGACCAGGCTGATCTTGAACTCCTGACCTCAAGTAATCCGCCCGCCTCAGCCTCCCAAAGTGCTGGGATTACAGGCATGGGGCACCGCACTTGGGCTAAAGCCTTAATTCTAAAACAGCATCTCTAGTGAAAACTGCAGAGTCCACAATGATTCTAACCTCTTTCTTTAGGCACATTATTATGGATTGACTGCATATATTTTTTACTTTAGGCACTTTGCACAGTCACATGAGAAATGCTTTGTTAAATGGCAGGTGAGCGTTAGCCTGGAAGCCTTGGGTATCTTATATTTACATGCTGCTTTACAGCTTCTGCAGCAACTTCGTCTTTTCTCATTGGACCTTGAGAACAATGCAGAGATTGCATTGTCCCCCATGTCAGAGCCAGGAGATCAGGGGTGCAGACGTGTGAAGTGACCCATCCTAGATCCCACCGCTGTTCGCATTCTCAAGTTTGAGCTTAGATCCTCTGCTTCCAAGGTTGGTGGAGTTTTCTCACTGGCTTCACGTACTGGTGTTGGTGGATAATAGGTAAGACTTAGTTCTGACTGTGTAGATTGGGGCTGCCAACCCCTGTGAGTACAGGGAGTGTCAGGTCACAAGGAGGGGAACTTAATGGGCATGTGATCCTGAGGGGTCAAAGTCTCACCATCTTCAGCTAGTCGTCATCCTGCTGCTGCAGCTGGAGATGGGTGGAGGCTGTCTGGGATTTGATGACCAACTCCAACTGGTTAGCTGCGTGCAATAACTGGGGACCCTGATACTAAAGATAGTGACTTTAATTATGACCGTCTCATGTTTTTAGAGAACTGGGTGTTGTTTTGTTTGGTTGTGGTTTGGCCACATATTAGAAGTCAGTTAATGAAATTATTATTTTTCTTTTCTTTTTTTTTTTTTTTTCAGACGGAGCCCTGCTCTTTAGCCCAGGCCGGATTGCAGTGGCACAATCTTGGCTCACTGCAAGCTCCGCCTCCCAGGTTCACGCCATTCTCCTGCCTCAGCCTCCCGAGTAGCTGGGACTACAGGCGCCCGCCACCGCGCCCGGCTAATTTTTTGTATTTTTAGTAGAGACGGGGTTTCACCGTGTTAGCCAAGATGGTCTCGATCTCCTGACCTTGTGATCCGCCCGCCTCGGCCTCCCAAAGTGCTGGGATTACAGGCGTGAGCCACCGCGCCCAGCCGAAATTATTATTTTTCAAAACTAGATACATAAGTGTTTTGGAATAAATTCGGATCCATTTCTTAATATAAAAAATATCTGTGCCACTTGTATTCAAAGCACAAGTTTTCTTTATTTTGACTTTTTTTTTTTTTTTTTTTTTTTTTTTAAGACAGAGTCTTGCTCTGTCACCCAGGCTGGAGTGTAGCACAGTCTTGGCTCACTGCAACCTCTGCCTCCCCGGTTCCAGCAATTCTCCCGCCTCAGCCTCCTGAGTACCTGGGATTGCAGGCGTGCACCACTATGCCTGGCTAATTTTTGTATTTTTAGTACAGAAGAGATTTTACTATATTGGCCAGGCTGGTCTTGATCTCCTGACCTCATGATCCACCCGCCTTGGCCTCCCAAAGTGCTGGGATTACAGGTGTGAGCCACCACGCTAGGCCAATTTTGACTTTTTTATTTTGAAATATAGCTGTTCTTTGGGCTGGAAAAAAAATGGTCTTTGGCAAAAATAATTTGTAAACTGTATTTAACATGTCATTTAGAAATTCTATGTCTTGTTTTAAGAATTATTTTATGATAAGATATATTAAGCTGTTGTTTTTAAAGATCTATTAAGATATTACCTTCCATATAGATTAATATTTAGATAAACCTTAAAGAAATTTATATTTATATTTTGATTTTCACTTATGTGTGTGTGTGTATTTGCTGATTGACTGGAGATTGCTTCCAGAAAAGTCAACTCAACCTCAGAATTCTAAAATGTTCTCTTTATCCAGTTAAGTTTTTTTTTTTTAATCAGAAATTTAGGCTGATTTATTTAACCGGCTGGTGCTATCCAGTTAGTCCTGTAATTAAAAATTCATTTCTCAAAGATGTTACTAAAATCTTAGAAATATTAAAGCTTTAACCCTAAAGATGGGTATGGAAGTGATTAAATTTTCCCTATTATTTTTTTCTCTCTCTGCCAGCGTGATTAATTTCACTTTCTGTGTCTTACTCCATGAGCCCTAATGCTTCTGCTGAGATTCCTAATTCAGTGAAACCTGTTTAGGGGATCATCTCTGTTAGGCAGACAGCTGCTGAAAAGGCATTCACTTTCCAAGCATGGATTTTAGATTATGGCCAATCAAGACTCCGGCCTGGAAGAACACCTGTCAGAGACGTTTTTCTACAAGGAGATGGTCTCTTTAATCATATTTCATTGTACTTCAGAAAAAGGTTCGTTTTAAAATGTGAGTAAAATTGCATCTGCTTTTATAATTCATCCTTTTCAGCTGAAACACCAATTTAGAGCTTATTTATGACATTGTTCTATAGTGAAACGAGAAACTGCCACAAAGTGTTTAAAAAGGAAGGGCTTTCCCAGACATCCGATTTGTAATTTTCTCTTGTGAAAAAAATATAAAAAAAATTTTTTTTAACTTTTCTGTGTGAATATAATTAGCGATAGTAATTCCTGTGAGCAAACTTTCAAAACATTTAAGCTAAATCGTGAAAACATGTAATGAAACCTGGGAAACTTTCCTATGTTGAAATATGTTGCATTTATCTGTGAACAATGCAAAGTATTATTGATACTGATTGGTGTTTAGAGAAACTACACTCGACTTTCAACTCGGCTGTAATTACAGGCACCGTGACGTACATAAAATGCAGGTACTTACTCACATCTGCAGACTCTATTGAGTGTAACTATTAGAAGACAAACTTCATTTTGCAAACTGTAATTTAATGGTATAACAGTGTGCAGACCAGAATATCAGTTAATTTTCAAAACATTTTATTCTACACCAATTAGCTCAGGTCCTGGAGGGCAAAATGACAAGAGGTTACTCGTTCACTATGTATTTAATTAATTGAAAAATGCTCAAATTGCTTTTACAGTTGTTATTAAAAAGTAGAATCAGTGTTGCCAGTGCTCAACCATAATTGGAACCCCAGGGAATTAAATATTTAGCATTAGTAATGTAACAGCACTTAGGACACAAATTTCTATTTTCGTAATGAAAGCTATACACTGTGAGTGCAAGCGGCTGAAACGACAGCTGTGACAAGTGAAATGGCCTGGGATATTTCAATAAGACACCTCATTGGACAGCAAGTCTTACCACATTACTAGTTTGTAAGAGATCTGCAAGTTTAATTCCCAATAGAAACCCGTTACCCAAGTATTTAGATTTCTAATTGCATGCAGGATGAACAATTGGGCAAATGTCTTGCCATAAGTGGCTGAAATGTATAGTGCTTGCTAAATAATCCTATATAAGTTCATGCCTTTGTCAATTTAAAAATAGCGGGACTGTCAGGGAATAAAGATCTTGTTTGTTTTAAGTTTAATTACATTTTAAGCATAAATGCTCTCAGTGCTACAGTGAGAAAAGTTGGATATTGGGCTCTAATGAGCTGCAGGGGTAGACGGCTAGAGACCCTAAGGGATTCACTCCATAAATTAACTGGATAAAAGTACTTGGTTAGGATATAGTTGATGGCTGAGCTGTTCTTAAAACCCAGCTATAGAGCTGTCTCTCACTCCTGTTTTCATTCTAAACAGGCCCTGTAGAGACTTAAGTAGCCTCCTGTTACAACTGTTCAACTTGTCAAAATGTATTATATTACTCCACTAATAAATAGTATTAAAGGGTATTTGACTTCATTTCTCGTTTTCAGAGGGGATCAGGTTGATAAACACAACTGGCATACATTGGCCTTATTTTAATTTGTTTATGTCACCTAAGTAATATTGAAGGTACACGGTTTGAATTTGTAAACATTACTTTCCTGGAGATGTAAAACTTACAAAATATTATGTACAATGGAAGCAATTAATGAAGGCTATTAGAGAATTTTTATCCTTGAAAGATATATGAATTTGACATTTTTAGCTCTCATTCAAAGTATTAGAAAACCCCATAGCTAAACTAACATTCTTTGAAGCATGACTAGACTAATTATTTTGCCAATCATTTTATTTTTTTTTTTGGGAAAAAAAGTTACAGGATACATTGATTTCATAATTTTCTTTTGCTTACCATTGTCCCCGTATCAGTTTTTGAGAATTTATTTATCATTTCTTTTCTATTTTATTTTTTGTATTTTTCAAAACAATACATGGACTGGGTGCGGTGGCTTGCGCCTGTAATCCCAGCACTTTGGGAGGCCGAGGCCAGTGGATCACTTGAGGTCAGGAGTTCAAAACCAGCTGGGCCAACATGGCGAAGCCCTGTCTCTACTAAAAATGCAAAATTAGCTGGGTGTGGTGGCATGCACCTGTAATTCCAGCTACTTGGGAAGCTGAGACACCAGAAGCACTTGAACCTCGGGGGCAAAGGTTGCAGTGAACCAAGATTGCGCCACTGCATTCCAGCCTGGGCAGCAAAGCGAGACTCCATCTCAAAAAACAAAAACAAAACAATACATGCTTACTTTAAAGGAAAAATAGAGAAGAAGAATGTAGGCTGGGTGTGGGGCTCATGCTTGTAATCCCAGCACTTTGGGAGGCTGAGGCAGATGGAACACCTGAGGTCAGGAGTTCAAGACCAGCCTGGCCAAGATGGTGAAACCCCGTCTCTACTAAAAATACAAGAAATTAGCCAGGCATGGTGGCAGGTGCCTGTAATCCCAGCTACATGGGAGGCTGAGGCAGGAGAATTGTTTGAACCCGGGAGGCAGAAGTTGCAGTGAGCCGAGATTGCGCCACTGCATTCCAGCCTGGGCAACAAGAGCAAAACTCCATCTGAAAAAAAAAAAAAAGTTTATTTGATAAACTCTCCCTCTCCCTTTGACTCTCTCCTCTGTCCTACCTTCCTGCCTGGTAGTCACTTTTGCTAACAATTTGAAGGAGTCCTTTTGTAACATGTTCCGTGCATATTATACATGGGAACATATGGGTATATTGCATGTATATATTACATATAGCATATTTGGATTATTCCATAGAAGTCTGTGACTTGCTTTTTTTTCACTTTTTATTTTATTTACTTTATTTATTTATTTTTTGAGATGGGTCTCACTCACTCTGTCGCCAGGCTGGAGTGCAATGGTGCGATCTCAGCTCACTGCAACCTCTGCCTCCCGGGTTCAAGCGATTCTCCTGCCTCAGCCTCCCAAGTAGCTGGGACTACAGGCACCCGCCACCACGCCTGGCTAATTTTTGTATTTTTAGTAGAGACGTGGTTTCACCATGTTGGCCAGGTTGGTCTCGATCTTCTGACCTCATGATCTGCCCACCTCGGCCTCCCAAATTTCTGGGATTACAGGTGTGAGCCACCGCGCCCAGCTTTTCACTTATTTTATTACAGACATCTTCCTCTATTGGTGCCCAAGATCATTCTTATTGTATTTAATAGCTATTTATTATCTCTATTTTGGAGGTACAAAATTTACTTATTTGCTATCGATGCCTTTAAAGTCATATATCCAGTTTTCATTTTGGCAAATAATGCCATGGGGAATTTTTTTTTGTTTTCAGACAGAGTCTCACTCTGTCACCCAGGCTGGAGTGCAGCGGTGCCATCTCGGCTCACTGCAACCTCTGCCTCTCAGGCTCAAAGAAATTTTCCCACCTCAGCCTCCAGAGTAGCTAGGACCACAGACGCACACCACCAAGCCTGACTAATTTTTTTGCATTTCTGGGAGAGACAGCGTTTCACCATGTTGCCCAGGCTGGTCTTGAACTCTTGAGCTCAAGTGATCCACCCGCCTCAGTTTCCCAAAGTGTTGGGATTACAGGCGTGAGCCACGGCACCCAGTGACCCATGGGGAATTTTTGAGTGTGCTAAGTATGTGAGTTTGAACGTGATTTCACATATGTGTTGCCATTACATTACTTCTTCTGAGAATCATCCTGTTTATGTTTTTTGTTCATTTTCCCATATCATTGAGTTCTTGTCAGATTACAAAAGATCTTTATTGATTATGGCTACTAACTCTTTGTTATATTTTATCAAATATTTTTTCTCAGCCTGTTGCTTATATTTTGACTTTGATTTTAATATTATCAAGTTTTGCTTTATGGATTGTGGTATAAGAAGACCACACCCAAAATTACAAGTATATTTTCCTACATCTTTTCCTACTACTTTTAATTTTTTTTGAAGTTTTGATCTTTAAACCTCATGGGATTTATTTGATTATGTGGTATGACATAAAGATCAAACCTTTTATTTCCGGTAACACCCACAGTTTCCTCTTATACATTGTCCATTCTGTTTCCCCCATGGCTTGAAATATGACCTTTGTCTAATGCTATATCCCGCCTATATATGTCTCTGAATTGCTAGGGTTTTTTTTTGTTGTTGTTAATGTTTCATTTGCCTAATCCTGCAACATCAACCTTTTTATCATTATAACACAAAAGTAAGTTTAAATCTTTATAGCTTTTTAAAAAATGCTCACCATCAGGTACTCTTAATTTTAAATTATAAAAGTAATACATATTTCTAAGTTAACAAATACAAACAGTTTAGAAAGCTCTAGTTGTGGTAGGCAGAATAATGCTCATCCAGAGATGTCCATATCCCAATTTCCAGAAGCTGAATATGTTGCATTACACAGCAAAAGGTGATTAAGATTGCAGATGGACTTAAAGTCACTAATCAGCTGACTTTAAAATAGGGAGATTACCCTGGATTATCTAGGTGAACTGAGTGTAATCACAAGGGTCCTCAAATGTGGAAGAAGGAGGCAGAAGATGCAGTACCAGAGTGATGCAACACGAAGACTGAGCATTGCTGGCTTTAGAGCTGAAGGAATGGAACCACCAGCCAAGGAATGTGGGCAGCATTTAGACACTTGGAAGAGGCAAGAAAACAAGTTCTCCTCTTAACCTCCAGAAAAAGAACCACACTCTGCTGACACCTTGATTTCTGCCCAGTAAGACCCAATTCAGACTTTGGACCAGAGCTGTAAAATAAATTTATGTCGCTTCAACTGCCAGGTTTGTGGTGCTTTGTTATAGCAGCAGTGGAAAACGTATACAAAGGTGAAAAGTAAAAATTCTCCTCCCTGTTTTCTACACCCTCTCCCCTCCAGTCCAGGTCCACTCCAGGCAGTAACAACTCTGAATAGGTTTTGGGGTGTGGGGTGTTACCTGAATGGGGTCTTGATCCAGACCCCCAAAGAGGGTTCCTGGATTATGCACAAGAAAGAATTCAGGGCAAGTCCATAGAGTAAAGTGAAAGCAAGTTTATTAAGAAAGTAAAGGAATAAAACAATGGCTACACCATAGGCAGAGCAGCAGTGTGGGCTGCCCAACTAAGGATACTTATAGTTATTTCTTGAGAATACAGTAAACAAGGGGTGGCTTATTCATGTGTTTTCTGGGAAAGGGGTGGGCAATTCCTGGAATTGATCATATAGGGTAACTTTCTGACGTTGTCATGGTGCTTGTAAACTGTTATGGCACTGGTGGAAGTGTCTCTTCACATGCTAATATATTATAATTAGCATATAATGAGCAGCGAGAATGACCAGAAGTCACTTTTGTAGCCATCTTGGTTTTGGTGGGATCTGGCCAGCTTTTTTACCATATGCTGTTTTATCAGCAAGGTCTTTGTGACCCGTATCTTGTGCCAGCCTCCTATCTCATACTGTAACAGAATGCCTAACCTCCTGAAAATGCAACCCAGTAGATTTCAGCCTCATTTTACCCAGACTCTATTCAAGATGCAGTCACTCTGGTTCAAACACCTCTGACAGGGGGAAGGAAATGTCTTTGCAGAATTGTGACTCTGTAGACATTTTTGTAATATGTTTTGATATTTATTAAGGCAAGTCTCCTTTTTTTAACTTTTACAAAATTTTAACTTCTCACACATTTACATTTTCAGATGAAGATCAAAATCAGTTTGCAAATCCCATTTTAAAATTTCTTCAGGATTTTGATTGGGAATACATTGAATTTATAGATTGATTTAGCGGAAAGCAGATTATCTTGCTAATCTTCATTCAAAATACCTCACAATAATGGCTAAGAAATATTTGTTGAATGAATGAATATGTATTTTATTTTGTTTTTGGAGAAGAGAGGTAGGGAGTCCATTTGAATTATTTTTTAAATACTTAGTATTTTATTAAAATACTAAATCCATTTCCTTTGGATTTTCAATTTATCACCGTAAAATTCTACATAATATTTTTATTTAAAAGTCTTTCCCAAGGCCAGGTGTGGTGGCTTACGCCTCTAATCCCAGCATTTTGGGAAGCTGAGGCGGGCAGATTGCTTGAGGTCAGGAGTTTAAGACCAGCCTGGCCAATATGGTGAAACCCTGTCTCTGCTAAAAATACAAAAATTAGCTAGGCGTGGTGGTGGGTGCCTATAGTCTCAGCAACTCTGGAGGCTAAGGGATGAGAATCGCTTGAACCCAGGAGGCGGAGGTTGCAGTGAGCGGAGATCATGCCACTGCACTACAGCCTGGGGGGCAGAGTGAGACTCCCATCTCAAAAAAATAAAATTAAGTTAAAATAAAAATATTTCCCTTATCTGTAATTGTATCCACTTTCTTAATCCAAATGTGGTTTAATTTGGTTTCTCCACTTTTTTTCTTTGTCATACTTGCCACACTTTTATTTAAGTTTTGTTTTTATCGATATGTTCTTTCTTCAATTATTTGTTCTTCTTTTTATTTGTATGGGAGAAAACATAATATCCATTCCCCCTACCCCCTATCACCAGGTTCATGGCTGAGGCCTTTATGACAAAAGACAGATTAACAAGGGAAGAGCTTACAAAATTATTTAATATAAATTTTACATTGCATAGGAAACTGCAGAAATGAAGACCCAAAGAAATAGGGAAATCTATGTGTTTTTATGCTTAGGTTTGTTGAAGAGGGGACAGTCCTTGCAGAAGCATAATTGGAGGATGTAAGGTTATTGTTGCAGGACTTTCTCCTTAGTTCAGCTAAAAACGGGGTCCTTGTCACATGGCCATGAAATGTTAGGGTTGCAGACACTTTGAAGGGTGAGAAAAATGGAATTTATTGGGCAAAAAGGAAACAAAGGGGAAACAGGGACCCTCAGCAGAGCGAGAGTCCTGCTAGTATATACCTCCGGCCTCGCAGACTGAATCCCAGGTTCCACCCAGGAAGAGGAGGAGCCAGGCTCCTCCCCACTGCAAACGTTGCAAACTTCCGGAGGCTTCGCCCCCATGCGCGTTCCTCCCAGTGTGCAGGCTGGTGGGAGGTTCTCTGGGGACCCATTTATACTTGGCTGTCTCAGTATGACCTAGTGGTCACAAACTTGAGTGGGGGGCTTAGCAAGGCCTGTTTGTTCAGATTCTTCCTGGCATTCCTGTGTGACATTCCTTCCCTCTGGGTATAGGGCAAGACACCTGTCACATAAGGGTCTCTCCTGAAAACCCTTATGTGACAGGTGTGTTGCTCTATACCTAGAGGGTATCCTTATTCAGGGAGGGAGAAGGTCAGAGAGTGACCTTTTCAGGTTTTTATGGCCTGCTTTGGGGAAGAAGGGTGAGAGGGACCTTCCTGCTCCTGCTGTTTTCTCATTTCCAAGGTGCTATATTTTGGAGTTGTGTGACCTGAACCCCATCATATACGAATTCTTCCTTTTACTTTGTTTTAGTTGATGTGTTTGACCTTTCCCTGGGTTTTCTGGCTGAATGCATAGTTGCTGTTGTTTTACATGTTGCTTGATTTTTAATAAGTATGTTTTGGCTATAAATTATCCTCTAAGTTCAGTTTTGGCTGTGTCTACTAGTTTTTCTATTTATTGTTTTTACTGTTTTTCATAACTGAATAGTCCATAATTTTGTACTTTTACTATTTTCTAACCAAAGAGTTATCTTGAAAAGAGAATTTTTAAAAACTATCTAAGTGGCTAGATAATGTTTTGTAGATGGGGAGGCACGGATAGAAGAGGAGGAGAAGGCTATGATTTATTATTCATTTCTGGCTTTTTTTTTTTCATTATAGCTAGAGAATGGAGCCTGTATGATTTCCCCTTTGGATAATATACTGAGATTTCCTTTGTGGTTAAAAACATAGTTAATGTGTAAATATTTCATATATGTTTAACAAGAATGTGTATTCTCGCTTTAGGAAATGTATCTTAAGTCCACTTATTAAATCAAGCTTGTTAATTTTGTTTTTTAGATGCTCTTCTTTCTTTCTCCTTTCCTCCTTTCCTCCCTCCCTCTCTCCCTCCCTTCCTCCCTCCCTCCCTCCTTCCCTTTCCTTCCTTCCTTCCTTCCTCCTTCCCTCCCTCCCTCCATTCTTTCTTTTCTCTTTTCTTTTCTTTCCTTTCTTTTCTTTCTTTTTCTCTCTCTCTTTCTCTCTCTCTCCCTTTCTCCCTAACTCTCTTTCTCTCTCTGTCCCAGAGTCTCCCTCTGTTACCGAGGAAGATGGAGTTCAGCTGTCTAATCATAGCTCACTGCAGCTTTGACTTCTGGGCTCCAGTGATCCTCCCTCCTTGGCCTCCTGAATAGCTGGGATCACAGGTGCCTGCCACCACGCCCAGCGAATTTTTGTATTTTTGATAGAGATAAGACTTCACCATTTTGCCTGGGCTGGTCTTGAACTTCTGGGTTCAAGCAATCCACTTGCCTATGGCTCCCAAAGTGCTGGGATTATAGGTGTGAGCCACTGTGCCCGGCCTACTCTACATTCTTATTTTCCATATACCTCACTTGTGAGTCTCTGAGAGCTTGTAGTTTTCAGAAGTTCTCCTGTGTTTTCAGAAGTTCTCCTGTATTTTCAATAAGTTGTTTATGTATTGGTGCTTTGCTTTTTCATGGAATAAAGGTCTAAATCTACTATATCTTCTTAGTGGGTTGTACCATTAATTGATGTAAAATGCCCCCTTTGTTCCCTTTGATTACAGTAGGAATCCTTTGCTCCAGGGTGGCACTTCTTCCTGTGAGACTAACAGCCAGAGCTGCCTTGTGATTCTTTTCCTCGCTGTCTTTTGAAGAGTGTAATTGTATCACATTTTTCTGGCTTTCACCCTGCTTCAGCCCTCAAGCAGTGAGCTTTCCCTAAGCACATTTCTCCACGTTTGGAGAGAGATTTTCAGCTGCAAACACAGCAGCTATAATCCACTGTACCCACCACTGTGAGTGGTGGGATCCAACAGACAAGCTGGCAAGAGGGTGAGCCCGTAGGGTACCAAGTTAAGGCACTTGCTTTCAGGGTGGTGCAGGTCTCTCTGAATTTTGCATTCTAGGCACCTTGCCCTAGTCCCCATCCTCACCTGCTCACCCCAGGCCCAACCCTGCTAACAAAGTTCATTGTCTTACAAGGTAAGCCTTTCAGTGACCTTGAGAAATAACCCATCTCACTCTGGTTCTTTCATATTTGTCATCTCTGAGTTTGCTCTTTCTCTACTGCATTAAGAAATCCACTTCATGTCTTTCTTTCTTTTTTTTTTTTTTTTCTTGAGACAGGGTCTCACTCTATAACCCAGGCTGGAGTTCAGTGGCTCCATCTCGGCTCACTGCAACCTCTGCCACCCAGGCTCAAGTGATCCTCCTGCCGCAACCTCCTGAATAGCTGAGACCATAGGCATGCACCATCACACCGGCTATTTGTTTTTTGTTTGTTTGTTTTTTGTTCTTTTTTAGTGGAAACAGGGTTTCACTATGTTGCCCAGGCTTGTCTCCAACTCCTGACCTCAAGTGATCCGCCTGCCTTGGACTCCCAAAGTGCTGGGATTACAGGCATGAGACACCACACCCAGCCCAGCTTCATTTCTTCAATACACAACCTGTTTGAGTTGTGTTTTACTCTGATGTTTCAATTAAGCTATTAATATTTCTTTTTATTTTTTATTTTCATCAAGATAACAATGATGAAATAGTTGACAATGAAACAGCGTTCAAAGGCTTATAAAGAAAAGAGAAGGTCTTTGCCTCACCCTTCTTTACCTCTTCTCTACTTTTCAGTTGCAACCCTTTAAAAATGTCTAAGTGTTTCTTCTGTCATTTGCCTTCACATTTCTAAATACTATGATTACTGCTATTTCTTTAGTTATCAATCACGGCTACATCAATAATGGATATATTTTATTGACTTCCATTGACAACATATGAATCTATAGCTTCGTTACTTTACCATTCCTATTGCTCCAATATAGGGATTCCAATATAATTTTGGAATTTAATATTAATTTCCAATATAATTTTTGGTTAAATGAGTATTCAGTATGAAGATTATTATTATGCCTGTAAATACAAGGTACTACTGGGAAAAATAATGCACCTGAACTTCCCTAATTATTTTTAAAATTTTTTTAAAGATAATAATGGCCTCGTTTTTATATTTGATTAGTTCCATGTGCTCCATCAAACCCATCCTTGATAGTCAATCAAGATTTTATAAACAATTATATGTATCAGAGCATAATTTATCAACTCTCTTTTGGTTATTTGGTTTTTCTTTTCTAAAGAACTCTCTTCAGGAAATTTATTTTTATCCTTCTCTAATTTGGATCAATTGCATTTTCACTTTGTCACCTAGCTGCCATCCTGAAATTTATTTTTGTGTTTTCCTGTGTTGGAGTCCCTGTTTTCTTGGTTTTATGTCTTTCTCTCTCTCTTGCTTCTCATGTTCATGGAGCTTATCTTTCCATAGCTTTCTAAAGAAGTATGCACAGAAATAAAATATCTTCATCTGAAAATGTCTGCACTGTCAGTATCACACTTTTCCAAGGCTCCATCTTATACCCTGATTTTTCCTGTTCTGTAACAGCCTGTTCTTGTTTCATAGATACAGTATATTCTTTTATTTCTCTGAGGTTTTATGTTTCTGAGGTTTTATTTTTCTGAGGTTATTAATAATACAATTTTATACACTGCTGTTTTTTGTGGTCTGCATGTTCTCAGCTTCCTCCAGATCCCATTTTTCTATTTGTTTAGGTCTTCCTCTTTCATATTGAAGGATCTCCTCAAATGTCTTGTAGTCATTAGCTGTAATATTTAAGATTACATTCTTAATGGAAAGCTAATTAGATCCTCTGTGTCCATTTGTGGAGCTTGGTGGTGGATGAATTTCACTGCCATATGATCAGGTGGCAAGCCAACATTAGCTATTTCTATGGGGGGGCTTCCCACTCCTGGATCTAAAAGTTTGGGTCTCAAGAGATGAACTTTCCAGTCTCCTTTTGGAGAGGCATCTCTTAGCTGCTGGTGTTCTGGAAGCAGGGAGGAAAAAAGGGACAGGAAGCTCATCATTCAGTATGCTTCTTTTTTAAGCCCTGTGTGTTGCTCCAGCCCTTCTCTATGCTTGTTATCCCTAAATCTAATCCCTAAATTAGAGCCTCTAATTTAATCTCTCCTATCCAAACAGTCACCTGGATGCAGAAGGGAGAGTAGGAGATCTGGGAATCTGACTGCTGCAGACAGGCTTTAAACCTTTCTCTCCATGTGAGCCTCATCCCCCATCCACCCCATACCTGGCTCCCTGATTCCTGAGCTTTGAGGGGCCATGGGCTTCATTCTCATTGCTCCTTTCTGCAGAATTTATATTCTAGTTTCACTCTGTAACACCAATATATTACTTCTCTACCCACTTTCTGCCTTCTGAAATGGTTTTGATTCCCTTTAAAATTATTTTGATATCCTTTATCCAGGTACATTTTTATTCTCTTTTTCTTTGTACAGTTGTACTCTTTTTGTATTTCTGGGTAATAACTTCAGGGTGTTTTAGGAAAGAGGGGAGATTAAATGTATGTAGTCTATCCTCCATAGTTAATTTCCAACTAGATGACTAATTCAAATTCCTTGAATGTTTGATTGGTTGATGACTCTTTGCTTGCTTACAATGCTGTCATGGAAGGATTTGTTTATTTCATCCTCCAGTTTAAACTAGAAGCTCACCATCTTGCAGTGAAAGTTGTCCATACTTGCTTATTTCTACCAGAATAATATATATTTTTTCAAATAATAAGAAATTTTTTTAGAACTTTTTTCTTTTGAGCATTTTGAAACTTATGGAAAATTTCCAAGAGTAGTACAATGAATTCTTGTATATACTCTTCACCTTGATTCACCAATTGTTCACATTTTATTACATTTGCTTTCTTTCATTCTATTATCCCTTATGGATCCTGTGACCTTCTACCCATAAATACTTTCACAGTATAATTATCGAATTTGGGAAATTTAACATTGATACAATACTACTATCTAATTGACCCATATTCAGATTTCACTAATGATCACAGTAATGTTTTTTACAGTATTTCCTCCAATCCAGGATTTAATCAAGGCTTACCCTTTTCATTTGTTGTCATGTATCTTTGGTCTTCTTTAATTTGGAACAGTTTTTTTTTTTCCCCTGACATTTGTGGTGGGTCCAGGCCAGTTGTTTTATAGACTGTCCTTCCAATTGGGTTTCACTGATGTTCGCTTGGGATTAAAGACAGGAAAATCCCAGAGTGATGCTGAGTTCTTCTCAGTTCATCACATCAGAAGGCACATGGTGTTGCCTTTTTTCAATATTGGTGACATTGCCTTCCACCGCTTGGTAAAGGTGATGTCTGTCAGTTTCTCCACTGTCAAGTTTTCTCTTTGTAATGAATAAGAAATCTGTAGAGACATACTTTGAGTCTGTGTAAATATCCATTGTAAGATAATTAGTAGATCTTATTCTAAATAGAGCAACACCATTCTTTACGTGTATGGAGTCCCAAATCATATTGGTGGTAGTTAAGATGATTATAATACCCATTACAATTCAGTCCTACTGGGAAAATAGTGGTGAATCAAACAGATAGGGCGTTCACATCTAATTTGTCTACTACTAACTAAGTGGTTTAACATCTTGAGGATGATCTTTCCTATTACCTTTAGTAAGGAGTCCCTTCCTTTGGCGGTACCAACATGTAAATTTCTGCAGGTTGTGCACTGCACAAGAACATTATTTATATTGCGGACATGGTAGATTTTGTACATTTATCTTGACAGTTTTCAGCAAATGAAAATGAAGCATCTTGAGAAAAGGGAGTCTTTTTCTAATTTTCACAAAGTACCCATTGACTGTAGATATGGGAAGTGGGTTATAATAGTTTCTTTCTATGAAACTTGAACTTCCCTAATTAGTGACAATGTTTAAGACAATAGCTTAGGAAAGTCAGTAATGTTAGAGTTCCATGACTAAGTCCAGCAGACATGAACACTTCTGATAGGGATGTCTTGACTCAGGAGGTAGTCAGTTAGAAGGTTCTCAGTCAAGGATTAAGGAACTGTTAGAGAAGAAAAACAGCAGACATGTACATAGGCAAAGAAATCCACTTTCAGGGTATTGGGAAGATCATGAATTGGTCGAATGGTTACAGATGTTAGAAAAAAAAATTAGGCAGAAGCAAATGAAAAGGGATTAGCACCAGGGCCATGGAATTCTTACAGCTGGGCATCTCACAGGAAGTGGTTTTGGGGTTCATGAGGAGTGGGAGAAGAATGAATGTGTCCAAGGAAAAGAGGAATGGTCCAGAGAAAATCCTCTAATGGGAATGAAATCCCGGCCAAGAGTCTTGGTTGGGTCCCACTGGCTTTAAGATAAATAATAGACCTCAGGAGGCAAGGGCAGCCCTGGGCCCAGATAACATGCCTTGCTTTCTGAGTGCTGTGCTGGGAATCTTCATCCTACTCTGTGGGATGAAGATTTCGTGGCCTCCAGGATGGCCACAAAACACACCCATAGTCAAACTCATCTTTCCTCTACACAGCCTCTGCTAGATCTGTGCTCTTCTGGAGGAAGAGAAAGAGAATGCACAAGGGAACACAGATGAACTTTGTCTGATGGTTTCAGACAAAGGCAAGTTCTAAGCTCCCCTGCCTGCCCACCTGTGCATGATTACATCGCTTCTAGCCCATGGCTGAGCTGATGGCTATGGCCCGGTGCCCAAATGGTTTATGTCCAAGTCCTGTCCCTTCTGCTAATTTGTAAATGCCTCAGGAAAACGTTCTACCCCTAGGAAGAGCACTGTTCTCAGGGTGCTATATATGCACCGAGAAAATACTTAATAAATGCTCTCTTATGGAGAAGATAGGTGATGTGGTTTGGATTTGTGTCTCTACCCAAATCTCATGTCAAATTGTAATCTCCAATGTTGGAGGAGGGGCCTAGTGGAAGGTGATTCAATCATGGGGGCAGATTTCTCCCTTGCTAATCTCATGATAATGAGTGAGTTCTCACAAGATCTTGTTGTTTCAAAGTGTGTAGCACCTTCCCCTTCTCTCTCTTCCTCCTGCTCCAGCCATGTCAGGTGTGTCTCCTTCCCTTTCACCTTCCACCATGATTGTAAGTTCCCTGAGGCCTCCCCAGCCATGCTTCCTGTACAGCCTGTGGAAGCCTGAGCCAATTAAAAATCTTTTCTTTATAAATCACCCAGTTTCAGGTATTTCTTTATAGCAGTGTGAGAACTGACTGATATAACAGGATAGCCCTGATAAACAGACTCTGGAATGGAGATTCAAACATTTTCCAGCCGGCTTGGGAATAAGAATAAACAGTAGCCTGGTAATGTCTTTTGTTTTCTTGGTCTTAACCCATGCTAAGTAAAATGACCCCAGTGGGAAAATTTTTTTTTTTTTTTTTTTTTTTTGAGATGGAGTTTCTCTCTGTCACTAGGCTGGAGTGTGCGGTAGCGCGATCTCAGCTTAGTGCAACCTCCGCCTCCCGGGTTCAGGTGATTCTCCTGCCTCAGCCTCCCAAGTAGCAGGGACTATAGGCACGTACCACCACGCCCATCTAATTTTTGTAATTTTAGTAGAGACAGGGTTTCGCCATGTTGGCCAGGATGGTCTCGATCTCTTAATCCTCATGATCCACCCACCTCAGCCTCCCAAAGGGTTGAGATTGCAGGCATGAGCAACTGTGCCCGGCCTGGGACTAAATTTCTTAGTTGCCTGTGAGCAGTGTACAAATTCGAATTTGTGCACCTATTCATGGCTGGAATTCCAAGGAAAGGGTCCATGTAGGGACTGTCTGTGGACAAGGCACATTGATTCATAATGTTAATAATGAGAGCTCACATTTACTGAGCATTCACTATGTGCCAGACACTATGATGTATCTCATTTAATTCCCATAAAGAATTAAATTCCCATAAGGAATAATCCCTATTATTCCTATTTTTACAGGTGAGGAAATGGAGACTTAGAGAAGATGAGTTGTTACTTGAGTTTATGAGATTTATGAATGAGAGAACTAGGACTTGGACCCACATCTGTGTGATGCCAAAACTGGTACAGTCATGTTCTACTGTTCCCCTTCTCCATTTCAGCATCACAGAATCACTGGTTGGACTCATGCCATCTCAGAGGAAGAAAGATCCTAGAGGCCATCCCTCTGGTTTCACTCCTGTTGGCATTGGAGAGAAAACCTAAGGCTAGCATTCCCAGTAACCAATCATTTGCAGAGTGAGTACTGTCCTGTTGCAGTGGATTCCTTCTACTAAACAGTAGGAGTGGAAGCTGCAGCTTACCAAAGCTAAGAGGTACAAAAAAGCTGGCCTCAAATCATTTTTGGCAAATTCACGTAGCCCTTTGTCTCCAGGACAAAGGAAGCTATACCCTAGAGTAACTTAAATAAGTACAGTGCTTAACCTGAGAAAGACACCTTGGGGACCCGCTCTGACATATATTTCCTTCTGACTTACAATTAATGTAAAACACCTAATATTCCAGTGGTCAGCTTTCCAAATCCCTTGTGTCACCAGGCTTTGTGTTAAATGCAACACTCTGGCTCCCCAAGGTTGCAGACTCAGAACCACATGGAATAAAAAACAGCAGGACAATAGTCCAAGATTTACTATATAATGCAAATTTTCAACTAAAATCACAAGATGTTTCTGTCCACCCTTCCCCCCAAGTTCAGCTACTCCCATACCTCCTTAGATTTGAAAAGATTGGAGGGCAGGGAGAATGCCATTGAAGTAAGCAGATTTCACATCCTGTTGATGTTTTTGTAGCTGCCACATGTGGCCCTGTGTTAAGTAGCTGAACATTTCTGCTTGCTGGCAGCCAGAGTCAGCCCTCACCCCCTATGGAGCGCCTTCTGACTTCAAAAAGCCTTCTAGGGGGTTGCAGAGGAGAGGAAACATGGGAGAGGGTTGCCACTTATGCTGCCTGAATTCATTTTCCATCTTTGTGCTTCCTGGTTATTAGAGCCATGCAGGAGATGGAAGGACAGAGGAATGTCAGGGGTTTCTCCAAATAAGGTGCTAGAAACCCTGATACTGAAATAAGAGATTGCATTCTTCTAGAAGCAACATAAGATTATTTTTTAAGCATGACTAAACATAATTTCAATTAAGAAGGTCTGTATATCAGATACACTAAGTATGCTGAATCAGCTAAGGAAGTCCTTGTTCTATATAAAAGCTCATCTCTTTGCATCTCCCAGAAAACAAGCCACTCATTGCATTTTCCACAGTGTGACAATTCTATTGGTGGCAGGCAATGCTGGCGTGAGGAGGCACTGCTTGCAGAGTGGCATAAGAAATGTCCCATTTGCAAACCCTCACTGTGCATAGCTGGAAGTCATGAATGAGGCTGAGATAAATATAAGCTAGCTGGACCCCCAGGTCAAGGAAGTCTTAATGGTGGCCAGCCTGTTGAATTATTTTCTATTGCCTGTTACTTTCCAGAACCAGAAAGGGCCTTCAGAGTTTACCAGACAGTTTTCTCTATTGAAAATAAACCAACATAATACTTATTGTGTTCTACTTTTATTTATTTTATTTTATTTTATTTTTATTTTATTTTTTTGAGACAGAGTCTTGCTCTGTTGCCCAGGCTGGAGTGCAATGGTGTGATCTCGGCTCACTGCAACTTCTATCTCCCCAGGTTCAAGTAATTCTCCCACCTCAGCCCTCCCAAATATCTGGGATTACAGATGTGTGCCACCATGCCCAGCTAGTTTTTTTTGTATTTTTAGTAGAGATGGGGTTTTACCATGTTGGCCAGGCTGGTCTCGAACTCCTGACCTCAAGTGATCCACCCACCTTGGCCTCCCAAAGTGCTGGGATTACAGGCGTGAGCCACCATGCCCAGCTACTTTTATATTTTGGATGAAGGTTTAAAATAATATAATAATTAATATTTTTTAATATCAATTTTTATTTTTTTAATTTGTAAACTTTTGGACTTTTAGCATAGTACTGTAGTTTTCTGCAGGAGCCAACTTACTCCAATAAATTTGGTAGAGATGTTATTATAATGTATTAGGTTAATGAATAATAATAAATGGATTTTTATTTTAAAATGTAGTCAGTCCACAGGAATTTATTGCTGTATGTAAGGAACTGTGCTAGATACCATGGTAATATGGTTTGGCTCTGTGTCACCACCCAGATTTCATCTTAAATTGTAATCCCCACTTGTCCAGGGAGGGGCCTGGTGGGAGGTGATTGAATCATGGAGGTGGATATCCCCCTTGCTGTTCTCGTGATAGTGAGTGAGTTCTCACGAGATCTGGTTGTTTGAAAGTGTGTGGCACTTCCCCCTTCACTCTCTCTTCTGCTTTGCCGTGGTAAGACGTGCCTGCTTCCCCTTCGCCTTTTGCCATGATTGTAAGTTTCCTGAGGCCTCCTAGCCATGCTTCCTGTTAAGCCTGCAGAACTGTGAGTCAACTGAAACTCTTTTCTTCATAAATTACCCAGTCTCAGGTGGTTCTTTACAGCAGTGTGAGAATGGATTAATACACACGGGCATCAGATGTTTAGAACATTAACGATCCTCCTCTGTGTTCCTACAGCAGAGATCCATGTTGAGACTTGAATACGACTCGTTCGTGGTGATCTTGGACAGGAAAGGGCTGAAGCCCTTTCAGCAGCACCTGCCCTTTGAGTTTTTCCAGTGGTAGGGCTGAAGTTTATTTCAGTCAGTCTCTTTGTCACTGTCTCTGTCTCTCTCCCCCTTCCAACCCATGGGACGGACTATGGTTAAAGTCGAGCTGGAGGTTTCTCAGTGTGAAGCTATTTGGCCCATTTAGAGATTAAACCTAGATTCTTAGGCTTCCTAGTGCCTTTCTTTAGCCAACTGGACTTGGCAGTTTGAAAGTAAATGCTAATCGTTAATCATTTGAAATATCTTTCTCCAGTGGGATCACGAAGGGGAAGGTGGCTCGCTGACTGGTGCAGTTCTCACAACGTGAGCTTTGGTCCTCAGTTTAGAAGCAAATCAAGTCTGGGCATTATCGGGCCGATACATATCCCCTCAGGTTCTAGGGTATGGCTTGGTGGGCAACATGCCCCATGACCTAGTCTGCTTCACAATAACCTGCATTTATCAAGAGTTAACAGTACCTGCAGATTGCAAAGCCACTGATGCAAAAGTGTGAACCGCAAGCCTACTGTTAGGTGGCAACCAAAAAGCTACCATGGTGACTCGTGAGGAAAAACTTGTCTTCCTCTGAAAATATGTGTTCTATGGGTTAGCCAGCTGGAATTTTAGAGCAACTTGAAAGGTGATTCAGCTGATGGCCTTTGTTAGCTCAAAGCAGAGGGGTTTCCTTTTGTTTTTAACTAATAAAGCTTAACTGTTACAGGAAATACATATATAAAGAAAAGCATTTAGTTTTTAGTGAATTCAGAATTGCTAAGTTACAGTATTGAGATAGATCCAGTATGCACAATAGTCCAAATGTTTGATAGGCCTTAAAGTTAAAAGATGACAGTCAAAGGGGCCCATTAGCCAATGTCCAGATTCTGAATAGTAAACATGCAGCCCACTTGCTCCTGTCCTTCTCCTTCCATTTTCAAACAACTTCCTAATCCATCCAGGTGCTCTTTCCTGAGCCCAGGTGTGGCTTCAGAACCTTTCTCAACATAAGACCCAAAGTCAAGTGATAGGAATTAGCTCTTGAGATGAAATTTATATATCAGCTCTGATATAGGTAGCTTCATTCAAGAAAATTTCAACACAATACTTTTTTTTTTTGTCTACACTGGTTTGTTTATATATTCTCCCTCTCTTTCTGTCATGACCTTTGTGTGTTACTGTCAAAATTGTGTCAATTCCAAACCTAGACTTACTAGACACAAGTGCCCCAATAGCTACAAGGAAGAGAAGGAGCTTTTGAATGTCAGTTTCAACATCCACAGTATAATGAAATGTTGTAGTAAACTGACATTTCTTTTTTTTTTTAGGCGGACTCTCTCTCTTGTCACCCAGGTTGGAGTGCAGTGGTACAATCTCGGCTCACTGCAACCTCCACCTCCTGGATTCAAGTGATTCTCCTGCCTCAGCCTCCCGAGTCACCGGGGTCACAGGTACCCGCCACCATGCCCAGCTAATTTTTGTATTTTTAGTAAAGACGGGGTTTCACTATGTTGGCCAGGCTGGTCTTGAACTCCTGACCTCACCTCAAGTGATCCACCTGCCTCAGCCTCCCAAAGTGCTGGGATTACAGGCATGAGCCATTTCACCTGGCCACAAAGTGACTTTTAACCAGTGTTAACTGGATTTTGTTAGTTTGAAAAATGAACCATCTTTAGTCTTTTAATTAAAGTTTCATGAAAAGTCTATGGATTAGAAAAACATTTTTCAGATTATGTTTTAAAATGTAGGACACATTTCCTTTCAGCCAAAACAAAGGCTGTGTGTATTTGCGTTCACAACTGAGCTAAAAACCATTTAATGAGCACTATTTGCCAGGGACTATGGAAATTATTGTTAATGTGTTTTTATTCATTTTCTAGGGCCACCATAACAAAACACCACAAACTGGGTGGCTTAAACAACAGAAATGTATTGTCTCACATTTCTGGAGGCTGGAAGCCCAACACTGAGGTGTCAGTAGGTTTGGTTTCCCTTGAGACCTGTCTTCTTGGCTTGCAGATAGCTACCATCTGGCTTTGTCTTCAGGTGGCCCTTCCTCTGCGTGCCTGCATCCTTGACATCTCTCGGAATGTTTAAATTTCCCCTTTTTATAAGGACACTAGTCAGATTGTATTATGGCCCATCCTAAAGGCTTTATTTTATTTAGGTTGGTGCAAAAGTAATTACTTTTAATGGCAAAACCCACAATTACTTTTGCACCAACCTAAATAAAATTTATATAATAAAATAACTTAATCTCTTCTGTAAAGGCCCTATCTTCAGTCACATTTTTAGGTGCTGGGGGTCAGGACTTCCACATGTGGATTTAGTGGGAGGTGGGGGAAGCAGTAGATACAATACAGCCCATAACAGTGTTGAGACGTCACAACAGTTTTTATGATCAAGTGATATGGTTTGGATCTGTGTTCCCACCCAAATCTCATGTTCAGTTGTAATCCCCAGCGTTGGAGGTGGAGCCTGGTAGGTGGTGATTGGATCATCATCAGAGTGGATCCTTCATGAATGGTTTAGCACCATCGCCCTTGGCATTGTCTTGGTGATCATGAGTGAATTATCGGGAGATCCGGTCATTTAAAAGTGTGTGGCACCTCCCCCCGCCCCTTTTCCTCCTGCTCCGGCAATGTGAAGTGCTGGCTCCTCCTTCCCCTCCGCCATGACTGTAAGTTCCTTGAGGCGTCCCAGAAGCAGAACTGCCATGCTTCTTGTGCAGCCTGTGGAACTGTGAGACAATTAAGACTCTTTTCTTTAGAAATTACCCAGTCTCAGGTATTTCTCTATGGCAGTGCGAGAACAGACTAATACTATCATTACCGCCATTTTAGAGCTAAAGAAACAGAGGTTGATAGAAGCCGAGTTATTTGCCTGATGACTTTTATGTAGCAAACCCAGCATACCATTCGCATGTCTGCCCTGTATTTCTTATTCAGCTGTGTATGTCAGAGATAAAATTTAGTTTAAGAAGTGAGTTTTAAAAAGCCCATTGACATTCCTAGATTCCTTTCAAAGAAGGTGTATGTAGCAAGGTTGCTAAGGTAGCCTCTGCTCCTTACCAGCTGTGTGACCTCAGGCAGGTTAAGTTACCTCTCTGGCCCTTGGTTTTCTCATCTATAAAATGGAACTATTAATAGTACCTGCCTTATAGGACTGTTGAGGAGGGAAGGTCCTTATAACAATGTCTGTACGTAGGTATTCAACATATGGTAGCAGCTATTATATATGATAATGTTTATTCTGAGAAGAATGCATTTTCAAAATAGGACAAAGTGATTATCATTCCTTCTTTGCATTTGAAAGAGTTATTAGATGTTGGTTATTTGAATCTATCTATTAATCCGTTTTCAATATTATCATTTTCAGTATGTTATGTCATTTTACATTGGCAGCATGTCAGAGGCCAGTGTAATATGTCAAAAGTGATTTAATTCATTGGCTGCATGTCATGAATGTGACACAGCACTGGGAATCAGACCAATAGTACCTGATTTTAACACATGCTGGGCATATCAGTGTGTTTCCTTGGAGTTAGGTGATATACCGGCTATTATAGCTGCTGAATAATTTTCTGGACAGGCCTGAAAGACATTAGAGATGATAAGTATCCCCTACAAAACAGTTTTCAAATGGAATGTTGCAGAATCAGGTCCACCAGAGCCCATGTTGAATGGCAGCAGATGGCTTAATTTCTAAACAAACCCTTTTGTACTCCTGTTCATCTGTTTTTATGAACAAATTGAGGTAAACTGAAATGAATTAAGATACATTAGAAATGTTTTATTTGGGCCAGGCGCTGTGGCTAACGCCTGTCATCCCAGCACTTTGGGAGGCCAAGGCGGGTGGATCACCTGAGGTGAGGAGTTCATGACTAGCCTGGCCAACATGGTGAAACCCCATCTCTACTAAAAATACAAAAATTAGGCCGGGCGCGGTGGCTCACGCCTGTAATCCCAGCACTTTGGGAGGCCGAGGCGGGCGGATCACGAGGTCAGGAGATCGAGACCATCCTGGCTAACACGGTGAAACCCCGTCTCTACTAAAAAAATACAAAAAATTAGCCGGGCGTGGTAGCGGGCGCCTGTAGTCCCAGCTACTCGGGAGGCTGAGGCAGGAGAATGGCGTGAACCTGGGAGGCGGAGCTTGCAGTGAGCCGAGATCGCGCCACTGCACTCCAGCCTGGGCGACAGAGCGAGACTCCGTCTCAAAAAAAAAAAAAAAAAAAAATACAAAAATTAGCCAGGTGTAGTGGCGCATGCCTGTAGTCCCAGCTACCCTGGAGGCTGAGGCATGACAATCACTTGAATCCGGGAGGCAGAGGTTGCAGTAAGCCGAGATCGCACCATTGCACTCCAGCCTGAGTGACAAGAGCAAAACTCCCATCTTAAAAACAAAACAAAAATGTTTTATCTGTCCTTTCGTTACACAGATGACTGTATATTTGATTGTTATTTTGCAAATGTTGGTTTTTTGGAGAAAATAATCAAAATAAAGTGTGTAACAGATAAACTAAATCATTTTGATAAAGATACAAGGAAAATTTTACCTTTTCTTATAAATTATTCCTAGTAGTAGGTCACAATTGAAAATATAGAACTCTTAAAAAGGTGTATTTTTGTCGTTAATGAAACTCTTCTGGGAAGATATAAAATGAACATAAAACAGTTTTGTATTTCAATGCCTCTTCATTGCTGTTACTGAAAAAATGTATAATGGAGTGGTGGTACATAATAAGTTTCTAGAGCATCACATTCTAAAAGGTAGTGCATGGCTGCCTCTAGAGTTCAACTGGATGAATGTGATTGGATGGTGGGGTGAGTGAGCACTGTATTTACCAGCATAGTGCATAAAGTGACAGGGAGAATGCAGCCAGGAAACCAGGAAATGTGAATGGAATATGATTATATTATCTACTCCCAGAGTTGCCAGGTAATATACCTAATTCTTTTTTTTTCTTTCTTTGAGACAGAGTCTTGCTCTGTCACCCAGGCTGGAATCCAGTGGCACGATCTTGGCCCACTGCAACCTCCATCTTCCAGGTTCAAGAGATTCTCCTGCCTCAGCCTCCCGAGTAGCTGGGATTACAGGCACATGCCACCATGCCCGGCTAATTTTTGTATTTTTAGTAGAGAAGGGGTTTCATCACATTGGCCAGGCTGATCTCGAACTCCTGACCTCAAGTGATGTGTCCGCCTTGGCCTCCCAAAGTAATGGGATTACAGGCATGAGTCACTGCACCTGGTCTGGAATATCCTTAATTCTTTATCTTCCTTCTCTTTACCCCAAGAATTAAAGATTAATTACATCACATTAAAAAATATATCATCTGACTCTCACATTATACATGGATTGAACATAATTAACCAAACTAAGGGCAACTTTATCATGTGGTGGTTATACAAATGATAGAAAAACAAATTTGAGGGATATACTGTTTAAAAAGGAAGATAGACACTTCCATTATCATTATCATCAACAAAGTCAAGTTGAGTTTATTGTTCATGTGGAATGCTGTTGGAAGTTGCTGGTTTTTCTTGGCTGCTGGCATAAGGAAAGTGTTATACCTCTGACCAGGTATCTTATTGGGATGTGACGTCTTGGGAGTGGGGCCAGGCCCTTCTGAGTTGGTCCCCACTTCCCAATGACACCCTGAGGCTGTCTTGAGTGTCATATCCCAGGGCCAAGACTTTCTCCTATGACAAATAGACAAATAGACATGCTGGTAGACACACCAGCTCACACTATTGTGGTGCTTCACTCCCAGAAGGCCTGGTGTCCCTGCAATGTAACAAGCCTCTCTAATAGCCCAACAAATGGGGAGTTACTGGCTTCAGTCAAAATAACTAAACACCATTTCTTGACTGTCTGCTATATGCATTGCACACTTTACGTGCATTCTTGTTTAATACTTGCAGCAAAACTGTAAGGTAGGTGTTATCCTCACTTTACAGATGAGGACATTGAATGTGGCAAAGACAGTTCTATGTGTTGTGCAAGTCCCACTGTGCTTTTCTTTGGTGCACAAGAAGACTGCACTCCTCAATACCCTTGCAGTTAGCTTGGGACCATGTGACTAGCTCTAGCCAGTGGTAAATGAAATGGCCACACATCATTTCCAGATGCAGCATGAAAGTGTGGTTATGTGTACTCCACATTCTCTCTTTTCCATCATGTTTTGAGCTGGCATTGTCACTAAAGAGAGGCAGGATGCATTGCTGAGTCATCACATCGGGGGCAGCCACCTTGGTGAATCACCCAATTCACAGAGGACTTCATGTGAGTAAAAGAAACCTGTGTTTTATACAACCACTAATATTTTGAGGCTTATTTGTTACTGAAGCATAGCGCAGCCTTTCCTGACTAACACATTGAGCCCCAGAGGGAACAAGTGAACTCGTCATGATTCCATATATGCTGGTCTAGAACTCCCACTCAGATCTATGACTACAAAGCCCCTTTTATCCTTTCCGCTCTTATTTCTTTGATTAGGACATACAGGAGGGCTAAAGTCCACAATGCAACATTTAATATTCCTTGAGTATGGGACATTACACTGCAATTTTCTTTGCCTTCTTACTCCTTACCTGCCTGCAAGTGATGGTCAGAGGAAGCACGTTGGTGGCTGGATTACTGGATGTCCAAATGACATTTATCACCCCCGCAAACACACTTTTTTCTTTTTTGTTGTTTTGTTTGAGATGGAGTCTCACTCTGTTGCCCAGGCTGGAGTGCAGTGGCGCAATTTCGGTTCACTGCAACCTCTGTTTTCTGGGTTCAAGTAAGTCTCCTGCTTCAGCCTCCCAACTAGCTGGGATTACAGGTACACACCACCACACCTGGCTAATTTTTGTATTTTTAGTAGAGACGGGGTTTCACCATGTTATGTTGGCCAGGCTGGTCTTGAACTCCTGACCTCAAGTGATCCACCCACCTTGGCCTCCCAAAGTGTTGGGATTACAGGTGTGAGCCACTGTGCACCCGGCTCCCCACCCCTGCCTACTTTTTTAACCAAAGTAGTTATGTGTAAGTAGAGTGCTACCCTTCTTGGAGGATAGTGACCAGATGACCCACTCTTCTTTTGCCAAGGAGTAGATGGTTTAATGTGAGCCACCCATCCACACTCAAGGGCTAGATCCATATGACCAGGGAATTCACTAGATGGTTGAGTGGAATAAAGAAAAGAGAACCCCAGATTAGAGAAATCACATGTAATGTCCACATGGGCCCTAGAGCTTCTGCATGACTCCAAAAGAAGGTATCATACTGGTGATATGGTAGGACCAGAGAGAGGGCCAAGAAGGGTATCATTCTAGTTACACATAACTACTTTGGTTAAAAAAGTAGGCAGGGGTCGGGGGCCGGGCACATGGTGGCTCACGTTTGTAATCTTAGCACTTTGGGAGCCCAGCGTGGGTGGATCACTTGAGGTCAGGAGTTCAAGACCAGCCTGGCCAACATAACATGGTGAAACCCTGTCTCTACTAAAAATACAAAATGGGTTATACCAAGTTTGTATGTGGTTATTCACAAAGATTTGATTATTTACATTGAGCATTCATTCGTTGGTCATTTTTAATGTTTCCAATGTTGAGAAAATAAAGATCTATGAAATAAATGCCTTTCCCTGAAGGAGCTAACCATCTTGATGGCAAACCAAACAAGTGAACAATTATAACTCACCACAAAAGATACTACACTTTATAGACACAAGCATGGCAGGCTTTGGGATTGTGGAAGCAGGCCTCCAGGCTCAGCTGGGTAGGATATGGGAGAGTCAGGAAGGACTTTCACAGGAGTAGCCCCCGGGCAGACTGTGAAAACCCAAGTAGTCCCAGCAATAGAGCTGCGTATGAAATCATAAAATTGGTGTTGTTCTACCTTCAAGATTCTCTAGGGTAGATCATCCTTATTAGCTCGAGCCCTTGACCTCACACAATCCATGGATATCTCAGGGGTTCTGCAAAACTCCCAATATTGAATCTGAAATTTTGTGTGCGGAAAGTTTTTCTGGTCATACTTTAAACAGATTCTCAGAGGTTTCTTTGACCTCCAAAAATGTTATCATCATAGCCCCAGAGGACACAGCAGTTCTTTGGGAAGCCTAGCTACTGTGTGGTTGAGAAATCTGCTTGCCTGCAGAGATATAATTGTGAAAATGAACTCATGGAGAATAATTTCACTCCAAGGACTTTTCCCCAATATTTTTGTGCCTGGAACTTAATAAGGCAAAATGGTTTATAAACTCAATGCCAAGGCATTGCTTGCCTACATTATATACACATACACTCAGAACTTTTCTAGAAAATTCAAACC